>NW_017852933.1:0-321185 GCF_000001405.40 Homo sapiens
TTTGTTCTCAAGTCCCATTTTACCTTCTTAAAAATTATTGAGGCATCTGAAGAGATGTTATTTATGTGGTTAATTGTATTAATAGCACTTTGGGAGGCCAAGGAGGGAAGATCACTTGAGGCCAGGGGTTTAAGACCAACCTAGGCAACATGGCAAGACCACATCTCTACAAAAAATACAAAAATTAGCCAACTGTGGTGGTGCGTGCCTGTAGTCCCAGCTACTCAGGAGGCTGAGATGGGAGGATCATTTGGGCCCAGGAGTTCAAGGCTGCAGTGAGCTGTGATCACACCATTGCACTCCAGCCTGGGCAACAGAGCAAGACCCTGTCTCAAAAAACAAATGAAATGAGCTGAAATATAAAATAAATAACTAACATGACATAAAACTATATACAATAAAATAAATTAAAATAAACATAACATAAATTACATTAAATCAAATTAAATATTAGCTGGTGCATGCTTGTGGTCCCAGCTACTCAAGAGGCTGAGGAGGGAGGATGGCCTGAGCCTGGGAGGTTGGGGGTGCAGTGAGCTATGATTGTACCACTGCACTCCAGCCTGGGTGACAGAGCTAGACTCTGTCTGGAAAAAAAAAAAAAAAGAATATTAATAATTATTTCTTTTTAAAAAATTTTCTTCCTCATTGTTTCTTGTTCTGAAATAATTATTCTATGAGAAATCATAGCATAAATTTTAAAAATATCTATTCATTTAAAAGGAACAATATTACCTGTTGATATAAATAACAAATTTTAATGAAAAGTAACTATATTTTCCAAAACAAAATGAAATTTGTGAGTGGTATTATTTTACATTTTACAGATCTCTTTCATATCTGCCTTAACAGTTGTCAGCCGGCTTCTCGTTTGTGTGGCTGCATTCATTCTGTTGTGCTATGTTGTCCTGTTTGGAGTATTTGAAGAAGACCTAGCATCACTAACATGCGGTTGGGAGAGGGAGGCAAAGCTTTTTTAAACGATTGTGGATATTCTATGATAGTCCACCAAAACTCCGTAAGTGATAGTTTCTTAAAGGTTAGCTGAAATGTGAAATTTTTCTACTCTATTTTATTGAAATCTTCAGGTCTGTGTCACACTTTAAATTGATCTTTATCATGCATGATTTTCTAACTTTACCCATTGGTCAATGGGAGAATATCAATTCATTGAGTCATGCAGATCTTCCAAATATATTTTGAAAAATTGCACTGTTCCCTTGTGAGAGAATGTGAGTGAAAAAGGCATATAATAGGTCATGTTATTGTGAACATGGTTTTCATCTGAGAACCCTTGCATTAGCGAATTCTTTTTTTTTTTTTTTTTTTTGAGACGAGTCTCACTCTCACCCAGGCTGGAGTGCAGTGGCTTGATCTTGGTTCACACAACCTCTCCCTTCTGGGTTCAAGCAGTTCTTCTGTCTCAGCCTCCCGAGTAGCTGGGATTATAGGTGTGCACCACCATGCATGGCTAATTTTTGTGTTTTTAGTAGAGGTGGGGTTTCACCATGTTGGCCAGGCTGGTCTTGAACTCCTGAGCTCAAGTGATCCACCCACCTCAGCCTCCCAAGATGCTGGGATTATAGGTGTAAGCCACTGTACCCAGCCTGCATTAGTGAATTCTTTATAACTCAAAAAAAGATAACTCCCTCATTAAATGATCGAAAGCATGGAATGGGGGGAAGAGGAGCTATATAATTTATTTCATGATTTAATGGAATTTTGGCCCTAAAACATAAAAGATAATACAGCTTAAATTTTTAAAAAAGAAAAGAAAAAGGAAACAAAACTGTAAGTTTCCCTTACATATGAAACCCAACTAAACAATATTTAGATCAAATACACTGACCTGCCTCCTATGTAGATCAGCTAGCCTCTGAGGGGCAAAACCACACTGCTTGGTTATGGAGACTGCAAGACCTTCCAGGGCCTGCAGCTCAGGAGAAGTAGGGGCCCTGGGCAGCTGTGTTTATTTGCAGAGCCACCAAACTCACTACCCCATATCATAATCTTCCAAACCAGCCTGAGCATAACTAGCTTCCTTACATCTTTACTAAGAAAAGGAAAGGCTTCTTTCTTAGTTTTTTGTTATCAGGGAGGAATGGTTTAGGTGGCAAATAATGAAAAAAACCAAAGTAGATACTAGTTTAAACACACAGGGAACTTTTTTTTATTGCTTAATGAAAAACTGGAGACAGCCCAGGGCTGGTGCAGCCAGTGTGGTATCAACATACCAGGCACCTTTTGCCTTCCTGTGTTGCTATCCTTAGCCCATTGGTTTCCTACCTTATGGCCACAAGATAGCTGCTGCAGCTCCAGATCTACCAGCTACCTTCAAGGCAGCAGAAAAGGAGAAAAAAATGGAGTCTGACCCTTTTAAAAATGTGAATAAAATATTTCCCAGGACCTCTCACCACTATACTTCAAAAGACTTCATTGACTAGAACTTTGTCAGATGGCCGCTGGTTGCTGTTCTCCTGATTGTAGGTCTCACGAGATCTGATGGTTTTATAAAGGGCATTTCCCCTGCACATGCTCTCTTGCCTGCCGCCATGTAAGAAGTGCCTCTGATCTTCCTTTGCCTTCCACCATGATTGTGAGGCCTCCCCAGCCATGTGGAATTGTGAGTCCATGAAACCTCTTTTTCTTTATAAATTACCCAGTCTCAGGTCTTTATTAGCAACATAAGAACGGACTAATACAATCCTCCCCCGAACTCCTTTCCATGGAAGGTGTCAAGAAACTAATTGAAATCAGAAGATATGGTCTGAATCCCCGCCCTGCCATGTTTTCAGCTGTGTGGTCTTGAACGGGCTGCTTGACTTCTCTGATTTCAGTTTTTGTCCATTGGTAAAATAGACAAAATGGCTACTCTTAATCTACCATTCTCACTGGGTTGTTGTGAGGACACAGATAATTAAGAAAAACATAATAAATATCCAAATTAGAAAATGGAAAAGGGGCCGTAACCCTACTCCTAACCTGGTCATTTTAACCTCCTGTGCCCTCAGTTTCTTCATCTGTATAATGGACATAGGCCTGGTGTGGTTGCAAGAAGCAGCTAAAAATCAGGAAAAAGAACATCATGTATTCAGCTATGCACACTTCCAACGTTGCTCTTTACTGAGGCCCTAGAGCTAACGATCTCTTCTTGTTATCCGACAGGCCACTGACACAGCAAAACACCAGTTGTGACTTTCTGCCAGCCATGAAGTCTGCAGAATTCGAGGGGCTTTACCAGGAATGAGTGACTGCTCAGAGGCCGGGCTTCTTTTCAAGTACTGCTGGATCATACTCACCCCTTGGGATTATGGCTTAGAAGAAGGGGGCTGGGTAGGCAAGCACTCCTTGGCTGTGTCCTCTCGCTTTTTCACTTACTTGTAGGATCCCGCAGCAGCCAATTTAGGGATTGTGTTGTTCTTGTGTTGGTTCCCATGTAAAGAAGCAGCAGAGAAATGCGATGGTTCAACAGCTCGCCCTGCCCCAAGTATGCAGACTTGACCTTGGCGGGGTCCTGGGCTTCTAGAGTCTAGCCCGTTGACCCCAAAGCCTCAGGGCTTATGTCCAACGGTCCCATTGGGAGCAACAGTGATTGTTTATAGTTTTTTGTTTTCAGAAATGAGGGCAGCTGTTAATTTTTTCACTCATGTGAAACAAAATGAAAAAAAAAATCCAAAACAGAACAAGCCCTTCTGTGGTATTTGCTTTTTATCAGAAAGAACAGCAACATTTGGCCTCTCCAAGTTGGAAAATAGAGTCCAAATGTAACTTTGTGGCCAAGAGTATTTTCAAAAAAGTCTAAAGGTGTAGTTTCCACTGTAACTGTTGAGTACTGTTAAGTACTGTTAATCTTTTACATATTTGCACTTGGTACTGTTGTATTGTTCTAAAGAGCTTGTCCTTTAAGTAATTTCTTTCTTTTTTTTTTTTTTTTTTTTTTGTGACGGAGTTTCCCTCTTGTTGCCCAGGCTGGAGTGCAATGGTGCAGTCTCGGCTCACTGCAACCTCCAACTCCCAGGTTCAAGTGAGTCTCGTGCCTCAGCCTCCCAAGTAGCTGGGATTACAGGCACCCGCCACCGTGCCCGGCTAGTTTTTTTTTGTATTTTTTTTAGTACAGATGGGGTTTCACCATGTTGGTCAGGCTAGTCTCAAACTCCTGACCTCAGGTGCTCCACCTGCCTTGGCCTCCCAAAGTGCTGGGATTACAGGCGTGAGCCACTGTGCCCAGCCTAAGCCATTTCTTAAAATAAAAATGCTAAAGGACTAGTAAGTAAAAATAAAACTTCCTATGGGATTTCCCAGTGGAATTACTGAGTGGTTTATTTGCGTGGCATTTCATTAAATATTTATTTGGGTGGGCTTTTTTTCTTTACTCTTTTTCCCTTCTGCTCCATACATCAGACCTGCCTATTCCTCTGTCGATTTCATGACTGGTGCTGGGTAATAGGGATTTTTTTAGTTGCTCGCAATAGACACCCAATTCCACATTACTTTAAAAAGAGGGGTGGTAGGGAGAAGGATTAGTTTCACTCAACCAAAAAGCCAAGGGGTAGATCTTGAGGTGCTGCTGATTCCAGGGGCTCAGGTGGTGTCATTAAGCATCTCTCACCCCTCATCTCTCAGTATAGCTTTCCTCAGTGTGAGCTGCTTTTGCAGGCAGGCCCGCCACCCCTTTCGGAGGTCCCAGGAGCTCCATCCTGGGCAAGAAAACTGCTTTTTTCCAACAGTATATACAAATATTCTGGGTTTGGCTCTGATTGGATAGACTTGGGTCATGTGAGCGACCCCAGACCAATCATGGTGGCTAGGAGGATGGGATATGCAGATGGGACAGGGCTGGGATGGTGGCCATTCAAGAAACAGGGGAGGCGATAGATCAGCCCACTATTAATATAACTATTAATATTAACAGTTACTGTTTATTGGATGTTTCCTTCATTCATACAACTGTCTGATATTATCTCTCTATGCTATCTACCCAGCTGGGTTCTGCAGCTTTAATAATGAAGAATGCAATGGTCTCCCTTCTGAAGTTTTCTTTCTAATGCAAGAGTGAGTGAGCAAGCATATCTGTTGCTATGTAACAGTTTACCAGCAACTATTGGCTTAAAAGAACAGGCATTTCTTATCTCACATTCTTCATGTGTTAGGGGTCCAGGCATGGCTTGGCTAGATCTTTTGTAAGCCTGTGATCACAGTGTCATCAGGGCTGTGTTCTCATTTGGGGTCTGACTGGGGAAGGACCACATTCCAAGCTCACATGGTTGTTGGCAGCATCCAGCTGGCAACACGACTTAAGCCCTCCATTCCTTGCTGCATATTCCCCTCCCCATGACAGTTCAGTGTGGTCAATGGCTTCTTCAAAGCCATCAAGGGAGAGCCTCTCAGCAAGATAGACGTTACATTCTTAGGGAACGTAATCATGCATGCACAATCATGAACACTGGATCACTTTATCTGTGTTCTGCTGGTTAGAAACGAGTCCCAGAAACCACCACCCACTCTCATGAGGAGGGGATCACCCAAGGGCAGGTAAACCACAGAGGGGACCATGGGCTCTGCCTTAAGAGTCCTTACTAGGGTCCTTAGTAGTCCACCTTGCTACAACAAGTAAACAAAATATTAGACCAACTCCGCTGAAGATAAGTAAAAGGGTGGTAAGTAATTGGGAGAGCATGCTTTAGCCACAGCAATCAGAGATTTCTTCTATTTGAACCAAAACATGAGTTGTCACCATGCCAAGCACACAGGGAGGGTGTTCCTAGCAGAGGGCACAGTATCCCAAAGGCCCAGAGATGGGAAGAAGCTTAATGTGTTTAAGGGAAAAAAATGATGTCAGCATGGCTGGGCCTCATCATGCAGGACCTCATGGAGTGAGTTTACACCAGGGGTCCCCAACCAGTACCGGTCCTTGGCCTGTTAGGAACCAGGCCATACAGCAGGAGGTGAGCAGCAGGTGAGCAAGCATTGCTGCCTGAGCTTCACCTCCTGTCAGATCAGCAGTGGCATTAGATTCTCATAGGAACATGAACCCTCATGTGAACTGCACATGCAAGGGATCTAGGTTGCATGATCCTTATGAGAATCTAATGCCTGATGATCTGTCACTGTCTCCCGTCACCCCCAGTTGGGATTGTCTAGTTGTAGGAAAACAAGCTCAGGGCTCCCACTGATTCTACATTATGGTAAGTTGTGTAATTATTTCATTATGTATTACAATGTAATCATAATAGAAATAAGCTGCACGATAAATGGAATGCACTTGAATCATCCTGAAACCACCCCCCTACCCACGCCTCATCCATGGAAAAATTGTCTTCCACAAAACTTGTCCCTGGTGCCAAAAAGGTTGAGGACCACTGGTTTATGCCAAAGAGCAAAGGAAAGACAATGAAGAATCTTACATGGGAGAGTGACGTGATCAGACTTGGGTTTTTAAAGATCACTCCATGGCCAATGGATTTAAAGCAGGAAGGCTAGTTGGGAGGTCTATGGAGGCCCAAGAGCAGAGAGGATAATTGTGACTTAAAACTTACACTAGGCTGAGCACAGTGGCTCATGCCTGTAATCCCAGCACTTTGGGCGGCCAAGGATCACTTGGGGTCAGGAGTTCAAGACCAGCCTGGCCAACATGGTGAAACCCCGTCTCTACTAAAAATACAAAAATTAGCTGGGTGTGATGGCGGGCACCTGTAATTCCAGCTACTCAGGAGGCTGAAGCAGGCAAATCACTTGAACCTGGGAGGTGGAGATTGCAGTGATCTGAGATCGCACCACTGTACTCCAGCCTAGGCGACAGAGCGAGACTCTCTCTCAAAAAAAAAAAAAAAAAAAAAAAATTAGGGCAAATGTAATGGAGACCTTCCTCATTTTGAGGGCCAGCAGCACTTGGTGATGATGGAGAAGGAAAGGGGGACACAAGGTGGCACCTAGGTTTTTAGCTTGAGCCAGTAGTGGATAGTGACACTATTGTAGGAGTGAAGGACAAGCTTCCTCTCTACCCTCTGAAGGATCCCTGAAATGAACTGGCAATAGACAGATGAACAGGAGAAAAGGCATATTCAAATTTATTAACATGCACATGAACACAGGAGTTCCAAAAATATGAGACTCAAAGAAAGGCCAAATGATTGAAACTTACATAGAGGGAGATGGGGGAAATGTAGGCAACTTGAAGGATTGTAAATGATTTTTAGGGGAATTGAATGGACCCAAAGAGCAAACCACAATGAGATACCATCTGAAACCAGTCAGAATGGCTATTACTAAAAAGTCAAAAAATAACAGATGCTGGCGAGTTTGTGGAGAAAAGGGAATGCTTACACATTGCTGGTGGGAAAGTAAATTAGTTCAGTCACTGTGGAAAGCACTATCACAATAGCAAAAATGGAATCAAAAAATGTCCGTCAATGGTGGATAAAGAAAATGTGGTGCCATATACATCACAGAATACTACACAGTTATAAAAACGAATGAGATTGTGTCCTTTGCAGCAACATGGATACAGCTAGAAGCCATTATCCTAAGTGAACTAATGCAGGAACAGAAAACCAAACACCATATGTTCTCACATATAAGTGGGAGCTAAACATTGGGTACATATGGAAATAAAGATGGGACCAACAGACATTGGGGCCTACATGGAGGTGGAGGGTGGGAGGAGAGTGAAGATAAAAAAAACTATTGGGTACTATGCTTATTACCTGAATGATAATCTGTACACCAAACCCCTGTGACATGCAATTTACCCATGTAACAAACCTCCACATGTACTCCTGGAACTAAAATGAAAGTTAAAAAAAAAAAGCAGACAATAGTTTGTAAATTATTTTCTTTAGAAACTGAATGGGACAAGTTATGGGAAGGTGAGGGGCAGAACTGCACTGCAAACAAAGGTAGTCTTATTATGCAGATTAAGTCTTTTAGGTAATCTCTCAGAATTACTCTCGGCAAAATAGATGAAAAGCCCGAGCATGGTGACAACTTTTAGTCTCTTCTGCAGTGGTTAATTTTTTCTGGTTATTTTGGATGCTAATCCACCACGTTGACTTCTGATTAACCCCAGTCCCATGAATGCCTCCTGATTCCTACTTCACTGTTCCTAGTGTAAGAACATGTTGACCTTGATGTCATCACACAAATTATAGGCTATGATACATTCAGCATTCTTGCCTGTCCTGAAGGGTTGCCTTTAATTGGCTTGCTGGAGCAAGCATACCCTTTCCCTATGGTATATGCGTAGCCCTGGTGTGGGGAGTAACAGTGCAGAGAGCTACCTGTCCTGCCACCACCTAAGACCACACTTGTGTCTGTAAGTTCCTTCAATGAATCACCCAAAGTCAACACAATGGATCTGTCTGCCTCCTTCTTTGGTTCCTCGGCTCCCTCAGCATTTGGGAATCACTTTGCATATTCACAGAAATTAAGACAATTGCATTTCTTTTGGAAGAAATTTTCCTCGGTCAGATAAGGGAACTTCCAGAGAAAGCCTGATATGGTTAGGCTGCGTCCCCACCCAAATCTCATCTTGAATTATAGTTCCCATAATCACCATGTGTTGTGGGTGGGACCAGGTGGATATAATTGAATCATGGGGGGTGGTTTCTCGCATCCTGTTCTCCTGATAGTGAGTCAGTTCTCATGAGATTTGATGGTTTTACAAGGGACTTCCCCCTTCACTGGGCACTCATTCTCTCCTGCCGCCCTATGAAGAGGTGCCTTCCGCCTTGATTGTAAGTTTCCTGAGGCCTCCCCAGCCATGTGGAACTGTGAGTCAGTTAAACCTCTTCCTTTATAAACTACCCAGTGCCAGATATTTCTTCACAGCAGCCTGAGAACAGACTAATACAGAGCCCCTCCCTGCACTCAAGATGGCAGAAACAAGAGAAGGTTAGAAAATCCTTGGTTCTGAAGCAGTTTCTAAGGCCTTTCATTTTCCTTTAACTCAGAAGTGCTCTGCATGCCAAAGTAACAGACTTTGGGGTATCCTTGTCTGTGTCTCAATGGGGGCTGTGTGAAAATTCAACCCCTGCTTTGCTCATATTAAGTCAGATATGCCTCTTGGATACTAAGAGGATGTGTCAAGTAGACAGCTGGCTTAGAGGGTACGTTTGGGCTGGGGAGTATTTTTGGTGCTGAGAGCTTTACACAGCCTTCATTTGGGATGCTCTCCCAGAGAGTAGCCAGGAGATCATTTCATAGCATAGTTCTGATCACATAAACACCTTACTCCAACCTCTGCCAAGGGCAAAGTGCTTTCCCACAGCACTTAGAAGTGCTAACTCTTTCCCCTCATGGATCAATCCATGATCAAAGACCAATCCCAGCTGGGCACAATGATTTACACCTGTAATCATAGCACTTTGGGAGGCCGAGGCAGGTGGATCACCTGAGGTCAGGAGTTTGAGACCTGGCCAACACAGTGAATCCCCGTCTCTGCTAAAAATACAAAAATTAGCTGGGCATGGTGGCACATGCCTATAATCCCAGCTACCCGGAAGGCTGAGGCAGGAGAATCGCTGGAACCTGGGAGGCGAAGGCTACACTGAGCCAAGATCACGCCACTGCACTCCAGCCTGGGTGACAGAGGGAGACTCCCTCTCAAAAAAAAAAAAAAAGATCAATCCAAGCTTCTGCTTCCTGCTACTTCTTTATATGCCATCGGCCTCTGGATATGAGAGAGAAAACTAAAGTTCAAAGGACTCACCCAATTCAGCTAAGAAATGTGACATCTAAATCAAGGCTGTGCAGTGAGGTTATTCATTCAGGTTCTGTTCTTTACATGGTCTGGGCCTAACCTTCACCGATCAAATGAAGTGAAATAAGGTGCAGAACCCTAGCACAGTGGCTGACACCAAACAAGCCCATCAAGAATAATTGTCAAGGACGAGGCTCAGTGGCTCGTGCCTGTCATCTCAGCACTTTGGGAGGCCAAGGCGAGAGAATCACTTCAGCCCAGGAGTTCAAGAGCAGCCTGGGCAACATAATGAAACCTCGCCTCTACAAAAATGAAAAAATTAGCTGGGGATAGTGTTACATGCCTGTGGTCCCAGCTACTGAGGGACTTAGGCAGGAGGATCACTTGAGCCCAAGAGGTCAAGGCTGCAGTGAGCTACGATGGCACCACTGCACTCCACACTGGGGAACAATGAGACCTTGTCTCCAAAAAAAAAAACAAAGAAAAGTTGTCAAAATGCATGGCTACATGAGTCATTTAAAACTGAGTGAAACAGGAAGATGTAAAAGACCTGTTGTTAACCAAGCTGTGGAGGACCGTTAAGGACTTCGGGCTAAGGTCCTTACAAAGATATCCTTAGCCTTTTAGACACACAGCTCAATGTGTGGCCGATTGGAAAGGTAATTAATCCCCAGAGCATAAAAACGATGACTTTTTTACAGTTATAATGTTAATTTATCAGTATGTCCAGGTTTCTTGTTTGTTTATTTTTGAGCATTCGCCATGTGCTGGATGCTATTTTTTTTTTTTTTGAGACAGGGTCTCATTCTGTCACCCAAGCTGGAGTGCAGTGACATGATCATAGCTCACTGCAGCCTCGACCTCCCAGGCTCAGATAATCCTCCCACCTTAGCCTCCCGAGTAGCTGGGACCACTGGTGCCCACCATCATACTCAGCTAATTTTTGTATTTTTTGTAGAGACAGGGTTTCACCATGTTGCCCAGGTTGGTTTTGAGCTCCTGAGCTCAAGTGATCCTCCCGCCTCAGCCTCCTAAAGTGCTAGGATTACAGGCGTGAGCCACTGCGCCTGGCTGCGGGGGGCTATTTTAAGCCCAATACACAGCAATACATGTTTCCAGTGCGTCCTCACTACCTCCCATTTTAGAGATAAGGAAACCGAAAGATTGACAAGTTAAATTGCCTAAGGGCCCATAGAATTAGAAGTGGGATTCTAACTGCAGTTTGTCTAACTGCAAAAGACATCCTAGGCTGGGTGCAGTGGCTCATGCCTGTAATCCCAGCACTTTGGGAGACTGAGGCGGGTGGATCACCTGAGGTCAGGAGTTCAAGACCAGCCTGGCCAACATAGTGAAACCCTGTCTCCACTAAAAATACAAATATTGTTAGCTGGACATGCTGGCGGGCACCCGTAATCCCAGCTACTCGGGAGGTTGAGGCAAGAGGGTTCGCTTGAACCCAGGAGGCAAAGGTTGCAGTGAGTCAAGATCATGCCATTGCACTCCGGCCTGGATGACAAAGTGAGACCCCGTCTCAAAAATAAAACTAACTAACTAAATAAATAAATCTAGATCAGCAGTTCTCAGTTGGGAGTGATTGTTCCCCGCCCCCGCCCCCCGCCCCAACCCTCAACCAGCACCCCCAGGGGACATTTGGCAATGCCTGGAGGCATTTTTTTTGTTTGAGACAGGGTCTTGCTTGGTCGCCCAAACTGGAGTGCAGTGTCAACCACAGCTCTCTTGACCTCCCAAGCTCAAATGATGCTCCTGTCTCAGCCTCCTGCATAGCAGGAACTACAGATGTGTGGCGCCATGCCTAGCTTTTTTTTTTTTTTTTTTTTTTTTTCAGTAGAGATGGGGTCTCACTGTGTTGCCAGGGCTGGTATCAAACTCCTGGGCTCAAGTGATTCTCCTGCCTTGGCGTCCCAAAGTGCTAGAGGCATTTTTTGTTATCACGATATGCGTGCCTGTGTTGGGTGCTGCTGGCATGTAATGAGTAGGGGCCAAGGATGCTGCTCAACATTTTACCAAGCCCAGGACAGGCCTCCACAACCAAGAATTATCTGGGCCCAAATGTCAACAGTGCCAGTCTTGACAAACCCTAACCTCAACAAATAATAAGAATTAAGAGAATTAGGCCAAGCAAGAGCACAGCTGGTGGAGAGGGGGTCAAAATTGACCAGGTCTGCCCCAGAGTGACCAGTGGCAATCGTGGCATCATGGAAACACACAAGTTCACAGTTGTGAAATGGTTCAGGTTGTCAAAGAGTTTTCGTATCAGTTACCATCCTTACCTTTCATAACAGTCCAGAGACGTTATTCTGCTCTCATTCCCATCCCCTACTCTTCAGCTGATGGAAGAGGAAAGCAGGGTTAATGGATGAGTCACCTGTGGAAGTTCTCAGAGTCAGCAAATGACTAAGCCACAGAACCCGGTTATCGGCCTCCTAGCCCACGTGCAGATCCTTTCCTCCCCCTTCTGCTGCCTTTTTTGTTAAAGCAGAAGTGACAACGACGAAACGTTCGGAAGATGGACTACAGTGTCCCATGGCAGTTGGGAGTCAGCCATCCAGGGGGTCCATACACTGCAGAGGGCATGCTCCGTGTATGGACCTCCAGGCTGGAGAGGACATGCTCCGTGTATGGGCCTCCAGCAGCACACATTGTTTGTTCATGTTTCCAAAACTCAGGAGGAGACTCAAGCCCCAGCCACATGCTCTAGGAGTCTCTATGCCCCTGTTAGGAGCTCCCGTGCTGGAGTTTCAATCCCCAGCTGGAAACCTTAGAAAAACCATCAGAAGGAAACGCAACTGTTTCCTAATGAAAGCGTTTCATCTCTGAGCCAGTAGAGGGAGCGCACATCCAGGCCATCCGAAGCTGGCTCAGCCGAGACTTCAATAGCACCGAGGGCTGGAAGAAGCATTCAACGCGCGATCCTTGAACTTGAATGAGCCTATGCATAGGAGCCTGTTAAAAGCCAAATTCGCGGGCGGATCACGAGGTCAGGAGATCCAGACCATCCTGGCTAACACAGTGAAACCCCGTCTCTACTAACAATACAAAAAAAAAAAATTAGCCGGGTGTGGTGGCGGGCGCCTGTAGTACCAGCTACACGGGAGGCTGAGGCAGGAGAATGGCGTGAACCCGGGAGGCGGAGCTTGTAGTGAGCTGAGATCGCGCCACTGCACTCCAGCCTGGGCGACAGGTGACAGAGCAAGACTCCGTCTCAAAAGAAAAAAAAAAAAAAAAAAAAGGCCAGATTCTGGCCGGGTGCGGTGGCTCACACTTGTAATCCCAGCTACTCAGGAGGCTGAGGCAGGAGACTTGCTTGAACCGGGGAGGCGGAGGTTGCAGTGAGCCAAGATTGCGCCATTGCACTCCAGCCTGGGTGACGAGAGTGAGACTCTGTCAATAAATAAATAAATAAGGCAGATTCTGAGTCTGTAGGTCTGCATCAGGACCTGAGTTCCTGCATTGCTTATCAGCCACCAGATGAAGCCTTCCACCGGCCACACCTTGAGTAGCAAGGTAATAGATAACTTCTCCCACCCTCTCCCATAGATGGTGGACCTGAGGCCCAGGGAGTTTAGACTGCTTACTAGAGGCCAAACAGAAAGACTGCAGTGCTGGGGCTAGAACCCATGACTCCTACAGCTGGTGCTCACTTCATAGCATCTTCCCTGCCCCTCTGACCCTGAAACAGGATTCAGGGAAGAGGATCCCTAAGTGTGGGTGAGGAGTAAGAGACTATACTATCTGCTTTGAATCAAGCTTCTTTATACTCTATTTTTGGTCAAGTTACTTCCCTTGCAGAAGTACCAATAGAAATTCAAAGATGAACACAAGCAGACTCCAATTCTTTTGGGCCTGAGGGAGCCAAAGTAAAATAGATTTGTTAGTGAAGTCCCTCTTATTTTTGGTTAGTACAAATTTGGCAAGTCATCCAAAGAAAAGCTTACATATAACTTGGTATGTTTTTATGAATGCAAATTATAGCCATAGACTTTCTCCTAAGAATGAAGTTTCTTAGCTTGAATCAGTTTAGATGAAAAATGCCTCCCTTAAAAAATAAGAGCTCCTAAACTCTCACTAAACATGAAATGCAGAGGCAAGTGGTTCTAGGGTTGATTTGGGGAACACAATGAAGTTATCAAGGATTTAGGCTTTCCATTTTTTCGCTCCATCGTTCTCAGGGTGTCTTTAGGGTTATTTCCTCATAGTTACAACATGGCTGCCATAGCTCCGGGAATCACATCACATAATCATATCCAAAAGCAGGTAGAAAAGGGGTTAGCTGCACATACCTTTTTTTAAATAAGGAAAAAGAAGCCCCCTCTCAACTTCCCCTTAAATCTCATTGAACAGAACTGTATTACATGCTCACCTCTAAACAGAAGGGAAATGGGACGTTATCTTGGCTATCTCATGCCAAGCAGGATTGTCCCCCAGGGTGTGCTGTGCAAACAAAGTCCAGGTTCTCTTAGCAAGGAAGAAGGGGATGAGGTGGGAAGGAAAAAGAAAGGGCAAGAAAATCCCTTTTAATTAAGCCCTACACTATCTGCCCCAGTACACTTGTGTTTTCGCTGTATTTATTCACAAAGTAAGGGTCTTCATGTGCTGTGTGAGCAAAGGTCAGGACCAAGGAGGATTTAGTTAAATCTGGAATCTCAGTCAGGGGTTCATACTCTTGAGATAAGGAAAAGTAACCAATGCTGCCTAACAGCCCAGCACCCACACTGCAGTCCCTAGACTTAGCAGATGGAACTTGCTATAATGAGGACCATATGTATTCATTTGCTAAGGCTGCCATAGAAAGTACCACAAACTGGGTGGCTTACACAACAGACATTTATTTTCTCACAATCCTGGAAGCTGGGAGTCTAAGATCAAGATGCCAAGCAGGCTTGGTTTCTCCTTGGCCTGTAGAGAGCTGTCTTCTCCCTGTGTCTTCTGCCTGTGTCTGAATTTCCTCTTCTTATAAGGATAGCAATCCTATTGGACTAGGGCTCATCCTATTAACTCATGTTAATGCAATTACCTCTTTTTTTTTTTTTTTTTTTTTTTAGGCAGAGTCTCACTCTGTTGCCCAGACTGGGGTGCAGTGGCGTGATCTTGGCTCACTGCAACCTCCATCTCCCAGGTTCAAGTGATTCTCCTGCCTCAGCCTCCTGAGTAGCTGGGACTACAGGCCTGCACCACCATGCCCGGCTAGTTTTTTTTTTTTTTTTTTTTTTTAGTAGAGACAGGGTTTCACCACGTTGGCCAGGCTGGTCTCGAACTCCTGACCTCAGGTGATCCACTCACCTCAGCCTCCCAAAGTGCTGGGATTACAGGCGTGAGCTGCTGCACTTAGCCACAATTATCTCTTTAAAGACCCTTCCTCCAGCCATATTTTGAGATTCTGATGTTGGGACTTCAACATATCGATTTGCGGGTCACACAATTCAGTCCTCCAATTCAGCGAGCATACTTCTATTTCCTCTGCAAGTCTGATGTGCACCTTGCTTTAAAAGAGATACGATTATCATGCTTCTCATCCTAATTTTCAAAGGGCTTTCTATCATGTGTGAATCTCAGGTTCCAGTGAATGCCTTCTTCGTGTCTGTGGATGTCATCATATGAGGGTATTTTTTGACCTGTTTCTGTGACGTATTCATAGAGTTCCTGTAATCGAACAGTCATGGATCAGCATTCAGAATATATAAAGAAACCCTAAAAATCAATAGGAAAAGGACTTTTAAAATCTAGTATAAATTAAACAAAGGCTATAAACAGACAATTCAGAGGAAGGGACTGCTTCCTGCTGTGCAGATGGTCATCTTGCGGTATCCTCACATGGCCGAGAGCAGAGAGAGGAAGCTCACTCTCCTTTCTCTTCCTTTAAGGGCACTTATCCCCTTTATGAGGGCACCATCCTCATGACTTAATTAATTCCCAAAGCCCCACCTCCAAATATATCACACTGGGGGTAAGGACTTCAAAAACATATACACTGGGGGTAAGAACTTCATGTGAACTTGTTGTGGGGGGACACAATTGAGCCCACAACACCGAGAATAAGCCTGAGCACACACCTTGTGCCACAGGCTGCATGTTCTACCTTTCCGCAACCCCTGTGCTGCCCACGATGAGACAGCTTCCCACTCAACACATCATCACTTTCAAACCAGAAGCAATGTTGTGCTGTGGATTTTCTGGTTATTGACACAGTGGTGGGCACTATCAGAGGTAATTCACATCTTTGCATCCAATGGGAGAGAAACTAAATTCCCTGTTGACTTAAAAGGGAGAAACTGAGGCAGAATTAAAAGTAGAGAGTTTTTTGGGGCCAAGTTTGAGGATTGCAACCCCGGAGCATGGATTCAAGTTGACATGAGTTATAGACTCCTATTAGCAGCATTTACAAGTGGATTTCTAAAGGCAAAAAAGGGGGGACAGGGAGTGAGCTGATGCACAGTTCTTTGTCAGGAATTCTCATTGTTTTTCAGAAATAACATTGATGTGTGATTGGCTATACATTGTTAAGCTATAGGGTGTGGTTATATGTCTGGTGCAGCATTATTAGGTTAACTTAAAGCTACTTGTGGCAATAGTAAGCAGTTTCAAGAGATGGATACTTAGCTCAAGGGAGGAGTAGGATGTGATGACTGTCTCATCTTTTTTCCTTTTTTTTTTTCTTTTGAGATGGAGTCTCACTCTGTTGCCAGGCTGGAGTGCAGTGACATGATCTTGGCTCACTGCAACCTCTGCCTCCCAGGTTCAAGCAATTCTCCTGTCTCAGCCTCCTGAGTAGCTGGGACTACAGGTGTGCGCCACCATGCCCAGCTAATTTTTGTATTTTTAGTAGAGACAGGGTTTCACCATGTTGTCAGGATGGTCTCGATCTCTTGACCTCGTGATCTGCCCACCTTGGCCTCCCGAAGTGTTGGGATTACAGGTGTGACCCACGGCACCCAGCTGACTATCTCATCTTACTGTCTCTGGCCCTGATAGTTTAGAAGGACTTATATTTCTCAGATCAAAGTTCTTTTCTTTTCTCACCCCTGTCTCAGGACCTGTATTCTCAGCAATGCCTCTTCTTTCAACTACGATACATCACTGTTTGGAAATGGAACTAGTTGCAACTTAAGTGCCAAGTTCCTGAAGCTATAAACTGCTCCCCATGCTTTTAGATCCTATGTGCAAGCAACAGTGTGTGTTTGTAATGTGTTGTCTGTGATGAAGTGTGGTAGGCTCTGCCTTCACTAGCACAGTGATTTCTATCCAGGGATATGTGTCAGAGTCATCTGAGGAGCATGGATTAGTTTTCTTTCACTGCTTAGACAAATTATTACAAGTTTAGTGGGTTAAAACAACATAGATTTATTCTGCTACAATTCTGAAGGTCAGAAGTTTGAAATCACTTTCACTGGACTAAAGCCAAGGTGTCGGTGGAGCTGGTTCCTTCTGGAGGATCTAGGGGAGGATCCATTTCCTTGCATTTTCCAGCCTCTAGTGTTCCCCTGTATCCCATGGCTTATAGCCCTTTCTCCATCTCAAAGTGCATCACTCCAACCTCTGCTTCCATCATTGTACTGCTTTCTCCCCATAGTCAAAACTCCCTCTTACAAGCACACATGCAGTTATATGTATGGCCTACCTGGATAATTTAGATAATTTCCCCATCTCACCGTTTTACCTTAATTATGACTGCAAAGTCCCTTTTGCCATATTAGGGAAAATTCACAAGTCCCAGAGGTTAGCACGTGAATATCTTTGGGGCCATGATTTAGCCTCCTATAGAGCCTAAACATGCTTAGACTCCACTCCCTAAAGATTCTAGTTTAGTAGATGGTGTCTAAGTTTTTGTTTTTTGTTTTGTTTTGAAATGGAGTCTACCTCTGTCGTCCAGGCTGGAGTGCAGTGGCATAATCTTGGCTAACTACAACTTCCACCTCCTGGGTTCGTGATTCTCCTGCCTCAACCTCCCAAATAGCTGGGATTACAGGCACCTGCCACCATGCCCACCTAATTTTTTGTATTTTTAGTAGAAACGGTGTTTCACCATGTTGACCAGGCTGGTCTCAAACTCCTGACCTCAGGTGATCCGCCTGCCTCAGCCTCCCAAAGTGCTGGGATTACAGGAGTGAGCCACCATGCCCAGCTGATAGTGTCTAGTTTTGTAGGTGGTGTCTCCCTAAAGATTTTAGTTTGGTAGATGGTGTCTAGGCCAGAGGTCTGTACAATCAGGTGTACATTCTACCACATATGCACTTGATTACATATGCCTTGGTATATAGCACACAGACTTATTCAAGTCACAGTTATTGTCCATAATGTTATCTGAGTTTTTATTTAGAGTTAGAACAGTGCTATTTTCTTGATGTTGAGATACTCCAATGCTGACTGGGCAGTGCCTACATCAATACAACGGTTATCTTGTTGAACCCTCACACGCTTCCAAATTAGGTTGTGTTCCCTTTTTACAGATGCGGAAGCAGGCTCAGAGATTGTTCTATCTGCCCGAGGCCACACAGCCAGGGAGACGTAGATCCCGAACCCAAACCCAACTCTTGCTCTAGAGCCTGCGCATCCCACAGAACTTCCTAATGCAGAACAGGGCAGGGGAAAGTAGTACATTACATTACAGGTGCCTTCCCAGGGCACACAAGTCTGTTTTCAACTCCTGCAACCTCCACCATCAATCAGAACTGCTCAAACTATTAGAACCCCAAAGCTCCATCATTCTACTCTTGACACCTGTATGACAATTACAGCCCATCACTACGTGATAAAGGAGATTGCAAGCACACTAACGTGGTTGAAGCAGCAGTCTCTCAGGATTTAAGCTCGACTCTCTTCCCACACAGTTCCTGTCTGAGGAGGCTGCCTCCCCCATATATAGTAGGATGCCTACTTTCAGAAGGCAAGAACACGACTTTAGTCAACTGCTCCCAGGCTACCATGGCAACAAGTGTTCATCCCGGCAGCTGCTCCACACCAGCTTGGCTTTCCACTCTCAAAGTTCTGCTTTAGCATTTTTGGCAAACACATCAGAACCAAGTCACGCTGTGGGCTGCCTTGAGACCCAGGGGACTTTGATTCCCAATATGACTCTATACAAGTGGACCAACTTGCAGCTGAGAGGCTCTAGCTCTGAAATCAAGGGGCTGTGACATCCTGGACAAGCTTCTTTAGGGCTCAAGTTGCTCATCTGTAAAATGTGCACTTTTAAGCCATGTTTTTCAAGTTGTGGGTAGTGACTCAGTATTTTAATTTCCTATTGTTGCTGTAACAAGTTTGTTTCATGCCGTTAAGCTATCTCACAATTCTGGAGGTCAGAAGTCTAAAGTGGTACAGCAGAGCTGTACTCTTTCTAGAGGCTCTATGGGAAGATATTTTCTTGTTCCCCTACTAGAGGCGGCCTGTGTTTTCTGTGACTCTCTATCATTCCAATTTCTGCTTCCATTGATACATCCTATTCTGACCTTGTTTTTATTTTGAGACAGAGTTTCACTCTTCTTGCTCAGGCTGGAGTGCAATGTCGCAATCTCGGCTCACTGCAACCTCCAACTCCCGAGTTCAAGCAATTCTCCTGCCTCAGCCTCCCATGTATCTGGGATTACAGGCGCCCGCCACCATGCCCGGCTAATTTTTTGTATTTTTAGTAGAGATGGTGTTTCACCATGTTGGCCAGGCTGGTCTCGCACTCCTGACCTCAGGTGATCCACATGCCTCAGCCTCCCAAAGTGCTGGGATCACCGGCATGAGCCACCGTGCCCTGCTGACCTTCTTGTTTTATAGGGACACTTGTGATTGGGCCCACCGGGATGATCTTACCATGTCAAGACCCTTAGTCACATCTGCAGAGTCCATGTTGCCATGTAAAACTAATATTCACAGGCTCTAGGGATTAGGATGTAATTCCTAGACATGGGTCGGGGGTAGGTGTCATTCAGGGTCAGGAAGTCATTTAAGTGGCCATTTTTAAAAATGCCATTAAAAAGCATGGTACGTGAGATTTAGTTATGATATACAATGCAACTTGATAAAGTCACACAGAATTTTGAATCTAAAACTATTTAGCAGAATGCCTTGGATCCTTAAAAGAAGGTCCAAAGAAGGCTTTTGATGAGACAATTTGAGCTTTTGACCCTATTACTCTAGAAATGCCAGACCCTCTACATAAGGTAGGTGTGGTTCTTTCCCTACATCAGAGTCTTATCTGTAAGACCTAACCAAAGGATTTAGAAAGCTACCTTTTAAGTCTGTGTGGCAGAATTCTAGAACAGGTGCCGGGCACGGTGTCTCATGCCTGTAATCCCAACACTTTGGGAGGCCGAGGCAGGCAGATGACCTGAGGTCAGGAGTTTGAGACAAGCCTGGCCAACATGGTGAAACACCATCTCTACTAAAAATACAAAAATTAGCTGGGCTTGGTGGCAGGTGCCTGCAATCCCAGCTACTGAGGAGGCTGAGGCAGGAGAGTCACTTGAACCCAGGAGGCGAAGGTTGCAATAAGCCGAGATTGCACCTATAGAAAACCACAAGATGACCAGATAGACATCACGATATTCAACCTCAAGGTTAGATTTTTGAAAAACCCAAGAGTATAATGACTGAGCTGACATTTAAATCCAGCCACTAGAAGCTTTCATCACTTATTCTTCCTGCCATACGTAGATTTGAAATATTTCCTTGCAAAAATTTTAGACTCAAGTTTTCTAGAATACAAGTGAATTTCCATATATCTTGAAGGTCTCTAAGAGCTGCAGTATAAAGCAGACACTAGTCATGTTGATGACATAATTACTTAGAATAAGACTGGCTACCCTCAGGACGAAGGCCTCAGGAGACGGTCAAGATCGAATGCAGGTAATGGAAAACTCACTCTAGGCTCAGTTGAATGGTGGAGTCTGATTCTTGGAATGTTATAACTGAGCCTTAGGACTCTGGCACTTTAGTATTCCTTTCCCTACCAAAGAAAGATTGCTTGTCTTTAGTTATAAGTGGGAAGGTAACTAAGTCCTTTTAAGCTCAGGAAAGTTGTAAGCTTGAGTGTAACTTGAGTTAGGAATTACCTTGAAGTAAGTTCTTATATTACTTTCTTAGGAACATCTGGTTTCCCTTCCCTTAAAAGAAGGGGGGTTGGATTTATGCCAGTGATCATGGGTAGCTTGCTGGCTTCTTATCCTGTGTAAGAGCTTGTAGACTCAAGTGTACCCCCAGAGCTGGGCTATAGCTAAAGCCCTACTGTTGACTGGGAGTGTCAGAGGACTCATGTATTGGGGTTAGAGGATCAGAAGGGGCCAAATGACAGGAAACAATTATACCATGAACTTCCCTATTTGTATCTATATACAAATCCTGCCCAGAGGATTGTGGCTAGGTACTGCCTCTACACTGAGGAACAAAAGAAATGATCCCTTGTCATCTAATCTTAATAAGAATGTGGAAGGCAAGAGGCTTATTTTGACTGCTTTATTTAGAAGCCCATTTAGTGATTTGACACAGTCCTTTTCTCGTACAGGTAGTAGATGAAGCCTAGAGTTGCCACCACACCTGCAAAGGCAGCCACAGCAGCCACAGCTTTGGAACCAACATCTCCAGCAGTCTTGTGCCCTTTGGTGTCCATAGCACCTACAAAGGAAGCAGACATTTGAGTCTTAAGTATTTTTAAATAAGGGTAAGTGGAAGCCTTACATAAGGCTCCCCAGAGAAGGGGGTAAAACTAAGCCTTCAACAGGCTTATTTCAGAAGTTTGCAACATTGAATAAACTTACCTCGTGAGCCAACCTCCTCCCCTGTTTCACTCCTACTCTTCTCCCCACTGCTCCCACTTGCTTTTAGATCAGATGAGCCGACACCTGGGAAGAACCTGAGAGTTTAGTACAACATCTTCATGCTAGTCGATGTGGTTAGCTGTCCCCTGAGGGTGTGATCCCACAGGTTGTTCATTAAGGCTATCTCAGGTAAGGGTATGTGTTAACAGGCACAAACTAATACACACTTAAGTTTGGCCATAGCATGTTAAGATGCACATGCTCTGACCTAATCTTGCTAGAAACATATCTTAAATCTTTGACTACTATACAAGAAATTCAAGAGGATTTTTTTTTTTTTTTTTTGTGGCCGGGTGTGGTGGCTCACACCTGTAATCCCAGCACTTTGGGAGGCTGAGGCAGGCGGATCACTTGAGGTCAGGAGTTTGAGACCAGCCTGGCCAACATGGTAAAACCTTTTCTCTACTAAAAATAATAAAATTAGCTGGGCACAGTGGCAGGTGCCTGTAATCCCTGATACTCGGGAGGCTGAGGCAGGAGAATCACTTGAACCTGGGAGGCAGAGGTTGCAGTGAGCCAAGATCACACCATTGTACTCCAGCCTGGGTGACAAGAACAAAACTTTATCTCAAAAAGAAAAAAAGAAGGATTCTAGTATGGACTGAGGACAAAACTAGAAATAAACCTATAGATATCCATGAATGAGGATCATGACTAAGGTAGAGCCACGTGGAATCCTAAGGGTTCTTTGTACAGATATAAGGTAGATAAGACAGATTAGAGACCAAGTTCTAGATCAGTAGGTAGAAGCTATGATCCTACTTGTGTTGAAGTGATTTCTAGAAGGGTACACAGGAGACTTAATAGAAGCCTACTTCTGGGAAGAGACTTAGTCTTTTATTCTTCTATTGTTTAGACTCACCACGGGTACATAGTATATGTAAGCACTGACCGCTTGGCATAAAAAGCTAAGAACTTGAATCCAGGAAGTACTCCAGGCTTTAGGTCCATACCTCTGAATGAGGAGTCATCTGACAACAGGAGAATGGGTCCTGGGAGGCTGACTGTCATTTTCTCTGCTTCAGTGGCCCCTGTGGCTGGAGACAGATGATCAAGTTTGTGTTTGGCCTCTGGAATAGTGGTTCGAGAGGTGTGTCAATGGAATGCTTAGAAGTAGAAGCTCTCTGGAGTATTTTGTTCATGTGGTTTGTCTTGCCTTTGCAGGCGAGGTTATGCCCTTTACTGTAGAAGTGGGATGGATTCTTGGGGTTGGGTGTGGTGGCTCATGCCTATAATCCCAGCACTTTTGGGAGGCCGAGGTAGGTGGATCACCTGAGGTCAGGAGATTGAGACCAGCCTGGCCTGGCCAACATGGTGAAACCCTGTCTCTACTAAAGATATAAAAGTTAGCTGGGTATGTTGGGGGGGTTCCTATAATCCCAGCTACTTGGGAGGCTCAGGCAGGAGAATCATTTCCCTTGAACCCTGGAGGTGGAATGAGCCAAGATCACACCATCTTACTCCAGCCTGGGCAACAAGAGCAAAACTGTCTCAAAAAAAAAAAAAAAAAAAAAAAAAAGGATAGATTCTTAAAGAACTCATCGTCTATAGAACTAGACAAGAAACTGTTCATCTTAGACCTGTCACATGAGTAAGGTAGACTGGACCAAGTTTTGACTGGGCCAACAAGAGCTCTGGGCAGTAAATAAAGTATGAGTTATACCAGTCCTTAAGATCTTCTATTCTAAAAAGTTGATACTTGCTTTGAATTAGACTCACAGAAACAGGAATTTGAAGTTTTTACCTCGCCTGTGCCTAGAGGACACAGGGCAGGTCACAGAACACAGTGGGGAGTCAGGGGAGAGTCGATTACAGATTAAGGCACTGCAGTGGAAGTAGACCTGGAGACAGAAGAGAGTTACATGGAATCGATGCACTAACATTTAACCTGTCCCTGGTGACTTCTGAATCACTTACCAGGCTAGAGAGCACGTGGGCTTCTGATACAAAGGCAAAAGCCTTCATGTCAAACCTCTGATAGTGATCAGGATGGGTCACAGAGGAGCCGACTGGATGGAAGGTGGTCTGGTAGTTGTCCAGGTCATATGCACAGCTAGGAGGTATGCACCAGGGAGGGATGTCAGTCATATGCATCTTGGAGTCAAATTCAATGTCTGCCCAGATTTAGTCATACGTAATATCTTCAGAACTATTGCCATATTTACCTTCTACCAGCACCTTTGTTTTACTCAGCATTTCTTACCTGACCTATAATACCTATGAAATCATAAGTTGTATAGACTAGTTATATTTTAACTATTTTAGCAGTACCTGTTTGCCAACTACATGAGAAGTACAAATTATATCATTTCAGAAGACACTGGTTTCTTGGCCAGGTGCAGTAGCTCACACCTGTAATCCCAGAACTGTGGGAGGCTGAGGTGGGCAGATCACCTGAGGTCAGGAGTCTAAGACCAGCCTGGCCAACATGGTGAAACCCCGTTTCTACTAAAGATATAAAAATTAGCTGGGCATGGTGGCAGGCACCTGTAGTCCCAGCTACTTGGGAGGCTAAGGCAGGTGAATCGCTTGAATCTGGGAGGCGGAGGTTGCAGTGAGCTGAGATTGTGCCATTGCACTCCAGCCTGGGGGACAAGAGTGAGACCTCGTCTCAAAAACAAAACAGAAGGCTTAGTAACTGAGCTACCACAGCTTCAAGAAAGCAAAGGTGCAGTTTTAGCCAAGTACACACTATTCCATAAGAATGGGTGAGATCCAGTTGTAGGACAGGACACGGCAGGAGAGCTGTAAGGTTGAACACCTATGTGTACAAGTGTGTGGCTGCAACCTCAGAGCATCAGTGCTCAGATTCTAGAGTCAGATGGATATTCTAATACAAGCTCCATTGTTTAAGTATTGTTTTGGGCTGGTTATTTAGGCAGCAAGCTGGGGTTTCTTCATGAAAGACGAAGACTAGTACAACTAGTGGATGTGGAATACATAGCACTGTGCCTGGCATATGGTAGGTGTTCAGATGGATAGAGGCTAGAGACCAGTCTTTCCAGATGATCAACACCATAGTAGAGTCAGACTTTCTGGGGCTTTGGAACTCATTCCTTAAGATTCAAGAGGTGATTGGAAGGCAGCATGTGGCCAAGTGTGGTGGTTCACACCTGTAATCCCAGTACTTTGGGAGGCCAAGGTAGGTGGATCACCTGAAGTCAGGAGTTCGAGACCAGCCTGGCCAACATGGCAAAACCCTGTCTCTACTAAGATAGCAAAAATTAGCTGGGCTTGGTGGTGTGCCCCTGTAATCTCAGCTACCCAGGAGGCTGAGGTAGGAGAATTGCTTGAACCCAGGAGGCAGGGGCTACAGTGAGCTAAGATCATGCCGCAGCACCCCAACCTGGGTGACAGAATGAGACCCCATCTCAAAACAAAAAAAAAAAAAACAGAAGGCAGAAGAGTCCCAATTAGAAAACAAGGACTAAATCTGGATCTCACATGACTGAATGCTGCTCTAAAGCCCAAGAGGGTTTATTCCCATTACTGGCAAGTTTTGATGGATTAGCTGGGTAACCTGATAGTACAGGGAGTACCTACCCATCCACGACAACGTTCCACTGGGGGAAAGAGTCTGGATCCATGGTGGACGTCGCCCAGCAGTCATCTAAGACCAGCTTGATGTTGGGGTCATCCCTGTTTAGGACTCTCACTTCCATGTAAATTGGTTGGCGGAGGAATCTCACTAGAGGGTACTCGTTTTCCCCATAAGGTTGTTGGTAGGAATTATCTGAAATTGAATGGTATTCAAGTAGTTAATGGCTGCAACACAGATTCATAGGTCATCACTGCTCCATTAGTCTGGCAGTATCAGGATGTTCATTTTAGGGAGAAGTTTGAGATCATTTAAGCAATTTCACAGACTGCAATCTCTTACCTGGGTAGCTTTGCAGGATCAAGGTAAATGGACCCAACTTCACTGAGGCCACTGGAGGAGTAAGGCTTTCAACGTTGATGTTTAGTAGCATGTCATTCCTGCTATAAGAACACTTCACTGTCATTCTGTAAGAGTTTGGAGGGAAGGTAGGTACAGAAAATTTCAGGTTAAAAAATTGCTTGAGTTTAAACTAGAGCTTAAGAGTCAAATAGCAATTTTATCTCACCTGAACTCACTGTCTCTAGATATTTTGCTTGGAGGAAAATCCGTCCAGAGAGCATGTATTTCGTTTTCATAGACGACTTTATCATCTTCGAACTTAAATGTCAGAGAAAGTGGGTTAGCAGCCAGTTATGTCAAAGATGAGACTTAACCTCGTGCCATCTGCCAGTACTAACCTTATATCTCGTTCCACATCCATTCAGGGGTATGTGGAACCGTACCAGCCCCTGAGACTGAGCCTCAAAGACAGGCTGGCAGGATGAGTTTCCCACCCTCAGAGTACCCAGGTCAAGAGCTGGTTGTGTTTGGTAGCTGTAGACCTCGACGTCCATAAACCCATCCTGGGTGCACAGCTCCCCTGTAACTAGACAGCGGTGAAAGTTTAGAGAAAATAAGTTTGTCTGCCCTGTGATACTGTCATCTCCCAACCTGATATGCTACGAGGGAGAAATTCTAATTTAGCAGGAGGCATCAGAATCTGTCTTGAAGTCTTTATGAGGGAACCTTGATCAGCAGCTTGAATTACAAAGGGAGCTGAAGTTAGTTGATTGTTCTATGTGAGAGTAGGACTTTTCATCCAAAGGAGGGACCAGTAGATGTAGGAAGAAGTGCTATATGGTATAAGACCAGTGAGAATCCTGATGAAGGGCAGGAGTTGACTCAAGGTTAAACTTAATGTGGCTTTAAGTACAGCGCCTATGTTATTGTATCCTTTCTTTGTATACTCACAAATCCTGAGTAGTTTGGGGAGAAACTGAGGCAGGAGCTGGTTTTCCTATTTGATCTGACCTGTGCAGATCACATTAAACAGAAGCACATGGTGGAGGCAATGCTAAACAAGAGATATTCACTCTATTTAAGAATTTGTAGGAATTTTGGGGTGGGGGGGTACTTAAACTTAATTCTAATTAGAAGTTTGAATATTCTTACCTAGATGTCAGGTTCAGGCTCCTAAGCCAAAATATCTAGATTGTTTAACCATGGAGCAGTTGCCATAAAACCTACCTATGTAGGGATCTTAAAAATATCATACTTAGGACCCCATCGTAGCAGCTACACTGTTTCTAATCTGACTAGTCTTTAGTTTCTTCAGTCTATAAGCAATAGATCAGAATCTGACCTTCTATACATTTGCCCACATGTACAAGAGCCAAGGGAGAAAAAAGGTAGAACATGATTTTAATAAAAGGTCTTTACCTATAGAAACGGGTGACTCACAGAGACACTCAGGATAGATCACCATGGATACTGTCTCTGGCCGAAGGAGAAAGGTCAGCTTGAGTGAAGCTAAGTAGAACTGATGGAGTAGGCATTTTTCAGATAACTGAAATGAGAAAATGTCAATTAGCAGCCACAGTCCGTTGGGGCCCGGAACCGTCACAGGGAGGCAGGAAGCAAGTCCACTAAATACTTGCAGGACACACTCCAGACTTATCTGGGCTCCCTTTAAACCAAAACAAGAGAGACCCTATCACTTCCTCAGATCTGGATGTATCCCCAGGCAGATTTATTGCTTTAAACTCATGCCCTGGAGTACCCAGCACTGTACTCTTTGTACGAGGCACTAAAGCTTGAATTAGCAGATCAAATTCCAAAGAATAGTGGAATCCTCTGCCAAGCCAGGTCTGAGTCAAAAGGACTCTACAGATGTTATAAAATGGTATTGCATAATATGTACCCCCAACCTAAGATTATTCTCTGGTATCCCTGGCAGTTCTAGTGAAGACTAACCTCAACAGCAACAGTACGGGACCCTTTTGTTTAGATCAAGGTGTCCTGTTCGTTGACCAGGACAGATTCATCATTAGGTATTTGACAAGTAGTTGCTACTACTCAGTTGGGGCCTTAGACAGTTTTAAGACTTAGAAAGACTTAGACGATTTTTCATGACAGAAGTTAAAGAGGTTTTGTGTTAGAGAATGAACTTTAGTTACTTGATATTTCACTTATACAAGATGATCAAATGAGGCCTTTTGGAGTTTGAATCTGTTATGTTGGCAATTAGAGCTCACGGGCAAGTTATCAGCCGTATGAGGACTACCCACAAGAGTATACTTCAAGTCAGGACCCGGTGGAGTTCAGTGGTTGACAATTGAACATACTTTCGTTTTGAGCAGAGTTTTGCTGAAATGCAATTTCATGCCATTTGTTGCTTCTAGATCAATTCCATTGTCATGCAGCTGGCTCACATCAATGTTCTGGTTTTCAAAGCTCACAGACTTAAGCTTCCCAGGAAACTCTGGTATGGTGAGAGTCATGTGTGTGGCATTGCAGGTCACAGGATCTAGAAGGAATGACAACAGAATGCCCATTACCAGCCTTGATTAAGCTTCTAGGACAATGTCTCCCACACTGAGGTTGCAGCTATCTGGGACCTTACCTGGTGCACAAATAGCTTGTGAAGAGAAGATCACCTTCTGTCCAGGAGATATAAATGTAAGCTTCAGAGACACCATGTAGAGATGACTGTTACCTTGCTAGGGGGAGAAATAACAGTGATCTTCAAAAACATTGGTTACTTGAATCTCTAACCAGTAAGAATCATCTTGGCAAGTATATATCCAAGTAATGGGCACTACTTTGACACAAGTAGGATTTAAGCATTTGTCTAATGACTAATTTGTCTAATCTGGAGGTATATTAGTTTTAACCTTGTTCTAACATCTGGAAGAATGTTGTCTAGATCACCTGTAGCCAATGACTTCTAGGCAGATAAGATCTGTCCTTACCCCATATGACTATTTTAAAGTATCAGCAGCCAGACAATGTTTTCAAGCCTCAATCCATTTGTGTTCTTACTGGGAGATAGGACTGTTCTTGAAGTGGTTGGCATTTGAGCACTTACATCTCAGGACCTGTCCTAAGTACTTTAGGAGATTAATTCATTTAGTGCAGTGTTCAGACTATTGGCCTGGAAAGCACCAATACTTGCTATAAAACAATATAGGACAATGACAACCCAAACAGAACCCCTTAACCCATAAAGCTTTCAGGAATATGCTTGTTCTGTGTTGTACTATAGATTTAAGACTATGGGAAAGAGACTAGATTGAGGTAAGGATTATGTATTTTTGAGAAATGGTCTCGCTCTGTCGCCCAGGCTGGAGTGCAGTGGTACAATCTCGGCTCACTGCAACTTCTACCTCCTGGGTTCAAGCGATTCTCCCACCTCAGCCTCCTGAGTAGTTGGGATTATAGGCATGTACCATCTCACCCAGTTAAGTTTTTGTGTTTTTAGTAGAGACAGGGTTTCACTAAACAGACAGGGTTGGCCGGGCTGGTCTTGAACTCCTGACCTCAAGCGATCTGCCCGCTTCAGCCTTCCAAAGTGCTGGGATTACAGGTGTGAATACCCAGCGAAGTGTTTGGCACTTAATAGGCATTAAAATGGGTTGTATTATAAATTAATGTGAAGACATGGTTGAGATCATGCTTCAATTTAGGAATACTGGCCTGTGCTTTGGTGGTACAAAGCCAGACTTCCACACCTACCACATAGTGAGTCACTCCAGTGGCATTGAATGGCACATGGAAGGTCATCCTGTGGTTGTCAATCAAGAGGCTGAAGCCTTCCTTCATGGCCTCTGGCAGGGTCAGAGTTTTGGCTCTTGCACCATCACCAACCTCAATGCTCCATCCCATCTGAACTTTGGTCCCCTGAAGTCAAAAAGCTTTGTTTAGAGGGCTGGTGCTCCCTTAACCAAGTCTCTGGTAGTCTAACAATTTATCAGGTTAAAGGTAATATCACCTTTAACATAGAATTAAAGGTTATTAAGGTCTGATTTTTAAAATTTGCTTCATACCTTACTGTCGTCAGCCAAGCCAGAGAAGACCCGTGGCAAGGAAAACTGGAAGAAAAGAATTGTGATGTAAGACTTTGATTTGGAGGTAGATGTTTCCGAATTCATGCCAGAAATTGCTGTGTGGTTGTCATACCAAAAGGCCTGCTGTGGGATGCAGTGGAAGAAGCACATGAACCCTGACTGTGCCCTTAGATGTCATTATACTTCTTTGAACTTCTGATCCCAAGAGGCAGCTGGAAGATCTAAGCTCCTTTCCAGTTGTAAGTTGGGACACATTTCTCCCCCCAAGATAGAGTTTCGCTCATCGCCCAGGCTGGAGTGCAATGGTGCAATCTCGGCTCCCTGCAACCTCCGTCTCCTGGGTTCAAGCGATTCTCCTGCCCCAGCCTCCCAAGTAGCTGGGATTACAGGAATGTACTACCATACCCGGCTAGTTTTTTGTATTTAGTAGAGATGGGTTTTCACCATGTTGGTCAGGCTGGTCTCAAACTCCTGACCTCAGGTGATCCACCTACCTCAGCCTCCCAAATTGCTGGGATTACAGGCATGAGCCACCATGCCTGACCAGGACAATGTTCTTAAACGTTTGCCCTTTCACCAATGTCCATAGAAATCAGGTACTATGTAAAAGCCATGCAGTTCTATCATTGTTATTGAGTTGCTTTTATGTCAGTGTTATTTTTAGTTGTCCATTGTTGACATTAGCCATGTTAGACTCTAAACCCATGAAGATGTGACTGGGTCGTTTTGTTCACTTATTGTATCTTAGCATCTAGGGTAGGGCCTGGAACATGGCATGTATTCCATTTGTCAGATGATTAGTGTGAGTGCAACTACCAATAAAACCCTATTGCCATGCATGATGTGCCAAGTACCATGTATATACCCTCAGTAAATTCTTAGAGCCACCCTGAGGTAAGCATTATTGTCCCATCACTTTGGACTTGGAAACAAAGCCTCAGGGTAAAGTTAAACCTCATCACACAGAAAATTAGCAAGTACAGGATTAAATCATGGTCTGATTTCTAAGCCCCGCCCTGGTTAGATCATCATCATATTCCCCCTGCAGTAGCCATATACCCCGAGCAGTCAGCCCGTTTCACTCACAGACATGAAATCCTTCTGGCAGATTGTAGATGCTGAAAGCCCCTGGGTCTCTTCTACTTGCATAGCTGGACAGAAGAACTGATACATGACAGCTCCGTGTCTTAAGGCAGCACTGTTGTTCATGACTCTGATGGTCATCTGGTGTCCACCATGCTGTGTACAGATAGCACAGTGGGAACAGAGTAAGTACTGTACCCCCATGGGATTCTAGAATACCATCTGACCCATCTGAGTGGGAAAACCCTTAAAGTTACTAATACCACAAGTGCTGGAAGGTACCTCATTCCCGTACCAGGAGACTAGCTAGCCCATTGTAATCTGTTAGTGAAGACTCATGCTGATAGGCCAGTTTTAGCATCAGGAAATGGAGTTCAGTTTCTATTTCTCTTATGTGTACCCTATGTCTCAGTACCATGGTCCTGGCTGAATGGGGTTGGTATGGGGCTTCTACCCAGGTTATCTGAATACTTGTTAAGCACCTAAGTAGCTGCCATTGTGCTGGGTAGAGCTACCCTTGCTATTACCCCTGACCTTAGGAAACTCAGTCTAAAAGCAGGGGTCAGCCAACCTTTTTCCATTATGCATTAGCAACTGTTTTAGACTCATGTGAGCCACATGAAATCCATAGCATATTTCCTTAAAAGAACTTTAAAAAGATAAAAGCCAGCTGGGCATGGTGGCTCATTGCCTGTAACTCCAGCACTTTGGGAGGCTGAGGCAGACTGACTGCTTGAGCTCAGGAGTTCAAGACCAGCCTGTGCAACATGGTGAGAGACTCCATCTCTATATATATATTAAACACACACACACACACACACACACACACACACACACACACACACACCACAAAAGTTAGCTGGGTGTGGTGGTATATGCCTGTGGTCTCAGCTACTGGGCAGGCTGAGGTGGTACTGAGACATAGGGTAGGGGATTGCTTGAGTCCGGGAGGTAGAGGTTGCAGTGAGCCGAGATTATGCCACTGCATGCCAGCCTGGACAACAGCAAGACCCTGTCTCAAGAAGATTAAGAAGATAAAACCCATTCTTAGTTTGAAAACCAAACCAAAACAAAAACAAACAAAAACACAAAAAAAACCCATGAACTAGGCACAGTGGTTCATGCCTATAATCCCAGTGCTTTGGAAGGCTGAGGTGGGAGGATCCCTTGAGGCCAGAAGTTTGAGGCCAGCCTGGACAACATGGTGAAATCCCCATTTTGACAAGACAAAGATTAGACAGGCATAGTGTTGCATGCCTGTAGCCCCAACTAGTTGGGAGGCTGAGACGGGAGAATCCCTTGAGCCCAGCAGTTCTAGGCTGCAGTGAGCCATGATTGCAGCCACTACTTTCCAGCCTGGGCTACAGAGCAAGCCTGCCTCAGAAAGAGACCATGGACTGCGTTTGGCCATCCACAGGTTATGGCTTGCAGACCCTTAGTCTAAGGGAATGCGACTCCAAGACCTCTAATGTTGAGAAGGTCTGTTTTAGAAGGAAATTATCAGGTTTTTCATGAAGGACCTATGATTACTTCATTGATTGATCACAGAGGGCTTTAGGGGACCAGATGACTTACAGTTCAAGCCTGTTTACAGAGTAGGGTCTAAGACTGTATCTGTACAAAGCTTAGACTGCTGACCACCTGCATCGTAATCAGATGGTATAGACTGTTAGATATGCAGATTCCCAGAACTCACCCCAGGCCTATGTCCAACTAGTCAAACCCAAACTTTCCAAATTACAACTTGCTAGCTTCTGCTTAGACAGGTTGCTTTTATTGCTCCTAATATTCCTGATTGGGCAATACTGTTGCTTGGCAATAGAAAAACCCTTACTGCTTAGCTGCTGTTTGCCTTTTAACACCTGTTTCTATAGGTCAGATTTCTATTTGCTAGCACCAAAATAGCCTTCCATCTCATGTTGGGGTTCACAGATCAAAATAGCTCGTGTTTCATCACTTGTTGTATCCAGGTTCTGCACCAGGTCTTAATCTGTAGAACATCATTAGTCTTCATTACCCCCATGGAGCAGGCACCATTACTCTCATCTTCTAATGGGCAAACAGGCTTGAAAGGGCTCACTTGGTGGAAATTACACCTGATTAGTGGTAGAGCCAGGGCTCAAGGGCTCAAGTACTTGAATGCCAGGGTTTCTCATCCTCAACACTGACATCTCAGTCCTGGTAATTCTGTGTTATGGGGAGGAGACTTGGGTAATGTTGGTTGTCTGCCAGCATCTTTGGCTTGTATCCATTAGATGCCAGTAGTAGCTCTTCTACCTTCAGTTGTGATAACCAAAGATGTTTCTAGATGTTGTCAAATGTCCCCTGGACAGATTCCCCCCACCCTCCTCCAGACAGTTTTGCTCTTGTTGCCCAGGCTGGAGGGCAATGGAGCAATCTCAGCTCACTGCAAACCTCTGTCCCCTGGGTTTAAGCGATTCTCCTGCCTCAGCCTCACAAGTAGCTGGGATTACAGGTGTGTGCTACCACACCCAGCTAGTTTTTTGTATTTTTAGTAGGGATGGGGTTTCACCATGTTGGCCAGGCTGGTCTCAAACTTCTGACCTCAGGTGATCCACCCGTCTCAGCCTCCTAAAGTGCAGAGATTATAGGCGTGAGCCATCACACCTGGCCTAGACAGATTATAATAGAAAAGAAGAGCCACACACGAGACACCACCCCCTTGGTTGAGAGCCACTGCTTTACTCCAAAGAGAAAGTTCTTAGCCAAGTTTACTGCCAGTAACTCTTAGGTTACTACGTACTTCCCCAAGAACTGCTCAAAGCAATGACTTACCACTCTCCTGGTACAGTTATCATAGGTAGCCCTCAGGGTGAGCTTTTCTGGGTCCAGGATGTAAGTGCAGTTCGGCATGTCGAGACCAAGAGGATCTGCCAAGGCCAGAGCAGGTTAGACAGGATGGCTGAGTACATTTCAGTGACAGTCCAAAGCTATAGAGTCAAGACCACCAGTCCATTTCTAAGGTACTTCAGTCCCTTCACTTCCGCCCCAACTCAGTGATAGAACTTGAGCTTTGAGATGGTATGACTTGCAGCCAGAGGCTTCCCAGAGATGCTGGCATAAGACACACTTTCGAAGACAGACAGGTCTTCCATGCTGGGTGGCTTCATGCAAATCAGGTATCCCCATGGCATCATGGGAGTTGGATGCCGTTGCTGCAGGAGTTTGGGTACTCTGCTCCCCAAACAGGATTGACCTAAGCCAAAGGCTGTCTGCTAATCAGGACTATGAGGAGATAACACACGTTACCTACCCACCACAGATGCATGCCATTTCTTGGTGCCAGGACTGCTTGGGAACTCCACTGTTATTTCCCTTTCATCGCAAGTGACAGTGCCTAAGGAGCAAAGGAAGCATTTGGGGGCTTTGAGTCATGAGTGATGCAACTCCTACAAAAGTGTATAGACTCCTCTCAGATGGGAGGGATTCCAGATGAGGGAGGCAAGAATCGTCCCCTACCCTGGGAGAGCTCACAAACAAGTGACCAAGACAACAATACAATATGCCAAGAACTGTAAGGAAAATATCAGGTACCCAGGGCTTTTGAAGTGTTCCAGTAAGAAGCCCAGGTTAGGGTTGACAAGCAGGTCTGTAGGAGCCAGGTCAACACCTTGACAGTGGAGCAGATGGAGGCAGGCCCGAAAAACTGACAAAAGCTTTGTCAACAGGTTTTGCAAATTGATGTTAAACAAAGTCCTGGGTAAGTCCCAGGACTTTTATTTATTTATTTATTTATTTTGAGACGGAGTCTCTCTGTCACCCAGGCTGGAGTGCAGTGGCACGATCTCAACCCACCTCAACCTCCGCCTCCCAGGTTCAAGCGATTCTCCTGCCTCAGCCTCCCAAGTAGCTGGGATTACATGTGCCCACCACCACACCCAGCTAGTTTTTGTATTTTTGGTAGAGATGGGGTTTCACCACATTGGCCAGGCTGGTCTCAAACTCCTGAGCTCAGGTGATCTGCCCGCCTTGGCTTCCCAAAGTTCTGGGATTACAGGCGTGAGCCCCGGCGCCTGGCTGCATTTTTTTTTTTTTTTTTAAAGATCAAGTTTTGCCCATCATCTGCTACTCTGCAGCCTCTGGCTCAGGTGAACGTCAAGTGAGCAGCTCCAGTTTTGCTTGTTATGTCGATGTTTTCCTTAAGCATGAGTTTGTGTTTGAAGATTGCTGCTCCTAAAGATGAGGGCTTAGTGTGGTGGTTTGCTGTTCTGTGGATACCATAAAGCTTGAGGCAGTGAGGGATTGGAAGGCAGTGCAAGTGTTTGAGTTTTCATTTAGCAGGTATAGTGAGTCTACAGGTTAGCAGAAGAAAGATCCAGTAACCTGACCAAGGTAATAAAGGGGGTGAATGGAGGTTGTCTGAGCCAGGCCTGTGTTTCTTGGCCAGCTAGGCCTTCCAGCTGCAACCTGTTTTCTCTGCTAAGAAGACTTCTGTCACCCAAGAGACATACCTGGAAAGGCAGGATTTACCAACTGAGAAACATCTATGGAGTTCCCTGAAGTCACAAGGGCGAAGAAGAGAGAAATCGACCTGTAGGTGCTGGAAAGAGACAGGGAGATAGTCAAGGAAGAATGGACTTTAACAAACAAAGCTACCATACCCCCTCCCTCCACTTCCAGAATTACTCACCTCCAGCCTGCATTGAACCAGCCTGAGGGACTCCAAGAGCCTCCTCTCTGCCTGCACGCCATAGCAGAAGACACTACCAGATCAACCAGGTAGAGGGTAGGCTGCTCTGTGTTTTTATAGCAGGAAGCCAGCCGCATCCACACCCTCTCCCCATTGGGGGCACCTGAATCTTGTCCCATTCTCCCAGCTGAAACGGAAGGATTGGGGAAGGAAGTGGCCTCTGATTCCTGACAGCTTGCGCCGGGTATTCTGCCAGCTGCCCTGTGGGCCAGGCATGAAATCAGAGTTTGCTGAAATCAGCTCCAGGTGAGTGAATTGGTGTTTTCCCTATAACTATGGGGGAAATTAGGATCTTTTGGGCAAATTATTTACAACTGCAATGTAGAGCCAAAGAGAATCATGGGCTTTATTGAGAAAAAAACAAGTCTTGTTCACACCACTACATTTTTTTTTTTTTTTTGAGATTCAGTTTCACTCTGTCACCCAGGCTGGAGTGCACTGGTGCAATCTCGGCTCACTGCAACCTCTGCCTCCTGGGTTCAAGCAATTCTCCTGCCTCAGCCTCCTGAGTAGCTGGGATTACAGGTGCACGCCACCACACCTGGCTAATTTTTGTATTTTGAGTAAAGATTGGGTTTCACCGTGTTGGTCAGGGTGGTCTCGAACTCCTGACCTAGGTGATCCACGTGCCTCGGCCTCCCAAAGTGCTGGGATTACAGGCGTGAGCCATTGCACCTACCCTAAAACCTTTTAAGTAACATCTAGTCTTCTGGCTACTGCAGAAGTTACCCTGATAATGCACAGGAAGTGTCTTTAAAAAAATGAATGAAGCCTTGTTGACCCCCAAGTGTAAAAGCTTAAGCTTACCGCAAAGATACAATTTCAGAAGGATACAGAGAAAAGGCAAAAGTCACTCATAATAGTGCCACTGCTAATATTTAGGTGAGTAACTTTAGACATGTTTCTACAAACACCACACACAATTTTTTTAAAACACTGGGAGGAAAGTTTAAATACTGTTTTGTAATCTGCTACTGTCACTTTATAACTATTAAACATAAAGCTCTCTGTTACCATTTTAGGGTGGCATAATATTCAATTTGAGATAAATCTGTGTTTATATAATTTCCTTAATTATGAGCATAAGGTGGCTTGTAATTTTTCATCATTATAAGCAGTAACATGATGAGCATTCTGATACATATCCTTGGGTAACCCTCAAGATAAATTCCTCAAAGTAAAACTTCTGGGTAAAAGGGAGTAGTGATCTAATAAGAATGTTATATTGTTGTAAAGCACTTGGAAGTTTCCCAGTGGGGAAACTGAGGCAAGGCAACTTGCCCCAACAATGTCAGGGACCAGGTGGAGAACTCAGATTTCCTGAGGCCTGATGGTTGTGTTTTTTCAACATCTCTCACACTCTTTGAGATAACTAGATGTCTGCAGCCCATGTTCCAAAATAGGTGGATATAAGGCTTAGACTCCATTCAAGTGGTGGGTGACACTTGCAATTATTAGGCTGGTGCAAAAGTGATTGCAGTTTTTGCCGCTACTTTTATGTATGTATGTATGTATTTGAGATGGAGTCTTGCTCTGTTGCCCAGGTGGGAGTGCAGTGGCGCAATCTTGGCTCACTGCAACCTCTGCCTCCTGGATTCAAGCGATTCTCCTGCCTCAGCCTCCCGGGTAGCTGGGATTACAGGCGCCCACCACCAAGCCCAGCTAATTTTTGTATTTTTGGTAGAGACAGGGTTTCACCATGTTGGCCAGGCTGGTCTCGAACTCCTGGCCTCAAGTGATCCAACCGTGTCAGCCTCCCAAAGTGCTGGGATTACAGGCGTGAGCCACTGTGCCCGGCCCTTTGCCACTAATTTTAATGGCAAAAACTGCAATTATTTTTGCATCATCCTAAACTGTATTGATTCATGTGTTGCCTTTGAGGTGTAACCTGAGGCATCTGAAATAACATTGGAGATTAACTGTTTCCCTGACTTCCTTGATCAAAAGGATCACATGGAGCTCTCATTAATATCACAGATTCCAGGGTCCCACCCAAAAGCTGCTGAATTAGACTCTCCAGAAGATGTGCCTGGGAAATATTTACTTAACGAGCACCACAGGTGATTCTTATAATCAGGAAAACCTGGAAAATACTTGGAGGGAGCGAGGCGAGAAAATCTGTGGTGGCCAGTGGTTAACCTCCTTACGGGAATTGAGTAGATTACATCCCAGCGGAATTGGGAAGAAGGAGCAAAATACAGATAAGTTTTTGGGGATAGAGATGGTAAAAGGATTTCATTTTATAGCCAAAGCATGATAGCAATAGTTTCTCCTTCTATGCATATTTTTCTGAAAAGTGGCACCTTTTCTACAAATATAATTTATTGCCACAATGGTTAAGACTATGATAAGACATTAGAGGAAAAAGGAGCATAGACGTGAGACTCAGAGCCCTATTGAGAAGGTGGTCAGAGAAGTGATGGGTTAATGTGCTTATTCAGCCTCCCTCAGACCCCACCTCCCTTCCCACCGCGCTACTCACTCCCCTCGAGATGGTGTCTTTCTCCAGAGCGGGAAGTTTTTGCCTTGGAAAGGGCAGCTTTGGTCAGAGCCCCCAAATTTGGGGTTTCTAAAAGGTTAAGGGGCAGCACAGAGACCCCAAGCAGGAGATGTGGTGAGAAAGCCCGCTGTGGGCTGGTGAAGCTGGTATGTGCACCAGAGATTAATTTTGTTTGTCTCACCTAACCCAGACCTGTGGTGTGCTGGGGACAGCCACCGAACAAATGGCTCTGGGCCCAGGAGCATCCATGTCTAGGATTCTGCTCCGGAAAAGCAGGAAGCTACCATCTGTTCAGCAACTGACTTTGAACACAGGAAGAAATAGCTGCTCCGTAAAACAGTGTCTCCTATCAGGAGGTAGGAAAAACTAAAGTTATTACAAAAATGATTCTTAACATTCTGTTCTCACTTATAAGTGGGAGCTGAACAATGAGAACACATGGACACAGGGAGGGGAACATCACACACTGGGTCCTGGTGACAGGGGTTGGGGGGTGGGGGCAGGGAGAGCATCAAGATAAATAGCTAATGCATGCGGGGCTCAATACCTAGGTGATGGGTTGATAGGTGCAGCAAACCACCATGGCACACGTTTACCTATGTAACAAAGCTGCATGTCCTGTACATGTATCCTGGAAATTAAAATTAAATTTAAAAAAATATTGCGCTAAATAGGCCCGGTGCAGTGGCTCACGCCTGTAATCCCAGCACTTTGGGAGGCTGAGGCGGGTGGATCACCAGAGGTCAGGAGTTTGAGACCAGCCTAGCCAACATGGTGAAACCCTGTCTCTACCAAAAATATTAGCTGGGCATGGCGGCACACACCTGTAAATCCTGCTACTCGGGAGGCTGAGGCAGGAGAATCGCTTGAACCCAGGAGGCAGAGGTTGCAGTGAGCCAAGATTGTGCCACTGCACTCCAGCCTGGGCAACAAGAGTGAAACTCTGTCTCAAAAAAAAAAAAAAAAAAAAGGCAGTAAACAAACAGCAGACCTCGTTCAAATATATGTGTTCCACACTCTTTTCAATGAACCTCTTAAAGTTTGCTGATTTATTATTACAAGGTGTTCCTTCTCCTCTTCTCTGCCCTGGGTTCTATGTATCATGAAACCATTTCTCTCTTGCTAATCACAAGGCATTTCTTGACGGGGTTCTCATACATAAAAGAAAGACTATAGTTTTGTTGTTGCCTCATTTGGGCAGATGTCTTCCTTTCTGAAGTGTGGTTCTTATAAATGACAGTTTATAATTCTTAAATTCTGAATCTGCTGCCCTTGTTTTCCACAACAATTATAAAAGTATTTATAAAAGACAACCTAAATATCACCATCTAGAGATGGTTGGATAAACTATGGAATACTCTTCAGCTACTGCAAATGATTCTATGAGTTCGTTCAGATCTGTGAGTACTGACATGAAAGATGTCTGCAATAAAACTGGAATTTCAGGGCTATATATCTACTATGCTTTCATGTTTTGCTTTAATAGGAAAATGAAAAACCTGTCGACCTAAAGGAAGGAGAAGAGAATATAGTTTTAAAGAGTTTACTTGAGGCAAAGTGTGGACAGCTGCCCAGGAAACACTTCCAAGTTGCCTTGGTGAGTTCTCCACTTTTGTCACAAGTGGGTGTTTTTTTTGTTTTGTTTTTTGTTTTTTTTAGACAGAGTCTTGCTCTGTCGCCCAGACTGGAGTGCAGTCGCACGATCTCAGCTCACTGCAAGCTCCGCCTCCCAGGTTCACGCTATTCTCCTGCCTCAGCCTCCCGAGTAGCTGGGACTACAGGCGCCCACCACCACGCCCAGCTAATTTTTTGTATTTTTAGTAGAGATGGGGTTTCACCGTGTTAGCCAGGATGGTCTTGATCTCCTGAACTCATGATCCACCTGCCTCAGCCTCCCAAAGTGCTGGGATTACAGGCGCCCACCACCATTCCTGGCTAATTTTTTGTATTTTTAGTAGAGACGGGGTTTCACCATGTTAGCCAGAATGGTCTCCTAACCTCGTGATCCGCCCACCTTGGCCTCCCAAAGTGCTGGGATTAGTGGCTGATACAGTGTTTCTTGACTCATTGATTTACAGAAATAACACTGATTAGCTGGGTACAGTGGCTCACACCTGTAGTCACAGTGACTCAGGAGGCTGAGGTGGGAGGATAGCTTGAGCCCAGGACTTTTAAGGCAGTCTGGGCAGCATAGCAAGATCCCATCTCAAAAAAAAAAAAAAAACACTGATTAGTGATTGGCTATACATTGTTGAACTATAGGGTATGATTAATGGCGTCCAGCATATGGTATGAGTTATGATGTCCAGTGTATGGCATAGTTAGGTTAATTTTATGGCTACTTGGTGTCAGTCTAGAGCCCACATATCAAGTAGCTCCAAGAGATAATTACTGAGCCCGAGGGAGTGAGGTGTGACTGCTGTCACGTTTCAATGCCTCTCTGGGCCTGATAATTTAAAGGGACTTGCATTCTTCAGATAAAAAGTTTCTTTTCTTTCTCAAACTTATGTGTATATTTATACTTTATGTGTCTGCATGTGGGTCTATACATATGTATTTGGATTACAAGTCAAGAAAGTTGTCCCAGAGAATCGACAGCATCATCCAGGAAAGGAGAGGGTTGCCAGGGTCCGGGGAGTCCACGTGGCTGTGCTGGGCATTTGCGACCATTGTCTATTCTGACTTGTTCGTGCTTTTGCTGTATGGGTTTTAAATACATTGAATATCATCACCGGGAATAGGATTAAGGAGATGGGAGGGTTGGAGCACAGAAAACAATTCCCCAAATGTGCCTGGGCATGCCAAGTGCTTTGGAAAATTAAAAGGCTTCAGAAATAAGCCTCAGAATCAAGGTCTCTCTATCCTTGCCTTGTTCCCTTTCCACCCCCAAAGTACAGGAAGGAACTCTCTCTGGGGAAAAAAAAAAGAAAGCTCCTTCTTTTTTTTTTTTTTTTTTTTGGCAGGGCTTTGGTCTTGTTGCGCAGGCTGGAGTGCAATGGCATGATCTGGGCTCACTGCAACCTCCACCTCCCAGGTTCAAGTGATTCTCCTGCCTCAGCCTCTCAAGTAGCTGGGATTACAGGTGCACGCCAGCAACCATGGCTAATTATTTTTTTTTTCTTGTATTTTTAGTAGAGACAGGGTTTCACCATGACGGTCAGGCTGGTCTCAAACTCCTGACCTCAAATGATCCACCTGCCTTGGCCTCCCAAAGTGCTGAGATTACAGGCATGAGCCACTGGGCCCAGCCAAGGCAGCTTCTTAACAGAAGAAACACTATTGCCTTCTATCCCCTCCCTGAAATCTCATTATCTATAGCAGGAAAGGAGACTAAGGAATGTAACCACACATGGACAGACTTTTCCACAAGATAATGTCAGCCTCTGAAGCTCAGTCAAATTCCAAAGATAATTATGTACAAGTTAATTTCTCTCTCCCTGGTCTGTTCATTCTCCCTGATAATCATTATTGCCCCTCAAGAGAATTGTCTACAGTCCCCATCTCCTCCCTCCCCTATGAAAAACTGTATATACAGCCAGGCACGGTGGCTCACACCTGTAATCCCAGCACTTTGGGAAGCCGAGGCAGGTGGATCACCTGAGGTCAGGAGTTTGAGACCAGCCTGGCCAACATGGCGAAACCCTGTCTCTACTAAAAATATAAAAAATTAGCCAGGCATGGTGGTGTGTGCCTGTAATCCCAGCTACGCAGGAGTCTGAGGCAGGAGAATCGCTTGAACCCGGCGGGCAGAGGCTGTAGTGAGCCGAGATTGCACCACTACACTCCAGCCTGGGCAACAGAGCAAGACTCCATCTCAAAAAAAAAAAAAAAAGAAAACCCACCGTATATATGCATCTGTGCCCCACTGAGGGTTTAGGGGCAATTACTCTGTGATTCCCACCTTCCCCTGCACATTAATAATTTTGTATGAATTTTTCTCTTATTCATCTGCCTTTGGTCAGTTTATTTTCAGTGAACTTTCAGAGTGCAAAGGTGGGAGTTTTCTTCCTTCAGCCCTTAAAGAATAAGTAACTCCTGCCTTTCTGACTTTGAGGGAGAAGAAAAGGAAAAATCATTTGGGATAAACAGGCTGCACCTGCACACAGATAAGCAACTTTGTCTAATTAGCGAGCTCCTAGGAAAAAGTTTCCTCCCCTTTTCAGACATATCCATGGTGGGAACTTACACAGGGAGGAGGGGGGCTTACCTAAAACAAACCCGCAGTTATCAAAACAAGAGACGCAGGCTTTGTGCTTGCCTAGATACATGCCCACAGTTGCGTAAGATACCGGGAGTTGCACAGACAGCTTTACTGATGAGAAGTTACTCAAACTGCTAGAGATGAGAGAGGAGTTTCTTAAAAAAGCTTTTGAATTCAGCTGTAACCTGGCAATCCACTTGGACTCCCCTCTCTGCTGCAGAGAATTTTTTTCTTTCACTTATTACTATTCTTTTTTGAGACGGAGTTTCGCTCTTGTTGCCCAGGCTGGAGTGCAATGGTGTGATCTCGGGTCACTGCAAACTCTGCCTCCTGGATTCAAGAGATTCTCCTGCCTCAGCCTCCCAAGTAACTGGGATTACAGGCATGCCCCACCACACTCGGCTAATTTTGTATTTTTAGTAGAGATGGGGTTTCATCATATTGGCCAGACTGGTCTCAAATTCCTGACCTCAGGTGATCCACCCACCTCGGCCTCTCAAACTGGTGGGATTAGAGGTGTGAGCCACCACACCTGGCCTCTTTCCCTCATTAAACTTTCACTCCAACCCACCTTTGTGTCCATGTTCCTTAATTTTCTAGGAGGTAGGACAAAGAACCCAGGGTACTAGTTCAGACAATGAGAAAGTCTACATTAAGGTGCATTGGTGAGGTTCCAACAACTTTATTCCCTCTGTTTTGGTTGAATTGTTTTAGTGATAAAATAACCAATTAAATAATTATAGACTGGGCATGGTGGCTCACGCCTATAATCCCAGCACTTTGGGAGGCTGAGGCTAGAAGATAACTTGAGGCCAGGAATTCAAAACCACCTTCGACAGCATGGCAGGACCCTGTCTCTTAAAAATTTATTTAGTTAGTTAGTTTTAGTTTTTTGAGACAGAGTCTCACTCTGTCACCCATGCTGGAGTCCAGTGGTACCATCTGTGCTCCCTGCAACCTCTGCCTCCCAGGTTCAAGCTATTCTTATGACTCAGCCTCCCCAGCAGCTGGGACTACAGGCGTGTGCCACCACACCTGGCTACTTTTTGTATTTTTAGTAGAGATGGGGTTTCATCATGTTGGCCAGGCTGGTCCTGAACTCTTGACCTCAGGTGATCCATCCGCCTTGGCCTCCCAAAGTGCTGGGATTACAAGTGTGAGCCACCGTGCCTGGACAAAAAAAAATTTTTTTTAATAATAATTTTGACTGATTTCTGAGTGAGCTACCTAAGTTACAGAGTCTAAGGCTCAAGGATGAAAACTCAGTAGTATAAAGGTAAAAAGGCGAAATGAATGGATCCGGAACTTGAGGCTTTGAAACAAAGTCCAACTCCCTATGGTAAAATGAAGATATTAAGAGGTTTAATATCTAAAGAGGTTTAGTGACTTGCTCCAGGTCATTTACCAAGTTAGTAGCAGATAGAGCTCCAGTGAGAAACCAGGTCTCCTGATGCCTCTCCCTGCCCTTTCTAATTCATTTCAATTTTCTCTCTCTCGCTGTGTGTGTGTGTCTGTGCATGCGGGGGTGTTTTAAAACTCTGTGCTTCTCTTGCAGTTCACTTGTCTTTTAAAAGTACAAGATGACATTAATTAGAATTTTAGCAGTATAAGATAAATAATATAAAAACTTCTCCCAGTTATGCTAATGCAGCTCAAAATAGCTTTCAAATATCAAATATGAATTTAACTTGGAAAAATAAGATAGACTATGTCAATGAGAATGTTCTCGAACATCATATGGTAGTTCCTTTACCAATCTAATATACAATGTTAATGTTGTTTTCCCCTTGGGTCCTTTAGACAGATCCAAGTTGAATGAGCCTTCTGACAGTAATAAATTCAGAAAGAACTAGGATGAAAGCTTTATCGATCTATAAATATAAAGGTAGGGCGGCATCAATATATGGAAGACAGAAGGCCCAGAAGTCTTTTTTTTTTTTGAGATGGAGTCTTGCTCTGTCGCCCAGGCTGGAGTGCAATGGCGTGATCTCGGCTCATGGCAACCTCCGTCTTCCAGGTTCAAGAGATTCTCCGGTCTCAGCCTCCTGAGTATCTGGGATTATAGGCATGTGCCACCACGCCCAGCTAATTTTTGTACTTTTAGTAGAGATGGGGTTTCACCATGTTGGCCAGGCTGGTCTCGAACTCCTGACCTCAAGTGATCTGCCCCCTCCAGCCTCCCAAAGTGCTGGGATTATAGGCATGAGCCACCACACCTTGCCTTTTTGTCTTTTTTAACTGTTGTTGCTTTAACGTCTGTTTTGACTGATACAAGAATAGCTATTCCTGCTCACTTTTGATGTCCGTTTGCATGGAATGTCCTTTTTCACCCCTTTACTTTAAGTTTATGTGAGTCCTTACATGTTAGATGAGTCTCTTGAAGACAGCAGATACTTGGTTGCTGAATTCTTATTCATTCTGCCATTCTATATCTTTTAAGTAGAGCATTTAGTCCATTTACATTCAGTGTTAGTATTGAGAAGTGAAGTACTATTCTATTCGTTGTGTTAGTTTTTGCCTGAATACCTTGTGTTTTTTTTTTCATTGTGTTTTTGTTTTATAAGTCCTGTGAGACAATGCCTTAAGGAGGTTCTATTTTGGTATATTTTGAAGATTTGTTTCAAGATTTTGAGCTACTTTTAGCAGTTCTTGTAGTGCTGGCTTGGTAGTGGCAAATTCTCTCAGCATTTGTTTGAAAAAAAACTGTGTTTTTCCTTCATTTATGAAGCATAGTTTCACTGGATACCAAATTCTTGGCTGATAATTATTTTGTTTAAGAAGGCTAAAGACAGGACCCCAATCCCTTCTAGCCTGTAGGGTTTCTGCTGAGAAATCTGCTGTTAATCTGATAGTTTTTCCTTTATAGGTTACCTGATGCTTTTGCCTCACAGCTCTTAAGATTCTTTCCTTCATCTTGAATTTGATCATTATGTGCCTACATGATAATCTTTTTACGGTGAATTTCCTGGGTGTTCTTTGAGCTTCTTGTATTTGGATGTCTAGATCTTTAACAAGGCCAAGGAAGTTTTCCTCAATTATTCCCTCAAATATCTTTTTCAAACTTTTAGATTTCTCTTCTTCCTCAGGAATGCCAATTATTCTTAGGTTTGGTCATTTAACATACTCCCAAACTTCTTGGAGACTTTGTTCATTTTTAAAATCCGTTTTTCTTTGTCTTTGTTGGATTGGGTTAACTCAAAAGCCTTGTCTTCGAGCTCTGCAGTTTTCTTCTACTTGTTTGATTCTTGTTGGAGAATACCTGGATACTCATTTGGTTGTCTTTATCCTAGATGGGTATGTGGGTTTGCCTATGCTGAGGTTGTTTCAAGAACCAAGAGAAGTCAATATTGTAAGAGATTAGTGGTATGTGTATGTGTATGTTTATGCATGCATATAGATACATATATATGTTTTTCTAGAGTAGCTTGCATATAAAGGGGCAGTGATATAGCAAGAAATAAGCTGCTGTTTTTAACTATGGCAGGACTCTGCTTGTTCAGAGAGTGTGTAAGATGCCCACACAGCAATGACACTATGGGATGAAGGGGTGCCCTGCCCCTCCAAACCTGTGGGTGTTTTCTTGTCGGGTGGGATGAGAGACTAAGAAAAGAAAGAGACACAGAGACAAAGTATAGAGAAAGAAAAGTGGGCCCAGGGGATCGTCGCTCAGCATACGGAGGACCATGCCGGCACCAGTCTCTGAGTTCCCTTAGTATTTATTGATCATTATCTCTACCATCTCGGAAAGGGGGATGTGGCAGGACAATAGGGTAATAGTGGGGAGAGGTTCAGCAGGAAAACATGTGAACAAATGTCTCTGTGTCATAAACAAAGTTAGAAAAGGTGCTGTGCCTTGATGTGCACATACAGAAACATATCTGGTGCATTAAAGAGCAGTATTACCGCCAGCATGTCTCACCTCCAGCCTTAAGGCAGTTTTCTCCTATCTCAGTAGATGGAACATACAATCCGGTTTTACACTGAGACATTCTATTGCCCAGGGACGAGCAGGAGACAGGTGCCTTTCTCTTATCTCAACTGCAAAGAGGCCTTCCTCTTTTACTAATCCTTCTCAGCACAGACCCTTTACGGGTGTTGGGCTGGGGGACAGTCAGGTCTTTCCCTTCCCGCGAGGCCATATTTCAGACTATCACATGGGGAGAAAACTTGGACAATACCTGGCTTTCCTAGGCAGAGGTCCCTGCGGCCTTCCGCAGTGTTTTGTGTCCCTGGGTACTTGAGATTAGGGAGTGGTGATGACTTTTAACAAGCATACTGCCTTCAAGCATTTGTTTAACAAAGCACATCCTGCATAGCCCTAAATCCATTAAACCTTGAGTCAACACAGCATGTTTCTGGGAGCACAGGGTTGGGGGTAGGGTTACAGATTAACAGCATCTCAAGGCAGAAGAATTTTTCTTAGTACAGAACAAAATGGAGTCTCTTATGTCTACTTCTTTCTACATAGACACAGTAACAGTCTGATCTCTCTTTTCTCCACAATGGGACCAGGATAAAGTGTTACTAAAACACATAGCAGCTAATTTTGCTCTGCGTGGCCACTTCTGTATCCTTGGCTAACCTGGGAAATTATCCTGCAAGTGTGTGTGTGTTCTTTCTACTGATCAGTAATTCAACTGCAATTGGGCAATATGCAAGTTTGCTTAAGTCTTATAACCCTGTGAGTGCAGGTGTAAATATCCCCATATCCCCAAGAGAACAGCCTTTTTAATGCTTGAGAATTGGCCAGACATGCTGGAAATGGGGACTAGAAGAGCTTTCACACAGGCGCATAATATGTATTTGGTGACTGATTGGCACAGAAGGAAATGAGGGAGGGTTAGGATGTAACTGATGTGAGAGGAAATGATAGGACATTGTCACACTCAAAAGGCCATTCGACATGGTTACTGGAGCAAGGCAAATACTGTACATGAGTGAAGTCGGTTGGGTGCAAGGAAATGGCTTTAGTGTGATGAGAATGGCAAGTGACTAACTATTGCCCTCAGGGTCAGGATTACAGCTCTGGGCAGCTGGGGGTGATGTGGACTGTTGAGTCCAGGCTGCATCTAAAGAAATAACTGCTTTGGCTGGGCACAGCGGCTCACACCTGTAATCCCAGCACTTTGGGAGGCCAAGGTGGGTGGATCCCCTGAGGTTGGGAGTTCGAGACTAACCTGACCAACCCGGAGAAACCTCCTGTCTACTAAAAATACAAAAAAATTAGCCGGGCATGGTGGCGCATGCCTGTAATCCCAGGTACTCTGGAGGCTGAGGCAGGAGAATCACTTGAACCCAGGAGGCGGAGGTTGCAGTGAGCTGAGATCGCGCCATTGCACTCCAGCCTGGGCAACAAGAGCAAAACTGCATCTTAAAAAAAAAGAAAAAAGAAAAAAAAGAACTGCTTCCCAGCTCAGGCAGAGGTAATTGTCATGATCTTCAGTTTCTCATCTGGAAGCTGAAAATCCAGATTCCATTCAATTTCCTCAATTTTAATGTTGATATTTAATGTTAAAGATATTTTCAAAATCCTGTGCCTGCCAAACAAGACATATCTCTGGCCATATTTATTCCCATCCACCAGCAGCCTGTAACTTCCAAAACCATGGAGAGACCATGCATATAGTGGCTGAGCTGCTGCTCACCCTGTGGGCGTGGGGCAGGAGGCGAACCTGCAGCTCCTCCCACTCCGTCCAGATCTCCCCCTTCAGCTTCTCTGAATCCTAGGCCAGGTGCGTTTGCAGCTTTGTCTATGGTGAAAGGTGGCAGCTTATCCTGTAGACACCTGTGTCGTCGAGGTTGGGGGTGGTGAGAGACAGGCGTGGGTTTCGTTTTATTCTCTGGGGTTCCAATTTGTCTCTGCAGATTCTAATTTGTTCTTTTTCTTTACTTCCTCTCCATCTTTACTTCCCAATTGCTGGCCCTACGGACTTTGGGTCTAACATCTGGTGCAGAAGAAATAGCCTTACTAGACAGCTTACCTGGCTTCCAGGTATAAGCTTAATCTCTGCAATAAACCCTTTATTCTATATCACTCAGAATGGTTCTGCTTCTCTGATGAAACCTGACTGATACAGAATTTGGTTGCTACCTCCTTATATGAGAGGCAAGGAACCTGGATTGCAGATAGGGACAATAACTCTAGGTCCTACAGTTACTTAGTGACAGTCCTGGGAATTGAATCCAGGGTTCCCCTCATCTCTGCTTTTTACTTTTTCCCCTGTGTTTAAAGAAGTTGATTCTCACCTTTGTATAATCTTTTTTTATTTTTTTGCGACAGAGTTTCACTCTTGTTGCCCAGGCTGGAGTACAGTGGCACAACCTTGGCTCACTGCAACCTCTGTCTCCTGGGTTCAAGTGATTCTCCTGCCTCAGCCTCCAAGTAGCTAGGACTGCAGGTGCGTGCCACCACACCCAGCTAATTTTTGTATGTTTAGTAGAGATGGGGTTTCACCATGTTGGCCAGGCTGGTCTTGACCCCCTGACCTCAGGTGATACATCCACCTCGGCCTCTCAAAGAGCTGGGATTACAGGTGTGAGCCACCATGCCTGGCCACCTTTGTATAATCTTTAAAGCATCTTTTCCATAAAATGTCCCCCACCATTCAAATAACAGCTGAGTCCTGCTAAGTCTCCTTTGATCATAGCTCTGTAAGCCACTCCTTCCTCATTTGGTCCTCTGCAGGTTTTGTAAGCCACATGTACATCGTTCACGTTTCATCCAGAGTTCTGGGAAAGAGTAGGTGGTTCCCAGAAACAATGTGAGTTCATGAGTCTTTCTAAGAAGAAGGGAAGAAAGTTTTTGTCAAGGCCACAATGTATAGACCTTGTGCTAAGCACTGATTTATAAATAATCCAGATAGGAGTAAGAAAATGAAATGAAGTCTCCTTGAGGTGAATTTTCCTCCAGTTGATAGTAGTAGAAAGCTATTATGGGCTGAAAATATATCTCCCCCACCATTCATGTTGAGGTCCTAATTCCCAGCACCTCAGAATGTTACTGTATTTGGAGATAGCCTTTGATACGGTTTGGCTCTGTGTCCCCATCCAAATCTCATCTCAAATTGTAATTCTCACGTGCTGAGGGAGGGAGGTGATTGAATCATGGAGGTGATTTCCCCCATGCTGTTCTAGTGATAGTGAGTTTGTTCCTATGAGATTTGATGGTTTTATAAGTGTTTGGAAGTTCCTCCTTCATTCTCTCTCCTACCACTGTGTGTGGAAGATGCTTGCTTCCCCTTTGCCTTTGCCAGGATTGGGTTTCCTGAAGCCTCCCCAGCCATGTTGGAACTGTGAGTCAATTAAACCTCTTTCCTTGATAAATTACCCAGTCTCGGGTATTTCATTATAGCCGTGTGAAAACAGACTAATACAGCTTTTACAGAGGTGATGATGTTAAATGAAGTTATTAGGGTGTGCTCTAATCAATATGACCATCTTATAAGGACCAAGTGTCCTTATAAGAAGAGAAAATTTGGACACAGACATGTGAAGAGGAAGATGACATGAAGACACAAGGAGAAAATGGCCATTTGCAAGTCTTTTTCCAGGAGAGAGGCCTGGAACAGGTCCTTTCCTCACAGCCCTCAAAAGGAACCAACCACGCTCACACCTTGATTTCAGATTTCTGGCTTTCAGAACTGTAAGAAAATAAATTTGTTTAAGCCACTCAGTCTGTGGTACTTTGTTATGGAAGTCCTAGTAAACTATTACAAAACCCCAGATTGAAATTCAATTCTGTGTGACTGTAAAATATATATTATTTTTATTATACCATGATAAGGGGTAGGACAAAAAAAAAAAAACAAAACTAGGTCTCGGCTGTTGTTATTGAGAAGGAAAATGCAGAGAAAAGAGAAGTTTTAAGAAAATGCTGCATTTATATAGATTGACTTAAAGAAAGGAGAAACTTTCTTTCTCCTAGTGCTAGTACTACTATTAATTTACTTTAATTAAGTGCTGACTACACACCATAAACTGTACTTAGTATTTTACAAATATTCAGTAATTACTTGCAACAACCCTGTGAATGATTCTCTTTTAAAGAGAAAAGTACTGTCTTTATTTTACTGATGAAGAAACTAAAGCTTAGGGAGAAGTAATTTGCCCAACTTAATGGGAAGATCCAATCTGGGGCTTAATATCTGTCAGTCTCTGACTTCAGACCCCATGTTCTCAATCATTATTCTACTCTGGCTTTATTTCAACACAATGCTTGGAGTTTACATTTGCTTGTCTTTCCAATCCAACCATCAGCTTTGTAAGAGTTGAACGGTTTTGATGGTATTTGATGATCTGCTAATGGATGCTATAACACACCTCCCTTGTGGTAAATTCTACCATCTTTGAAACAAAATGGCACCTAACATAGGTTTTTCCAATGATTGTCGTTCCTGCAGTTTTTCTAGAACTTGAGTTATAGAGGGGACCTGTTGGTAGAAGAATTACATGGATTGAAATTTTCAAGTCACAGAACCAATAATTAGGAAGAAGGAAAGACATAAGAAAAAAGGGAAATTTGTTCAGCTAACAAAGCCAGTTTAATCAAGTGTAGAATTTAAATTCCTAGCCCCTGCTTAGACTATCCAGTATTCAAATTTGAAAGAATTTGTTTTTGGAAGCCTTTATAAAACTCTTCACTGTTACAATGTATGCCATCTGGGATTTAGCATTTATAAAATGTGCAGTTAAGAGATGCCAAGAGATTCCTCATGCAAACCAGATGGTACAATAACAGCTCTGTCTTTAGTTTTCTGCCAGAAAAATAGGCCTTTGAATGGCTTGAAACTTATATGAATAAATTAAGCTCAACCAATACTTCAGGGACATTACAATTTCAATAGGCAACTTATCCACTTAAATATTTTTATAAATGTTTTCATTTAGAAAAGAAGAAACAAAAAGGCAGACAATGATTCTTTTTGATTGTTAAAGAATACAAACATGATACAATGCTTTTAAGGAAAACATCAATGACTTTCAATGTGGGAAAGAAAGTTTCTCCTTATTTTGACAGTGTTATATGTGTTTGTTTATTTATTTTTTGAGACGGAGTTTTGCTCTTGTCGCCCAGGCTGGAGTGCAATGGCACAATCTCGGCTTGCTGCAACCTCTGCCTCCCAGGTTCAAGTGATTCTTCTGCCTCAGCCTCCCAAGTAGCTGGGACTACAGGCATATGCCACCACGCCCAGCTAATTTTTGTATTTTTAGTAGACACGGGGTTTCACCATGTTGGCCAGGCTAGTCGATGAATGTGTTTAAGTTAGAAGTGAAGTTGTTGAAATTTCTTCCGAATAGGAGAAATCCATATCAAATAGGTTGAACAGTTGTATCATTGTGCTAAAGAGAAAAGAATACACATGTAAGTGACATTTTCTGGATAATATATTTGAGCACATCTTTACCTTAACAGATAGTCTCTCATAAACCCAAGGGCAGTGCATACAGCAGTGTGTTACTGATGGCTTCTTTTGTCCTTGCCTGGTTCCTGCAAGTTTTCTATGGAACAACAGGACTTTTGTATTACTCTCTAATTTCCCTTACTTTGTTACTGTTTTTATTTTCATTAAAATTCATAATAAGATCCTCATTAGATGAAGTAATCTTGTTAAAAGCAGTGTTCTACTCTGATCTTTTTCCTTCTTATGTAAAAAAAAAAAATGTGCTTCCCTACCATACAAGTGAATTTCTTCTCTAATTAGACATGAATAGCTTTAGAGATCAAACACAGGCTGCTTTTGAAAACCAGATCTCTTAGGACACAGGGGCAATCTCATTACTGAAAATATGTGTTTCTGGGTTGCACAAGCCATTGAATTTCTTTCCCAATTAGCAGCAAATGGTTTTTCAGAACAATGAGGAAGAAGTTTGGTTTGTACTTTGCAAGTGTTGTTTTTTTCTTGGAGTTAGACTGGAAGTATCAACTACCATCATCTCTGTCCCTTCTTTTCCTCTCCCTGAGCAAAGGAACACACATGACTCTGTTTTATAGATAGTCAGAGTTCCAGGTAAATTCTTCATCCAAATGCTACTTCCTCTGGGCCAGGATTGGACTCCATGGTAGAAGGAACACCTATTTAAGACTACCTAGTTGTCAGCTACTGTCAGCTGTTATGATGTTAGGGGAGACTGCAAAATCATAAACACAGCAATGAGAAGCTGACAATGTCCTTGCTCTGGGGGGAGGAGGGGAACCATTCATGAGAGAATCTCTCCAAGTGCTGCCCCTAGAAGCAGATTAACCATGTTTTCTCTGGGTCTTTGGCAAAAAAGAAGTGGTGTCTGTGGAGAAGGGCTTCTTATCATTAAATAACCAACTGCTTGGGGTTCCAGATAATAGGTTGAGGTTCTAGAGTTTTAGGACAGTGCAGGAGGAAATAAGACCTGCCTGTCTAAACCTAAGTGTCAGTCAGAGTCAAGGGAACACAGAGGTCATGGACAGGATGTTTCTCTAAGTTGAGACATACTAGTAGTGCAGGAGTATGGGGAGATATGAGGAGCATGGCGAGGCTCCAACAGGAAGGTTGATGAGAGCTTTGACTTGGGGTCACTGCCACTCAGGTCCGAGCCTCAAAGTCTCTCCAGTGTGTGTCTGGCAAATATTCTTCTCTGGCCTTCCAAGAGTCCAGCTGTATGCTGATGGAACACGCTCAAATACTAATTTCCACAAGATCAGTACAGTCAAGAAAATCCACAACTGCCCCCACAATTACCATGACTCCTCACAAGGAATTAATGTCTACATTATATGCAAATTCGTGTTAGCTCTTTTTATTAATTTCTGCCCTTACCATCTCCCACCAATTTTGTTTCCTTTGGGCTTTGAGGAATTCAAAAATGATTACTGGGCTAAAACTTCCTCTGTCTGTTCCCTAAGCCACAATCACACTACTTCTAGTTTGTAAAAACATGCTTTATGGGTTGCAAGAAATTTTATTTCTTCATCTTTACTAAAGTTAGTTGATGCTGATGATAATGATGATATGATCACTAGCAACATCCCCCAGTTTTATCCACAAGGATATGGAGACTCAAATAGATGGAGTAACTTTTCCTGGATTATATGAACGCTAGGTCTTCAACCCTCCTTCCCAACCTCACCTTGAAGGGATAGGATAAGGAGGATCTTCAAGTTCAGAAAAATGTTTTAAATCCTTATCTCTGCCCCCACTTCCCCACCCCCCGCTGCCCCTGCCACCCCATTCTTCTCCCAAGGAGGAAATTTTCCCAAGGGCGTGCCAGAGGATGCCAGGATATTTACCATTTAAGAAAGTTTGGTTATTTCGCCATTTCACAGGAGACTTTAAGTTCTAGTCCTAAGGACTGCTGGAACTGAGAAATTCTTTCTCTTTCTTGTCTTCTATCTCCAATCCTTCTTCCCCATCTCTATAATTATTCTGTCCTCTTTACCCTTTGCCTCCATCCTGTGAAACTTAATCACGCAAATTGCATCATTCTTGTTATACCCAACTAAATCAGGGTTGAGAGGCTGGGTGGTGGAGTTGGGGGAGAAAGCACTCCGAGTACAAAAAATAAATAAATAAATAAAAATTGCTCCAAGAACGTAATTCTCAGCAAGACTGACTGCTGGAACTGCCTGCTGTAACCCGGGAGCAGTTTTATTTACAGCTGCTGAGATAACTTGCTGCAACTCTAGGACAAATTTTGCCCACTAATCAGAGCTTGCCAGCTCCCCAAACCCTTACTAGTGCCAATGAACTTTCTTGAAGAGCAATATGTAACATTTCTCTTGTTAATAAAACCTCTAAACTTCTCTTTTCTTCTTCAGACATACTGAAGACCACCTGGTCTATGTGTGTATCCCAAATTGCAAGTCTTTTTCCAAATAAAACATTAAATTTAGAGATTCAGCTCTAAATTTTTATTTTGACTTTGACAATCCTCATCCTAATTTGGCTTATGACCATCCTAGTGGCCACTATTCTTCTCTTTCTCTTCCTCTTCCTCATCCTTATCTTCTGAAAGCAGACCCTTTGGCTGGAGTCTTAGGATTCTACTACAAATAATACATCTTTGAGAAGTTCTCTATCGGTTATATGTATTTTTATTTTTTATTTTTTTTGCACTCTGTCACCCAGGCTGGAGTGCAGTGGTGTGATCTTGGCTCACTGCAACCTCAGCCTCCCAGGCTCAATCAATTCTCCTGCCTCAGCCTCATGAGTAGCTGGGCTTACAGGTGTGCACCACCATGCCCAGATAATTTTTGTATTTTAGTAGAGATGGGGTTTTGCCATGTTGGCCAAGTGGGTCTTCAACTCCCGACCTCAAGTGATTCACCCACCTTTGCCTCCCAAAGTGCTAGGATTATAGGCGTGAGCCACCTCGCCTGACCTGTTTTTAAATTTCAAAGTGCATTAATGAATGCAGTTGTATCTAAATTAAAGTGGCTCATGCAAAACTTGATGAAGAACCTTACCATTTTCTCACAGTATTCATAATCATGTTTGGATATGTCACTCTCTCTGGGCTAAAAACAATGTTTAAAAAAAGCTAAATAATGCTGCCCTCCAGGCTGCTTCTACTGCTCTTCACCTAGAAGCCAGAAAAAGGAACAAACAGTGACCTTTGGAGCTCATTATTATTGTGAAGAAACTGTAGATGAAAGCTTTGTACTTTTTCTGAGTGGGTAAATAATTTATCTTGGAATAAAAACTTAGACAAAAAGAGATAAGAGGAATATACAGTTACAGGCTTCAAAAATAGATATTTCTCACATCAGTTTAGTGGACAATTATCTAAATATATTAAAGATTGTGTAACAATATGGGGATATATTTATGATGGATTAAGGAGTGGAAAAGATGTAATGTAAAATTATATGTATTTGATGAAAACAATGTAAAAAATACACCACAGGAGAACATATGCATAGTTGATGAGTTATGTAAGGATGGCGGTTTCTAATTTAGTTGCAGTGTCTTCAGAGAACACGGTTTGCATGAACCCTGTTATTTGTTATTTGTCGAGAACTGCACTGCTTCTATTCAGTGGTCAGGTTTTATAAATATTCTGTGTGCTTAGAAAAAACATGCATTTACTATTGGGCACAGGGTCCTTTCTCCATGTGACTGTTAGATCAAGCTTGTTAATTGTGTTCAAATCTGTTTTTCTTCTTTTTTTTTTTTTTTGAGATGGAGTCTCACTCTGTCACCAGGCTGGAGTGCAATGGTGCGATCTCAGCTCACTGCAACCTCCGCCTCCCGGGTTTAGGCGACTCTCCTGCCTCAGCCTCCCGAGTAGCTGGGACTACAGGCACATGCCACCATGCCCAGCTAATTTTTGTATTTTTAGTAGAGACGTGGTTTCACCATATTGGCCAGGATGGTCTCAATCTCTTGACCTCGTGATCTGCACCCCCTCAGCCTCTCAAAGTGCTAGGATTACAGGTGTGAGCCACTGTGCCCGGCCCAAATATTTTATAGCTATACCAATCTTTAGTCTGATATAGAACATTATGATGATGTCTGAAATCTTCCCTTATGATTGTGGTTTTGTTTTTTTTTTTCTGTTTAATTTTTGCTTTCCCTTTTTTGCAGCTGTGTTATTTAATTTATACAAGTTTAAAACGATCATAGTTTCTTGATTAATTGTTCCTTTCATTATCATGTATTATCTCTCTTTATGCCTAGTAAATTTTTTTGGCTTAAGCTATATTTTTCCTTGCTACCAATACGGGTGCTCTTCAACTTACAATGCAAAACCACCATAAGTTGATATAATAACTCAGTTGTGAGCTGAGAAGCATACTAAATACCTGTCATTTTTGTGCCATCATAAAGTTGAAAAATTAGGTCAAACTCTCATAAGTTGCAGACCATCTATGTGGGTACACCAATGTTTTGTTAGTATTTGCTTGCTATAACTTTTCCATTTTTTGCTTTCAATCTTTCTGCAATTTTATATTTTAGATATGTCTATTATAAACAAGACATGGCTGAGTCTTCCACATCATAAATTTAGTCCATTTTCTTTTGTTTTTATTACAGATCTGGAAATTTTTTGGTCTTATATTGTACTCCTTATAGTCATTTTTCTATACTTTTTCTCCTTCCCTTGAGTTATTGATAATATGTTTAAGTTATTGATTTGAGATCTTTTTTCTTTCTCATATATGCATAAAAAACTACAAATTTTGCCCTAAGCTTTTCTTTAACTGCATCCTATAAATCTTGATATGTGGTATTTTCATTTTCATTCTGTTCCAAATATGTCTGATATAGGACTTGTATCCAGAGTATATAAATAATTCTTATAATTTATTAATAAGACAACCACTTAAAAATTGGGCAAAAAGATTTGAATAGAAGATGTAAGAATGGCTAATGGGCACATGAAAAGATGCTCAATATCTTAGTCATTAGGAAATTGAAAATTAAAGCCATAATAAGACCACTTCATATCCACTAGGATGACCATAAACAAAAAGATAGGCAATAATAAGGCTGGCAAGGTTGTGGAGAAATTGAAACCCTCATACGTTATTGGTGGAAATGTGAAGTAGTACAGCCACTTTGGAAAACAGTCTGGCAACTTCTGAAATTTAAATGTAAATTGCCATGCAACCCAGCAGTTTCACTCCTTGATATATACGCAAGACACATGAAAATATGTGTCCACACAGAGACTTGTACATCAGTGCTCATAGCAGCATTATTCATCATTACTGAAAAATGGAAACAACCCAAATATTCATCATATTCATGAAACATTGAATGGATGAAGAACATGTGGTATGTTAGCACAGTGGAATATTATTCAGCAGTGAAAAGAAAGAAACCATTACATGCTACACATGACAAACCTCAAAAAAGTATGTGAATTGAAACAAGCTATACACTAAAGACTATATATTGTAGGATTCCATTTGTCTGAAATGCCCGTAAAAAACAAATCTATAGAGACAGAAAGCAGACTGTGGTTTCCTGAGGTTGGGAGTGGAAATGGGATTGACAGCAAATGGCATGAGGGATCTTTAAGGGCTGATGGAAACTGGATTATGATAATGGGCATGCAACTCTATAAATGTCCTAAAAATCATTGAATTGTATGCATGAAATGGGTAAATTTAATGATGTTATACCTCAATAAAGCTGTTCTTTTTGGAAAAAACAGCTAGTGAACTAGAGTAGCTCTGCATTTTATTAAGAAATTATTTCTTACATCCTGTGCCTAGATGGCCAATATTACACTCAAGAAACTAATGGACATAGAAAAATTGAATGTACCTCCAAACACTCAAGATGAATACAGCAGTCTTCAATAGTCAACGTCATGGCCATTCCAGAGAGAAAAGGTCCAAGTTCAGTGCCTCGAACCTTGTTGCCTTCCGTGAAAGGAAGCAGTTGAAATGAGCTTTGCCCCTGGTGACACTCTTCCTTGTCACTAATTAACCAGCTCTATAGGAAGGTTGCTCCGCCAACACCTTGCTCTGCCTGGAGAGACATCTGGCCAAGTTCTGGTGAGCAGGAAAAATGTCTACTCGTTACCACCAAGCTGCTAGTGATAGTTACCTGGAACTTCTAAAAGAGGCTACCAAGCGAGATCTAAATCTTTCGGATGAAGACGGCATGACTCCTACTCTCTTGGCAGCCTACCATGGGAACTTGGAAGCCCTAGAGATAATCTGCAGTAGAGGGTAAGTTCAACCCGATGGTTTCTGTTGGAAACAGTGTTCATGGTAGGTTTTTGCAGACAGCAGCAAGAGGCAGGGACGTCAATACAAATACTTTATCCTCTTTCTAGATTGTCTAAATGATTGGATTTTTAGAGAAAGAGAGAAAACTATGCCTAGAGATGCTCTCTTTTCTCACTGAGGACTGGCACTATAGGAGTGGCTCATCCCTTAGCCACAATCAGAGGAGAGACCCTGAACTACGGCATTATCTGCATGGGGAAGAGGGAAGATATTTTAATTCTATGCCTTTAAAAATGCTTTTCATGAAATTTAAATAGTTTTCTCTTTTCAAAGAGGCCATTGTTTTACTTGGTTTTAAGTTGCCAACCTTGGTTGGAACAAATGACATGGTTTTAGTTTTTTTTTTATCTATGCCATCAAAATCTCACAGTCTTTTATTAACTTTCAATCCCAGTGCAAGCTCATGATTTTTTTATTTTTTATTTTTGACACAGGGTCTTGCTCTTTTGAATGGAGTTGCTGGCTCTACAAGGACTCTTTAGCCTATCTTAACTCTATCACTTCTTTGGCTAGTGGATAGATACACACACACACACACACACACACACACACACACACACCCCATCTCTTTGCCCAGATTTTAATGGAGGAGTAAGCTAGTTCCTCTGCTTGTTCTGCCTGTTATCAGAGGGCTAGGTTGTGTTGGCAACCGTAACCCAAGAGGGGTAAAGAAAGAGAAAAGGACAAGGTAAATAAAGGAGCCAAGTGAATCCAATTGAATACCCATTTATTCAGTATTTGTTATGTGCCAGCCACTTATCTCTTAAGATAAGAGATATTTTGCTAGCCACTGGGCACACTGTGATCAACAAGACAGCCACAGTCCCTGTCATAGTGAGCAGATTTGAGAGGGGAAGACAAGACATCTATGATATTTGTGTGTGTGTGTGTGTGCATGTTTGCTCTGAGACAGGGTCTCACTCTGTCACTCAGGCTGGAGTGCAGTGTCAAGATCATAGCTGACTGCAGCCTTGAGCCCCAGGCTCAAGTGGTCCTCCCATCTGAGCCTCCCGAGTAGCTGGGACAAGAGGTGTGCACCACCATGCCCAGCAATTTTTGTACTTTTTGTAGTGATGGGGTTTTGCCATGTTGCCCAGGATGGTCTTCAACTTATGAGCTCAAGCGATCTGACAGCCTCGGTCTCCCAAAGTGCTGGGATTACAGCTGTGAGCCACTGTGCCTGGCTCATCTATGATATTTGTTACAAAAAGGGAAATAGAGGGCACTAAATAGGCATCTACCTCAATCTCAGGGGTGAGGGAAGGCTTCCCTAAGGGGAAAGCATTTAAGCTGGGATTAGGAAAATGAGAACAAGTTGGCTAGACGAAAGAGTGTTTTCCCTAAGATGGAAAACTGCTCTAGTTCTGAGAACTAGAGAAGCTGAGTATGGCTGGATGTGGTTCAAGTAGGAGTGGGGTCAGGACAAGTATAAGAGATAAGACCAGATCACAAAGAGCCTTGTCAACTCTGGTAAGGACTTTATCCTAAGGGCCCAGGAAGCCATGTCTTGGGTAGGGAAGCTGCCAGAGTAGATTTATGTTTACAAAACTCACTCAGGTAGATGGATAACAGTCGGAGAGAATGTTTGGGGACTGTTTTAGTGGTCGAGATGAGTTGGACTAGGGTAGTGACATTGGGAATGGGAAGATATGGTTGGATTTGAGTGGCAGTTTGGATGTAGAATCAATAATGATTGACTGGATGTGGGCAGATAAAGGAAAAGGAGGGTTAAGGTCCCAGGTTTTGGATGTTGACACCCTTTATTAAAATAGGGGACATTTAGGAAGTGTCAGAAGAACCCAGGATTGGGAGAGTTCCTGAGTTGAAGATTGAATGAGAAAGTGAGTGAAGCAGATCTTCCCCATCTCTCTTGTCTGAATAAGACTTTCTTTTCTCAGACACATCGATCCCCATCAGCCAGCCTTCTCCAGTCATCTCATCTCTTCTCCTACTCAGCCTAGGGTTCCCCAGCTTTCTCCATCTACTGAAAGTCTACCTCATTCCACAAACTGCAAGATGTCAGTTACTTTAAAATCAAAGTATTAGCCTATTCTTGCATTGCTATAAGGAAATGCCTGGGCCTAGGTAATTTATAAAGAAAAGAGGTTTCACTGGCTCATAGTTCTACGGGCTGTACAGGAAGTATAGTAGCTTCTGCTTTTGGGGAGCCTTCAGGAAGCTTCCAATCATGGCAGAAGGAAAAGGCATCTCACATGGCAGAAGCAAGAGCAAGAGAGCAAGGGGGGAGGTGCTAGAAACCAGATCTAATGAGAGCTCACTATCATGAGGACAGTACCAAGGGGAATGGTGCTAAACCATTCATGAGAAATTCGCCCCCACGATCCAGTCACCTCCCACCAGTCCCTACCTCCAACATTGCGGATTACAATTTGATTTGAGGTTTGTTCCCCACCAAATCTCACAGATCCAAACTGTATCAACCAGTGAGTTTGTCCTCCTAGAAGAGGGTTTGGGGGTTCTGGGGTTCTTCTCAGCAGAGAGCTCTTGTTCCATTTGAGGACATTTTGAATAGTAATGCTTAGGTGTTCTCTCTCTTTCTCTCCTTTGAAAGCCTGAAATATTCTCTTACAATAACTCTTCTGCTGGTCTTTATTTATTTTTTATTTTTACTAGAGACAGGGCCTCGCTTTGTTGCCCAGGCTGGTCTCGAACTCCTGAGCTCAAATAATCCTCCTGCCTCAGCCTCCCAAAGTGTTGAGATTACAGGTGTGAGCCACAGCACTCAGCCTGGTTCTGCTAGTCTTTAATTACAAAAGTAACATGAGCTGAACCCAGAAAATTAAACCATACAGACGCACACAAAACATGAAGAAAAAATGTCCTATAATGCCATGCTACTAAGATGTATATAGTTCTCTCTATATATACTATAGTGCATACAAATACATTTTAATATTCTTCTATAAATTTCAGGGACTTTGTAGGACTCTAGTCAACAAATACATTTCTTAGCCAACCCCTCTTTTGGACACATAGTTTGTTTTCCCTAGTTTGAATAGGGCTATGATGACTATCCTTGTACATAAATCTTTGCTGACATTGTCTTTTGTGTTTTTTTGAGATGGAGTCTCTCTGTCACTCAGGCTGGAGTGCAGTAGCGTGATCTTGGCTCACTGCAACCTCCACCTCTCGGGTTTGAGCAATTTTCCTGCCTCAGCCTCCTAAGTAGCTGGGTCTACAGGCGTGCACTACCACGCCGGGCTAATTTTTGTATTTTTAGTAGGGACAGGGTTTCACCATGTTGGCCAGGCTGGTCTCGAACTCCTGACCTCAGGTGATTTGCCCACCTCGGCCTCCCAAAGTGTTGGGATTACAGGTGTGAGCCACCGGGCCTGGCCACATTTTCTTGAGAATAAATTCTCCAAAGTGAAATTTCTGGATCAATTTGCATTTGTGTTAGTCCATTTGTACTGCTATAACAAAATACCTTAGATTAGGTAATTTATAAAAACCAGAAATTTATTTCTTACAGCTCTGGCAGCAGAGACATCCAAGATCAAGGCACCAGCAGGACTGGTGTCTGATGACAGCCCTGTCTCCGCTTCCAAGATGGTGCCTTGTTGTTGCATCCTATGGCTGTGTCCTCACATGGAGGAAGGGAAGGAAGGGGCAAAAAAAAAAAAAAGGCAAATTCCCTGTGTCAAGTCCTTTTATAAGGGTGCTAACCCCATTCATGAGGGTAGAGTCTTCATGACTCAATCGTCTCCTAAAGGCCACACTGCTTAACGCTGTTACATTGACGATTAAGTTTCAACATGAATTCTGGAGGAGACACATTCAAACCATAGCAGCATATGTGCAATTTAAATAGTTTTGTGTGTGTGTAAATGGACATGCTGTCCTTCAGAAAGTGAGTACCCATTTTGGCCAACATGATAGGTCCAAAATGATATATTAGGCTGGGCGTGGTGGCTCACTCCTGTAATCCCAGCACTTTGGGAAGCCAAGGCGGGCAGATCACTTGAGGCCAGGAGTTCGAGGCCAGCCTGGCCAACATGGTGAAACCCCATCTCTACTAAAAATACAAAATTAGCATGGTGTGGTGGTGCACGCCTATAATCCCAGCTACTCAGGAGGCTGAGGCACAAATTGCTCCTGAATCCCTTGAATCCGGGTGGTGGAGGTTGCAGTGAGCCGAGATCAGGCAACTGCACTCCAGCCTGGGCAACAGAGTGAGACTCTGTCTCAAAAAACAAAACAAAACAAAACAAAATGATACACCAGTGTGGCTTTAATGTTCTTTTCTTTGGTTGCCGATGAGGTTGAAAATTCTTTTTATGCTTAAAAAGAATTGGCCATTGGATTGCCACTTTTGTGAACTGTGTATTTATAACTTTATTCCCCATTTATATTGGGGTTTTCAACCATTTCTCCTTGATTGATAAAAACACTTTTGAAAGTTAACAATATCAACTCTTTGTCATATAGGTTACAACTGTTTTACAATACACAATTTATATTTTTGACAACAGATTTTTAAATATAAATGTAAACATAAATATATATATATATATACGTATAAGTCTATCAATCTTTGTTGTGTGATTCTAACTTTGAGGTCATGCCTCAATACTGACTGATCCTTTAGTGCTATTTTTAGTTTCATTTGTTATTTTAAATACTTTATATAATTTAAGATCTGAATTATGATCTAACTCTGCATTCTCCAAGTGGCTACTCATTTATTCCAACACAATTAGTTGTTATAGTCTATCTCTTTCTCCACTAAGTTGACATGGTAACATCATTTCTTTCAATGTAATATAAATATCCAGTCCCCCCAATTTGCTTATATTAATATTTATTAAACACTGGCTATGGGTGCAAATATTCTTCTAACCTTGTTTTTCCTAGTCCTTCCTTCTCAACTCCTTTCTTCTCACGGGATCTAGTACATCTCAGATTTGTTTCATTGCCCTCAAAAGCATCTGGGATCTGCTGTGTTGAGCAGGCCTGATGTAGGCTAAAAAAAAGAACAGAAGTCTTGTGAGGTGCCTTTTTGACCATAGCTAATCCTGGGAACCAGTGTGAGGTCAAATTTCCAATTAGATTTAAGGAAGCTGAAAAGGGAAGAAAATTACCATCTCACATCAGTCAGAATGGCTATTATAACATCAAAAAATAACAGATGCTGGTGAGGTTGAGGAGAAAAGCGAACACTTATACACTGTTGGTGGGAGTGTAAATTAGTTCAACCATTGTGGAAAGCAGTGTGACAATTGCTCCAAGAGCTAAAAGCAGAACTACCATTCGAGCCAGCAATCTCATTACTGGGTATATACCCAAAGGAATATGAATCCTTCCACAATAAAGATACATGCCTGGATCATGCCTGTAATCCTAGCACTTTGGGAGGCCGAGGCGGGTGGGTCATTTGAGGTCAGGAGTTCAAGACCAGCCTGATCAACATGGTGAAACCTCATCTCTACTAAAAGAAAAACACAAAAAATTAACTGGGCGTGGTGGCACACACCTGTAATTCCAGCTCCTCAGGAGGCTGAGACACAAAAATTGCTTGAACCCGCAAGGAGAAGGTTGCAGTGAGCCAAGATCACGCCACTGCACTCCAGCCTGGGGAACAGCAAGACTCCATCTCAAAAAACAAACAAACAAACAAACACATGCATGTGAGTGTTCATTGCAGCACTGTCACAATAGCAAAGACATGGAATCAGCCTAAATGTCCATCAATGACAGATTGGATAAAGGAAATGTGGTACATATACAGCATGGAATAGTATGCAGTCGAAAAAGAATGAGATCACATATTTTGTGGGAACATGGGTGGAGATGGAGGCCATTATTCTTAGCGAGCTAACGCAGGAACAGAAAACCAAACACCACATATTCTTACTGATAAGTGGGAGCTAAATGATGAGAACATGTTGGCTTAGTGCCTGGGTGACAAAATTATCTACAACAAACACTCGTGATATGAGTTTACCTATATAACAAACCTGCACATGTACTCCTGAACCTAAAATTAAAAAAAATTGAAAATTGAATTTAGAAGCTAATCAACTATTGAAATACTGAAGTCCATTTCAGTCTGATGATTTAAGAGTTTATCTGTCATTACCTGATAGACAACGAATCCTATAGCAACCATTTATATTAAAACTCTGGCTTTGTTAGAAAACTATTTTCCTTTGTTTTTAAAATTTGAAGATGGAAAACAATCATTACATGTATTTTCCTGCACTAGGAAGCATAATGGCCCAATTACAAAAAAAAATTCATTTTACCTTTAAAGTGTATGAAATTTCTTGGTTTTATTTTTTAAAATGGAAACTAGACTTTTTCCCCCAGATTCTTTTTTTTTTGTGATGGAGTCTCGCTTCTGTCGCCCATCCTGGAGTGCAATGATGGGATCTTGGCTCACTGCAACCTCCGCCACCTAGGTTCGAGTGATTCTCCTGCCTCAGCCTCTGGAATAGCTGAGACTACAGGTGCCTGCCACCACACCCCGCTAATTTTTGTATTTTTAGTAGAGACAAGGTTTCACCATGTTGGCCAGGCTGGTCTGATTCTTAAAGAAATACATACTTATTGTAATATTTCACATCATATTGAATAGAATTGATAAAGTAAAAATTATACCAATTCCTACAGTTATCAACATTTGGGTACATATCCTTCCAGACTTTTTCCTTTGAGTACATGCAAACACATGTACATTCTCTCCCTTTAAAAGACAATCATATAAACTATACTGAAACCTTCTAATTATTTAACAATATATCATGGACCATTTGCACTTAAAAGTTGAGATCCACGCCACTATTTTATTTTTTTTTTAATAATTTCAACTTTTTTTTTTTTGTGAGAGACAGAGTCTTGTTCTGTCACCTAGGCTGGAGTGCAGTGGCACAATCTTGGCTCACTGCATCCTCCACCTCCCAGGTTTGAGTGATTCTCCTGCCTCAGCTTCCCAAGCAGCTGGAACTACAGGTATGCGCCACCATGCCCAGCTAATTTTGGTATTTTTTAGTAGAGACAGGGTTTCACTATATGTTGGCCAGGCCGGTCTCGAACTCCTGACTTCAGGCGATCCACCTGCCTTGGCCTCCCAAATTGTTGGGATTACAGGTGTGAGTCACTGCACCACGCCAGTTTCAACTTTTAGATTTAGAGGGTACGTGTGCAGGTTTGCTGCATGGGTACACTGCATGGTGCTGGTGTTTGGGGTATGACTGATCCCATCACCCAGGTAGTGAGCATGGTACCAAATAGTTTTTCAACCGTTGCCCTCCTCTCATAGTCCCCCGTGTCTGTTGTTGCTATCTTTACGTCTGTGAGTACCCAATGTTTAGCTCTCACTCATAAGTAAGAATATGCGGTAGTGGGTTTTCCATTCCTGTGTTAATTTGCTAGGGATGGGATAATGCATGCCACTATCTTTAATGACTTCATGGTATTCTGTTTTATGGTGTTTGTTTGTTTGTTTTTGAGATGGACTCTCGCTCTGTCATCCAGGCTGGAGTGCAGTGGTGCGATCTCAGTTCACTGCACCCTCAGCCTCCCAGGTTCAAGCAATTCTCCTGCCTGTCTCCAGAGTAGCTGGGGTTACAGGCACATGCTACCACCCCCACTTAATTTTTGTAGTTTTAGTAGAGATGAGGTTTCACCATGTTGGCCGGGCTGGTCTCAAACTCCTGGCCTCAAGTGATCAACCCACCTTGGCCTCCCAAAGTGCTAGGATTATAGGCGTGAGCTACTGTGCCTGGCCAGTTTCATTATTTTTATTAATTAACAAAAATTATATATATTTATGGTGTACAACGTGATTTTTAAAAATATGTATACATTGTGGAATTAAGTCAAGCTAATTGACTATGTGTTATCTTCTATACTTTTTGTGATGAGAACATTAAAATCTACTTGGTAGGCAATTTTCAAATATACAGTGTATTGTTATTAACTATAGCCATTGAGCTGAGCATGATGGCTCATGCCTGTAATCCCAGCTCTTTGGGAGGTTGAGGCAGGAGGATTGCTTGAGGCCAGGAGTTCGAGACTAGCCTGGGCAACATAGCAAGACCCCATCTCTATAAAAAATAAATAACTAATTTTTAAAAAAACTATAGTCATCATGTGTTACAATAGATGTCTTGTACTTATTCCTCCTGTCTCACTGAAATTTTGTATCCTTTGACCAACTCCCCAGTCTGCCTCTGCCTAGTTACCACCATTCTACTTTCTGCTTCTAGGAGACTTTTCTTTTAGACGGAGTCTCACTCTGTCACCAGGCTGGAGTGAAGTGGCACGATCTTGGCTCACTGCAACCTCCGCCTCCCGGATTCAAGCAATTCTCCTGCCTCAGCCCTCCCAAGTAGCTGGGACTACAGGCACGTGCCACCACACCCAGCTAATTTTTGTATTTTCAGTAGAGATGGGGTTTCACCATGGTGGCCAGGATGGTTTCAATCTCTTGACCTCGTGATCTGCCCACCTCAGCCTCCCGAAGTGCTGGGATTACAGGCATGAGCCACTGCGCCCAGCCTCTAGGAGACTTTTTTAGATTCCACATTTAAGTGAGATCATGTGGTATTCGTCTTTCTGTGCCTGTCTTATTTCACTTAACATACTGTCCTCCAGGCTCATCCATGTTGTCGAAAATGACAGGATCCGTTTGTTTCTTAAGACTGGATAGTATTCCATTGTGTGGAGCCACCATGTTTTCTTTATCCATTCTTCCACTGATGGACACAGATTAATGCCATAATATATGTAATCAGTTGACTATTCATGTTGCTTAATTTGAACCCACTCTTTTTCCTGTTATAAGTAAGTTTGGGAGGAACATTCCTGCTCATTCATCTTTGCACAAAGATCTTATATTTCCTTAGGACAAATTCCTAAATGTAGAATTGTAGATTCAAAAGAGTGCCTCATTTTAAAGGCTTTTTGTGTGTATTGTGCCAGGAAATTTGAACCACTTTCTGCTTCTTCCAGCAGTATTTCTTTCCCCATACTCCTGCCAAAACCAAGTATTACTATTCTTTTTAATCGTTGCCTATCTGATTGGCAAAAGGCAGAGTATTGTTTCAATTTGCATTTCTTTGACTATTAGTGAGTCCAAATATTTCTTTTTATGCAGAAAAACGTTTTTGAAAGAATAGTTGAGAACTTCACAAAAAATCAACTTCAGGAGGAAAAATTGGAATGTAACAGATGCTCAGGGTAATTTAAGCAAATTGCCTACTTAGTGACAGTAGTGCTAAGCCAGCTTTAAAAACTATTGCCCAAATGCACTGATCTACCAAAAATCAAGGGAAAAATGGGTTATTTTAAAATCTCTTCAGTGAGTTTCTCTTTTGGGGAAAAGGGAAATAGAAAAAAACAACACTAGACTGAGCTTAGCCCACGAAAACCGTAGAGCATCAATGTTGAACTCAGATTATCAAACGACAGGACTAGTTTTCCACCCAGGCAGTTGTATGCAATGGTTCTATCAAGAAATGTGAACAATGACAAGTATGGAATTTAAAAGGACTCCATGCAACTTGTCTGTAGAAAATATTTCCATTTAAATTGTACATCAATTTGGAAATGTGTCTGTAAGTAGAAGTTTTGCAAGTTTTTTGTTTTGTTTTGTTTTGTTTTTGAGACGGAGTCTTGCTCTGTTGCCTGGGCTGGAGTGCAGTGGTGTGATCTCAGCTCACTGCAAGCTCCGCCTCCTGGGTTCACGCCATTCTCCTGCCTCAGCCTCCCGAGTAGCTGGGACTACAGGTACACACCACCATGCCTGGCTAATTTTTTTTGTATTTTTAGTAGAGACGGGGTTTCACCATGTTAGCCAGGATGGTCTTGATCTTCTGACCTCGTGATCCACCCACCTTGGCCTCCCAAAGTGCTGGGATTACAGACATAAGCCACTGTGCCCAGCCAAAGTTTTGCAAGTTTTAATAGCTTAAAGCCACTAGGAAAACCCATGAATTGTCTTACTGACAGTTTCATCTGTAAATCTGGAATTTTGCATTTGAAATTTTCTCAAAAGAAGGCCCACCTTTGGGGTCATCTCAGGTGTACTGTTCTTCCTTCTGTCTTGAAAGCATCATTTAAGATTCAGTGAAATGGGTGCAGCTGTAAAAAAAAAAAAAAAAAAAAATGAGATCATGTCCTTTGCAGGGACATGGATGAAGCTGGAAGCCATCATTCTCAGCAAACTAACACAGGAACAGAAAACCAAACACTGCATGTTCTCACTCATAAATGGGAGTTGAACAATGAGAAGACATGGACACAGGGAGGGGAACATCACACACCGGGGCCTGTTGGGGGGTCGGGGGCAAGAGGAGGGAGAGCATTAGGACAAATACCTACTGCATGAAGGGCTTAAAACCTAGATGACAGGTTGACAGGTGCAGCAAACCACCATGGCACATGTATACCTAGGTAACAGACCTGTATGTTCTGCACATGTATCCCAGAACTTAAAGCAAAATAAAAATTCAGTGAAATGAGAAAATTCCACCAGTCTATAGTCTTAAGCATATACATTTAACCCGGACACCTTAGTGCCCTTCTGCATCCCCCCTGCAGCTCACTCCTCCCAATAATTTTGTTTTCAACTTATCCAATCCAAGGATAACTTCAGGCAAATTTAATCAGTATGTTTCTCTTTCTGTTGATAGTAACGTCTTGGGTGTTTTACAATCCCTCTTTGATGTCTAGGATACTTAAGGAGTCTTTTGCATCTAGTGTTTATTTAAAATAAAAAGTGAAACCACATGTTTAGGGGGGAGACACAGCGGTCCCTTAAGATGCGGGTCTGTGCCAAGGTTGAAGGGTCTCCTTTCATCCCAAACAATTAAGTCAGGCTGACTGACCAGAGCCTTCTGGAAAGTGGCTTCCCAGCAAAACTGTGTTACTTAATATTTGCTTTCCTTAGATTTGATTTCATTTTCTTTCCTTTTCCACTCTTTCCCCTTACCCCCAACTCCACACACTCTGGTCACGCTGATCTATACTCCTGGTTCCCCAAATAGGCCTTGTAATATCAGCCATCTGTGCCTCTGCTCACACTGTTCTCTCTGCTCAGAAGGAGGTTACCAGTTGCCAGCTTATGGGCTGGAGCTGGTCCACAAATGTGTTTTATTTGGACTTTACTATATTTTTCTTTTAAATTTGAGCCAACACTTAAAAATCACAGAATTTCGCTTGAAATTCTGGATTTGTGGCTTCGTTTGAAAAATGGGAGCTCTGGCAATATTGTTTCCGCTTTGATTCAAGGTAGCTGAGCTGTGGTCCTTTCTAGGTGGAGTATGCATTTAACTGTGACTTTGTTGAAAGAGCAAACTTGGCCCCATTCAGTCACTTACATGACTTGCTGGACTTCTTTGAGTTGGGTTGGAGACTTCTGCCGGGACATGTGGCTGACACAAAGGAGAAAGAGACACAGGCTTTGCCCTCTGGGGCATATTATCCAATTAAGGAGACAAGGCATAAATATTTGTCAGATTAAAACTGGAAGTGATTGATTGATTGATTTTTTTTTTATTTTTTTGAGACAGAGTCTCACTTTGTCACCCAGGCTGGAGTGCGGCGGCGCAATCTCGGCTCACTGCAATCTCCACCTCCCAGGTTCTCCTGCCTCAGTCTCCTGAGTAGCTGGGACTACAGGCGCGCACCACCATGCCTGGCTAATTTTTGTACTTTTAGTAGAGATGGGGTTTCACCATGTTGAATAGGCTGGTCTCAAACTCCTGGCCTCCAGTGATCCACCAGCCTCGGCCTCCCAAAGTGCTGGGATTATAGGCATGAGCCACCTCACCTGGCCTATAAGTGATTTTTAAAAACCCACAAGCATTATTGTGCTGTAGGAATTTACTAGTTGAATACAAGGAAAAATAAATACATGAAATTAAGGATTATGAGTTTGGGGGCAAGGGCAAGGATAATAAGTAATGTTTATTCAATATTTACTATGTGCCAAGCAGTTTTCCAATGCTTTATGTAGATTAATTTATTTAATTCACATAACTCTATGAATAGGTAATAGTATTATCTTCAATTTACAGATGAGTGTTAGAAATGTTTGTCTTTTGGTGTTGCAAAGAAATAGTATTTGAACATAAATTTAATTTTTTTAGTAAGGCTATTTTTATTTTTCGTAGAAAGGGTATATTTGTTAGTAGTTTTGTTATGAGAGTATATTGAACAAAGGAGACAGGGTTATTTATAACTTGATGTGTTTAATGTTGTGTTTGGTTTTTATTGGCTGGAATGGGACTTTACATTTTGTATTTGTCTTGATTGGTTAGTAACTTAGAACTTTTTAAAAGAGGCAAAGGCAGAGGAGAACAAAGGAAGGAGAAAGTAATTTGTGGAATGTTGAGAAAGGTAAAAACACTTTTAAATAAGGAAGAGGAACAGGCTATGACTTAATGTTTGTTTGGACTACTATAAGTATGTTAGGGTAAATATTTAAGCTAAATTGTGGGAGTTAAGAGTATAAAGTATATTGATTTTTTTATTATGGCTAGTAGATATTTAAGAATGTTAGTACAGGTTTTTGAATAAATTTTGTTTTTAAGAGAAGTTATTATTTATTTTTAATTAGATGGGGAGGAAAGTTTTTGAAGAGGAAACTTTATTTTACTTTTTACATGAAGAAACCAAGTCCTAGAAAAATTAAACTTGAGGCCATGTAGCTGGTAAAATGGAAAAGCCCAGTTGTGTTAATCTAGGATGTATTGTATTGGAGATGATTTGACTGGGAGACCAGCCTGATCCAAATCATGCTGCCTGTTACCCTTGGGCAAATCAATTAAGCTCTCTGAGTCTTATTTTATTCCTGCAGTAATGATTCTTGCCTGCCTTCTCTAAGAGGGAGATTGTGATGGTTGAAGGCAAAGAATGTGAAAGTGCTTCTTTGTAACTAACACACACCAAAGAGCCAGGGATTCCCGTGGAGTAACTGCAAATCTGATTTATCAAATTATAGGACCCTGGTCGGATCACACTAACCAGTGAAGTTCTTTTCAATCTGTAGTGAGCCTACGAATCACCTGCGGATCTTGCTAAAGTGTAGATTCTGATTCAATAGGTCTGGGTGAGAGTCTTCTGTACTTTTTTTGGTTTGCTTTTTTTTTTTTTTGGAGAGAGTCTCACTCTGTCACCCAGGCTGGAGTGCAGTGGTGTGATCTCGGCTCACTGCAACCTCCGCCTCCGGGGTTTAAGCAATTCTCTGCCTCAGCCTCCTGAGAAACTGGGATTACAGACATGTGCCACCACGCCCGGCTAATTTTTGTATTTTTAGTAGAGACAGGGTTTCACAATGTTGACCAGGCTGATCTTGAACTCCTGACCTTGTGATCCACCCACCTCGACCTCCCAAAGTGCTGGGATTACAGGCATGAGAGTCTTCTGAACTTCTAACAAACTCACAGGTGATGCATCTGCTTCTGGTCTGGAGACCCAACGTTGAGCAGCCAGGAACTAGTAGAATGGTCGTGGCGCACTAACAGGTCATTTGCAAGGGTGCAGATCTTCTCTTCTGCTTCTGTCTGCCCTCTACTTCTCGGGAATGTTAAGAGGACTTCTCAGACTCACTGTCCTCTTTCCATGGGGCCAGGCTGGCCAGAGTTTAGTGAGATCCTGATTTTGGAGTCTAGCCTAGGGCAAAGGAAGGACCCCTTAGTATCTGTATTATCAGAGTTCTCAGCATTGGCGCATGGCTCTGGCCATCATTAAAAATAGTTACTCGACTTTTTATCTGTTCCTGTTTGTAACTCAAGTCCTTGTAGGAGAGGAGGGTTTGCTGCCTTGGGCAGGATTCCAGTAGGTTTTCATTCATTCCACAAATACTGGAGCACCTACTATGTCCCTGTTCTGTGCCAGGCATTAGGTTTATGGCCTTAATACCATCTAATAGTATCCCCAATTCCACCTTAAACTCTTGTAGAATGACACACTTATATGAACCTGCAGTCATGGAAGTAAGTTGAGGAATAAATAGAGATGTAATGCCCTTTTAATGAATAATGTTTGTAACAGACACTGTTTGCTACCTCTCCAACATCCTTTTCTTTCTTCTTTCCTGCTGATGGGGACTGAGTTTGGTTCAGTTATTTATTTCCCCACATGTGGCTCAATTCGGGAGGGTAGCAGTAGCATGCTGGAACCAGCTTGTCAGAGTTATTTCCAAATTTTAGAAAGTTTGACAGCTAAATATAGCCATTCTTTCTTACTTTTTATTTTTATTTTAAAAAAAAATTTAATGGAGGCAGGTCTTGTTATGTTTCCCAGGCTGGTCTTGAATGCCTGGCCTCAAGCAAATCTCCCACCTCAGCCTCCCAGTGCTGGGATTACAGGCACGAGCCACTGAGCCTAGCCTTTTTTTTTTTTTTTTTTAAGGCAGGGTCTTGCTGTGTTGCCCAGGCTGTAGACAGTGGTGCAATCATAGGTTACTGTAAGCCTGAGCTTCTGAGAACATAGCCATTCTTAAAAATAAAATTACAGGCTGGGCGTGGTGGCTCACAACTGTAATCCCAGCACTTTGGGAGGCTGAGGCGGGTGGATCACCTGAGGTCAGGAGTTTGAGACCAGCCTGACCAACACGGTGAAACTCCATCTCTACTAAAAATACAAAAATTAGCTGGGTGCAGTGGTGGGTGCCTGCAGTCCCAGCTACTCGGGAGGCTGAGGCAGGAGAATCGCTTGAACCTGGGAGGTGGAGGTTGCAGTCAAGCCGAGATTGCACCACTGCACTCCAGCCTGGACGACAGAGCAAGACTTCATCTCAAAAAAAATTATATAAACTTATAATTTAACAAATTATATTAAAAAGATAACACGAAAGTCTCACTTTCTACTTATTTTAATACATTTCACTCTTACCTGTCTCTTAAGATGATTCATGTCCATTATATCTACATGGGGGAAATAGTTGATAATGGTACGCTACTGTGTATCTCTTCCAAACTCTGTCCAGTGATGTTACATTGGTAGCTTGAAATTTGCCATGGTGGATGTATTTACACCACAGAAATTGGCACATGCTACAAATTAGGATTTTGATGTTATTATTTTCTTGATAAGCCATTGAACAATCCTATCCCTAGTTTCAGGGCAAAATCTAATTGATCTAAGTTAAACACAATAGTATGTTTCCCATCTCTTAGGCGTGTAACCTAGTGCTGGCCAATGAGACAAGAAAGTTGTTTGGCTGGAGAATTTCTTAGTAAGTTTTTCTCACTTCTAAAAAGGAGACACAGCCAGGCACGGTGGCTTACACCTGTAATCCCAACAATTTGGGACGCCAAGGCAAGCAGATGGCTTGAGGCCAGGAGTTTGCGACCAGCCTGGGCAACATGGTGAAACCCTGTCTCTACAAAAAATTAGCTAGGTGTCATGGTGCATGCCTGTAGTCTCAGCTACTCAGGAGGCTGAGCAGGGAGAATCACCTGAGCCTGGGAGGTCAAGGCTGCCAATGAGCTGTGATCACACCATTCCACTCCAGCCTGGGAGATAGAGTGAGAACCTGTCTCAAAACAAAACAAAGGAAACAAACAAAAAGGAGACACACGGTAGAGATGGGCTCTGTTTCTGGCCATGTGGTTTTAAGATGGGATGGTTCTAAGACAGTTGGACTTGCAGCCAGTATCTTATAACAATGTCAAGTCAGGATGAACATGTTTGTATTAACGTGCCTTTTGTTCTTTATTTTTGTTTTGATTTTTTTGGGCCTGCGTTCAGAGAAAAAAAGTCCAACATGTATTTTTTTTCTCTCTCTCTCTTCTAGAGGGGACCCTGATAGGTGTGACATCTGGGGAAACACTCCTCTACATTTTGCAGCCTCCAATGGCCATGCCCACTGCGTCTCATTCCTGGTCAACTTTGGTGCCAACATCTTTGCCCTGGATAATGACTTACAGACTCCACTGGATGCTGCTGCCAGCAGGGAGCAGAATGAATGTGTTGCTCTCCTGGACAAGGCTGCCACTGCACAGAACATCATGAACCCCAAGAAGGTCACCAGGCTGAAGGAGCAGGCTCAGAAGAATGCCAGGAGGCAGATCAAAGAGTGTGAGAGGCTCCAGGAGAAGCACCAAAATAAGATGGCCCACACCTACAGCAAGGAGGAATCCGGGACTCTCTCTTCTTCCAAGGGTACCTTCTCCAGATCATCCCCTTCAAATGCTTCTGCTCCTGGCACATTCGGGTCACTATCTAAGGGCATTAAAGACACTTTCAAGATCAAGTTCAAGAAGAACAAAGATACAGCAGAACAGGTGGGGAAGGAAGGCAGAAGTGGGCAGAGGAACGTGATGGAAGTGTTCAGAGAGGAAGAGGAAGACTCGTTCTCAGGGGACTTCAAAGAGAAGCTCCAGTTGTCAGCAGAGGAGGACGGCAGTGTGCACCATGAATCCATTCTCAATCGTCCAGGTCTAGGAAGTATTGTTTTTAGAAGGAACAGGATATCGAGTCCTGAAGACATCTCAGATAGCAAGAGAGAGTTTGGTTTTAAACTGCCCAGTGAATTGCTTCAAAGACAAGGAGCATCAGAGGCTGATGAGGGTGCAGCTGATGAAGAGGGAGAGGAAAACGGCCTCAAAGATGATCTGCCGTGGGATGACGATGAAGTGGAGTGGGAGGAAGATGTGGTCGATGCCACGCCCCTGGAAGTGTTCTTGCTGTCTCAGCACCTGGAAGAATTCCTGCCTATCTTCAAGAGAGAGCAGATTGATCTAGAAGCTCTGCTGCTCTGCTCTGATGAGGACCTTCAGAGCATACAAATGCAGCTGGGTCCCAGGAAGAAAGTTCTGAATGCTATCAACAGGAGGAAGCAGGTGCTTCAACAGCCTGGGCAGCTGGTCGACACCAGCCTGTGATGGAGAGTTTTGGCCTGGAGCATTGGGGTGATGCTGTGGCCCGCTGGCAGCACTCCAGGCGGCACCCCCTCTTTACCCAATGCCAGACCACTGGGAATGGATTCTAGGGCATCGGAAATGCCTACCTGAGAGAGAGACCCAAACTTTACTCTGGGAGGTAGGCTATGCCCATCCAAATAAATCTCCATGAGAAACTTGAGGAGACTTCATAACAAGAATCTGGCATTTCTCTTCAGTTATCTTATATGTACATATAATTGTTTTTGTGGTTGTTTTGTTTTGTTTTGTTTTGTTTTTTGGAGATGAAGGTCTCAGTCTCTTACCCAGGCTAGGGTGCAGTGGTATGATCATAGTTCACTGTATTCTCAACCTCCTGGGCTCAAATGATCTCCTCCCACCTCAGCCTCCCAAGTAGCTGAGACTACAGGTTCACACCCCCCACACCTGGCTTATTTTGTATGTTTTAGTAGAGGTGGGGTCTTGCCACATTGCCCAGGCTGGTCTCAAACTCCTGGCCTCAAGCAATCCTCCCACCTCAGCCTCCTAAAGCACTGGGATTACAGGTGTGAACCACCGTACCCAGCCTATCTTTTTGATACTTTTGAATAAAGAAAGGGTCATATGCATGACAGGAAAATGAAAGAAACTTCCTTTACTTTTCTATCTCTGGATTTAAAATTATAATCTCATCACATTATCCTGCTGCTTGCTTTCCGATCTGTGTAACCTGGGAATTCCAATTCTTTTTCTCTCCTGAGATCTATGACTTTGCCTAGTGGTAGAGACTAGAGTTCTTTCCTGGCCTGCGGCTTGATGCCCAACTTAAATGCATCTAACCCTTTAACAAATGTGTACATGTTTACAAGTAATGGAAATGCGTCTATAATACTCCTGCCTGAGAATAGAGACAGAGTGGTGGTGGGGAGAGTGAAGAAAGAGATAGAATACAGGTGGTACCTGTTGTGGACTGAATTGCGTCAAATTCATATGTTGGAGCTCTAACCCCTAATGTGACTGTAATTGGAAATAAGACCTTTAAAGAAGTGATTAAGGTTAAATGAAGTCATAAGAATGCAACCCTAATCCTGTAGGACTGGTGTCCTTTTTTTCCCTTTTTTTTTTTTTTTTTGAGATGGAGCCTTGCTCTGTCACTCATGCTGGAGTGCAGTGGCGTGATCTCAGCTCACTGCAACCCCCGCCTCCCAGGTTCGAGCACTTTTCATGCCTCAGCCTCCTGAGTAGCTGGGATTACAGGCGTGCACCACAACGCCTGGCTAAGTTTTTGTATTTTTAGTAGAGGCGGGGTTTCACCATGTTGGCCAGGCTGGTCTCAAACTCCTGACCTCAGGTGATCCACCTGCCTCGGCCTCCCAGAGTGCTGGGATTACAGGCATGAGCCACTGCACCTGGCCTAGGACTGGTGTCCTAAGAAGAGGAAGAGACACTTAGGTGGAAGGCACACAGAGAGGCCACGTGAGGACACAGTGAGAAGGTGGCCGTCTGCAAGCCGAGGAGGGGGCCTCAGGAGAAACCAACCCTGCAATCACCTTGATCTTGGGCTTTCAGCCCCCAAAGGTGTGAGAAAATAAACTTCGGTTGATAAACTGCTGTTGTTGAAGCCATCCAGTCTGTGGCATTTTGTTATGGCAGTCCTAGCAGAATAATACTGTCCTAAGTAAGAGGGTTGGGGAGGAGACCAAGAAAAATACAGAAAAAAAGTCTGTCCAACTGCAATTGATGAGTTTTGTAAGGGTAAACACCTAGTGAAACTTAAGGGGAAAAAAAACTAAGTTCTTTGGAGGGAAGATTTGATTGTCAAAGGAAATTTCACATTTTCATGCTTATTATGTACACATGGTTTATTTACTGTTGTCTGTCACCATTGCCGCATATCTGAATATGTGTAGGTTCCACGATAGAAACTGACAACACTTGGCTCATGCCTGTAATCCCAGCACTTTGGGAGGCCCAGGCAGGCAGATCACCTGAGGTCAGGAGTTCAAGACCAGCCTGGCCAACATGGCGGAAACCCGTCTCTACTAAAAATACAAAAATTAGCCAGGTGTGGTGGCGTGTGCCTGTAATCCCAGCTACTTGGGAGGCTGAGGCAAGAGAATTGCTTGAACCCAAAAGGTGGAGGTTGCAGTGAGTTGAGATTGCACCACTGCACTCTAGCCCAGGCGGTAAGAGAGACTCCATCTCAAAAAAAAAAAAAAAAAAAAAGAAAAAAGAAACTGACAACACTGCTGCTGACATTTTTTCAATGGCAATCCCAAATTCAAACTGAAACCCCACTGAAGAGCTAAGCTTCATTAGATCTCTACAGGCTGACTTACATCAAGTGGAATTTACTGTTGATTCTGGGTATAATACAGAAACAGCTGTTTATCTTCAGCTTGCTTTCTGATGCACATCTGTTTGGGTTACTTCAAGAGGCATCATGGAGGATTCAAGTTTAGGGAGGATACAGATGCTCAAATCTGATGAACAATTGGCTTATTCTTCCTCAATGAATATATTCAGAAAGCTTGTTAGCCATTGAATAAACACGTTGCATTAGGGGATGATTGTTTACAAATACCTTATCTTGTGGAATAAACTGAAGTTGTGCTTTCCTTCATTAACGTGCACAGAAGCAGTTGGCAAATAGAAAGTGCTCAAAAAAGTTTGTAGTCTGTGCCTGCCACTATTATATTTCATCATCATAGATGCCAGAATCCCCTCTTCACCTATTGCCCGGAATCTGCCTAATGAGATATTTGCTCCACCCCCTGCTGTAACTACATCATAGCAAGAGAGCCATCACTCAGGTTGGTAGAAATGAACTTGAACATTGACTCTCATCCCTTTTTAGGAGATATTTGCCACTAGGGGTCTCATCAGGTACCTCTATGCTCTTCTTAGGGGTTCTTTTCTTTTATGATTGACAGAATTAATAGGTGAGCGTTCTCCAAAGTTCTCAGCATCAAGGATATAGTCTCTTCGTCACAGAGTATTGTTATATAATAAAAAAAGGTTTATACCATGTTATAAGATGTTATCAATGTTCTAAGAATTCCAGATCTTTCGAACTAAATACCAACTACAGGGGCTAAGAGAAGATGCCAGAGCAATACAAAGGCCTTGATAAGAGACAAAGACAAGAGGATTATGAGCCAGGATGAGCTTCAAGTACTCACTGATCTCAGACCTCCATCTCTTAAACTAGATGCTTAGAGTAGCTCAATCCAATATCTGGTCACCCCTACCACCTCCTGGCCCCTCTTTTCCCCCTCTATGTAGCTTGACATAAAAGTCAACAAGAGGGAAAAGCAGCTGGGAGCATTTCACCGAAGAGGAGAGTTTGAGAAGTTATAGTGTGGTAAATGTGTATTGTGCTTATATTTCAGGCCATTGTGTAGTACAGGTCAGTTATATGCTCAGAATTCCTAAGTCCAAGTTACCAGCCCAGACCATTGCTTTGGGCACCAAATACTTAAGCCCAAATCTAATCTGACATCTCCTCTCACATGTCTCACAAGTACCCCATACTCAGTGTGTCCAGGACTGAACCCATTTTCTTCCAGGTTGTCAGTTCTCAACTTGGATGATTTTGCCCTCTGTCTCCTAGAGGACATGTGGCAATATCTAGAGACATTTTTTGATTGCCATGATAGGGGAACAGTGGTGCAACTGACATCCAGTGGGTAGAAACAATGGGTGCTAAACATCCTAGAATGTACAGGACAGCCCACCACCACAATGAATTATCGAGACCCAAATAGTGATCGTGCTCAGTTTCAGCTGCATTAAAACATGCAGCTCTAAATCTTCATTTTTCATAAATGGAAAATTTAACCCAATACTTCTTTTCATCACCCAATTGGTCACCAGGCCCTTTCAACTTTTCAATATGTCTCAGAGCTAAATCCTCTTTGATGTTTGCAAGATGACCTATTGGTTCCTGCCCCCAACCATCACTCACTGGATTGCTGTAAGTATCCTTATCTGTCTTTAATTCATTCTCCACAAGGCTGGTTGAGTCACGTAATCTTTTTAATATGTAAGTCTCTTGTCACTTTCTACTTTACTGTTGCTTTTTTTTTTTTTTTTTTTTTAAGACGCAGTTTTGCTCTTGTTGCCCAGGCTGGAGTGCAATAGCACGATCTCAGCTCACCGCAACCTCAGCCTCCTGGGTTCAAGTGATTCTCCTGCCTCAGCCTCCCAAGTAGCTGGAATTACAGGCATGTGCCACCAAGCCTGGCTAATGTTGTATTTTTAGTAGAGACAGGGTTTCTCCATGTTGGTCAGGCTGGTCTCGAACTCCCGACCTCAGGTGATCCACCTGCCTCAGCCTCCCAAAGTGCTGGGATTACAGGCGTGAGCCACTGGGCTCAGCCACCATTGCTTTTCAAACTCTCACCACCACACAGAAGGCCTGCATGATTAAAGAGCCCTATTCTCTCCTCCAAACCTCTGGTCCCATCTCTGACCACTCCTCTCCCTGTCCCCTAATTTCAGCTATACTAGATTTCTTGTGGCTTCCTGAATACATGTCTCTCATATGCCTGTGCCTTAGCATACCATCACCCTTCTGCCTGGAAAAGTCTTCCTCCATATAGCCATCCTCACTGGGAGACATACCCTCTCTCTTTGCCCCTAGTCTGGGTTGAGTAGCTTCCTATCTGTGCAAGCTCTCTTTGTTTGCCTCTCCAGAACTTCTCTCTACTATTTTCCAACCTACTTTGTGTCCCAGGTGGTTGGGCTCTGGACTGCATCAAAGGGCTCCCTTGCCCTTGGGATCCTGGTTGGGTCTGGCCAATGGGAGTTACTAACAAGATACCAGAAGGTGGGAGAAAGAAAGATTGAGGCATTTATTCTACCTGTTTCTTCTTTTCAGGGCAGCAGCTGCCTTCATCTAAGCTCACCTCTCCCATCTGGCAGCCCTCTGCTATAGCTCTAGTTGTTTCTGGGTTTCACTAACTGCTCTTTCAAGCTTAGCAGTGGTAGTGATTTCCTACTATTGCTAACCCTGGGGTGCTTCTTCCTAAACAGTCTCTTTATTCTCTTCAATCACACCTTTTGAGTGTGGCATCTACAGACAGTTCCCCACTTACAATCGTTCAACTTAAGATTTTTTGACTTTACGATGGTGTGAAAATGATACGCATTCAGTAGAAACTGGTAAGATATTCTCTCAGGATGCTGGGCAGAGGCAGCGAGCCACAGCTTCCAATCAGCCATGTGATCACCAGGATAATCAATTGACAGTGAACAGTGTACCGTGTTACCAGATGATTTTGCCCAAATGTAGGCAAATGTAAGTGTTCTGAGCACATTTAAGGTAGGCAAGGCTAAGCTATCATGTTTGGTAGGTGTTTTCTATGCATTTTTGACACATTTCCAACTTTTTTTGAGACAGGGTCTTGCTCTGTCAACCAGGCTGGAGTGCACTGGCACAATCTCGGCTCACTGCAGCCTCTGCCTCCTGGGTTCAAGTGATTCTCCTGCCTCAGCCTCCTGAGTAGCTGGGACTACAGGTGTGCACCACCACACCCAGCTAAGTTTTGTATTTTTAGTATAGACGGGGTTTCACCATATTGCCCAGGCTGGTCTCGGACTCCTGACCTCAGGTGATCCGCCTGCCTTGGCCTCCCAAAGTGCTGGGATTACAGGCATGACCCACCATGTTCGGCCACATATTTCCAACTTTTGATGAATTTATTGGGACACGACTGCATCATAAGTCAAGGAACATCTGCATTTCCTGCAGGGACCCTGAACCATGTTCCTGTAACACCAAATTATTGTAATTTTTTTTTTTTAACATCTGTCTTCTCTTCGAGGCTGTGTTCTCTGGGGCTGAGGACTACTTTTCTGTTGTATCTTAGTAAGCTAGCACAGGGTTATGATAGGGGCTCTTGCGAAAAGAATGAAAGAAAAGATATATGAATATTCTCATCATTCCATGCTCTTCTCTATATATCCTTTAGGGTAGTGACCATCAGGATTCCTCAGAAAGACTCCATAGTCACTTGAGATATGCAGAATCAGATCATGTGGGTAATGTGGGTATTTTGTTTCAGCACAAAGACCCCTGTCCAGACAGTCTGGCAAATATGATAAACTTTTGGCTAAACCATCTGGAGCATGAGTCCTTCCCAGGAGGAGTATGGTCAGGAAAACAGAGCCATGCTTTGCTGCTGACTTATCTGAAAACCAGCCTTGGAGTAGCAAAAAGCGAAGGGGTGGGGTGAGGCTAGGGTCGGAGTGGGATTTGGACAGGGCCTTTGGCAGGACAAGGACAACACGGTTCTGCTAGTGATTCAGGGGGCCTGGAGAAAGTATCTCTGCACCTCAGTTTCCCCATCCGTAAGTTGAAGATCGACTAGCTGATCCTTAATGGCCCTTTTAACATGGATACTGTAGTGGACATCTTTAGATTTTGCCTTTCAACTACCCAGTCCTCTTTTTGTTAAGAGACACCTTCCCTCCATCAGCTCATGTGGGCAGATGCGCAGATGACACTTCTGACTTCAAGGGTGGGCATGTGATCCAGGCCTGGATAACCAGAGCATCTGATCCCCCTGGACAACGTGATGGTTCAGGGATAGGTACAAGGCTTGAGCCTGGCCAGGGTATTCCATCTCTTTAAAAGATGGGGTCTTGCTATGTTGCCCAGGCTGGTCTCGAACTCCTGGGCTCAAGCAATCCTCCTGCTTCAGCCTCCCAAAATGCTGGGATTACAGGCATGAACCACCTCACCCCGTCTATTCCATGTCTTTCAGCCACAATGTTAGGCTCAGGAATAGACATGTGACCTAGATGGTCCAGTAACTCTCAGTTCTGGAACATCTAACTGTAAAGGAAGAGAATATTTATGCTCAGTTGCTAAAGAGGACAGAATACAATTCAGGAGCTGCTGACCAATGTCCTGCCACTACCAGGGAGAACTTGATAATGGAGCCAACGGGGAAGAAGACCAGGCCCTGGTGACAGTTGGAGCCCCTGAATACAGCTGTAGCTGAAACCAGTTACCTGTGTGTTCCTAATTACGAGAGCCAATAAATCTCATTCTCCATTCATTCAGCTTAAGGTAGTTTGAGTTGTAGTCTCTACCACTTATGACCAAAGGAGCCCTGATCTATACAGAAATTCCATTTTTCCTCTAAGCATTAAGGAGTCAGGCACAAAAGACTACATATAGTAGAATTTCACTTGTAAGAAATGACCAGGCTTGGCCGGGAGCCGTGGCTCACGCCTGTAATCCCAGCACTTTGGGAGGCCGAGGCGGGCAGATCACCTGAGGTCAGGAGTTCAAGACCAGTCTGGCCAACATGGTGAAACCCCGTCTCTACTAAAAATACAAAAATTAGCTGAGTGTGGTGGCGTGGCACCTGTAATCTCAGCTACTCGTGAGGCTAAGGCAGGAGAATCACTTGAACCCAGGAGGCAGAGGTTGCAGTGAGCCGAGATCATGCCATCGCACTCCAGCCTGGGCAACAAGAGTGAAACTCCATCCAAAAAAAAAAAAAAAAAAACACTACTGAATTGTATAGTTTAAACTAGTGGATCTTAGAGTATGTGAGTTGTAACTACTAAATAAATACATAAAAAAGAAGTTTCATTATAGCCAGTGTAGCTCCCCCAGGGAGTAAATGGGAGCATCTGATCCCTCTCAGTTTCCTTGTGATAGTAATAGAAGTTACCGAAGCAAACACTGCACAATTGGAATGTGCTTTATTTCAGGGAAATATAAAGGGAAATGAATGCTATTATAACTTGGTAGAACAGAAGAAATGGCTACCTAGCTTTGCTTTCCAACTACAAACATAAATGAGGATCTCAGCATTTAAGGTAAAACATGATAAGCACAAAAGGAGAGTTCACTGGGGACTGGACTCCCTCATTTACTCTAGAAATTATGAGAACCAGCAGCAATATTCCTCAAGCATCCATCTCAACATCAAGTTCCTTTGTTTTATTTACCAGATGACCAGGAATCATAGATGAGTTTGGCTGCAACTGTGTCTTCCACTGCCATTCCTAGAATAGACAGAAATTTGGTTCGCCTTTGGTCAAAACAACTTTTCTTGAAACAACCCAGGCCCCATGGCTGGAAGTTTCCTGATACATGTCCATGTTGCCAATGCCTATTGGAATAACAGGGACTGATACCCAGAGATGAGCTCAGGCTTCAATTGTCTGCAAAGGGGCAGAGAATATGATAGTAAGAAACACCCACCAACAAATTGTGCATCTTTCTAAATCTAGCTCAGGGCTGAGCAAATTTTTTTTTTTAATTTTTTTTTTTTTCGAGATGGAGTCTCGCTCTGTTGCCCAGGCTGAAGTGCAGTGGCGCGATTTTGGCTCACTGCAAACTCTGCCTCCCAGGATCAAGTGATTCTCCTGCCTCAGCCTCCTGAGTAGCTGGGATTACAGGTGCATGCCACCATGCCTGGCTAATTTTTTTTTTTTTTGTATTTTTAGTAGAGACAGGGTTTCACCATGTTGACCAGGCTAGTTTCAAACTCCTGACCTCAGGCGATCCGCCCACCTCGGCCTCCCAAAGTGCTGGGCTTACAGGCATGAGCCACCACGCCTGGCCTGAACAAACTTTTCAAAAAGGGTCAGACAGTAAATCCTTTAGGCTTTGTGGGCCACAGGGTCTCTATTACAATTATTCAACTCTGCCTTTAGAGTAGAAAACACAGCCAACAGGTAAACAAAAGAGCCTGGCTGTGGGCTGTGTTCCAGTGAAATTATTGATGGGACTGAAGCTTGAATTTTGTATCATTTTCAGACATCATGAAATATTTTCTCCCCCCATTCATTTGAAAATCTAAAAACCATTTCTAGCTCATAGGCCACACAAAAGCAGGCAGCAGAGCAGGTCTGGCCCCAGGACTGTAGTTTTCTGACGCTTGGTCCAGTTTGAATGCTGCATCCTTTGATATCTCCCCTTTGTCTTGTAATTTTGGTAGATACCTTAACCTCTGCACCCAGCACAGATAATTAGGTGCTTGATACGCATCTGTTAGATGAAACAATGCACCAATAAACTGATCCCCAAAAGTAAGAAAGCAAAAATTGCCAAAAAGGACAGAACAAGTTTCTGCAGCATTTTGGCTCCTTAAGTAAGGGCTGGCTGACCTCTGATCTGCCATGACCTTTGAAGTTTTCAGACAAAACTGGATCCATGTGATGTCTTTGAACCAGGCTCCAGATAAAATTGTATTGCCTTTGTCTTCCAGTGCATGAGAGATTTTAAAGACATTTACCAACCTGCAAGGCATGGATACTTAACCAATGGCATGGGCTCTGGGTGGCCAGAGCGCTCCTGATGCTCTGCCAGGCATTTACTCTTTTGCTGCTTGATCACGAAGTATGGAAGGTCATGAGAGGGGGACAGAGGGCACTCTCGAGGGGCTCAGGATAGCAACTGTTTACCAACCAGTTTGGGAGTATTTCAGTGTTTTAGGTGTATCAGCTCTGTTCCCATGTACTTTATTTATTTATTTTTTGAGATGGAGTCTTGCTCTGTTGCCCAGGCTGGAGTGCACGATGTCAGCTCACTACAACCTCCACCTTCCGGGTTCAAGTGATTCTCCTGCCTCAACCTCCCAAGTAGCTGGGATTGCAGATGTGCACCACCACGCCTGGCTAATTTTTGTATTTTTAGTAGAGATGGAGTTTCACCATGTTGGCCAGGCTGGTCTCAAACTCCTTAGCTCAAGTGATCTGCCCACCTTGGCCTCCCAAAGTGTTGGGATTACAGGCGTGAGCCACCGAGCTCAGCCTGTTCCCATGTACTTCTGTTTCCTTCAATCTCATAGGGTGGAAGAGGACCTGGGGCAAGGGACAGACTGGCCACTGGGAGCCCACCCTTTGTTGGGCTTCTATAAGGTACCCCATACAACTCAGGTGGTAGGGGGCTCCCCATGGAAGCCCTCCTCAAAGCAGCAAGTGGGAGAGTAGGGAAGGAGGGAATGAACAGGGCTTAGGCTATACTTTCCATCTGACTCTTTCAGGTTGGGTCTCTGCCATTTCCCTTAAGGTTCCTGTCTTTTAACATCTTTGTCCCCTGCCCCCTCCACCTCTGAAGGGTACCTTCTGAATTTCATCAAGATCTGCACCGAACTGATTCATTTTATATGCAAATCCCACCTAATCCTCAATGGTAACAGGTGGTGAGGAAACTGAGGCCTACAGAGGTCAGATCACTTGCCTAAGGACACCTGCCTTTGAGTGGCGGGGAAGGGACTCTGACCCAGGACTGCTCAGTTCCAGAGTTCATGGGCTTAGCACTAGGCTAAACCATGTAAATAATTGACCTGAATGATGGAGCACAATGATTCAGCTGCAGAGTCTGGTGACTCATTGCTCTTTCCACCAATGGGTGAACCTGCCTTGTGCGCTAGTTGGATTTGTGCCCAGGGAGCAATGGATCTTACCCAAAGACTTGAACACGGTGGTCTTCTCACAGTGGGCTGGTTTCACTCCCTTAATCACTTCTCCCAGCTCAGCAAAGATCTCGGCCTAGGAAACAAACATACGCTGACCCAGGCATGAAGCTAAAGTCTGTGCAGGGTTGGCTTTTGAAGCCAGCCCAGGGAATTCCTGAATTGGATAAGAGATAAATTTGATTAAAAAAAAAAAAAAAAAGAGAGAGATCCTTTGTACACTGAATGATATTAGGGAGGAGGCTGGCCCCGAAATCCTTTTGGGGTGGCATTTGCTTTTGTGATACCATAAACACAGAGATTCGAGTTGGTGCTCAGGGAGCTGTCCTGCCAAGATCATTGTGTCAGTGAGGAAATAGACATGCTGTTATCTGAACATGCATGCCAGCAGCTCCCTTCTTGTTTTATGCTGATTATAACCGTAAAATGAGGCCAGAAGGTGGGCAACACAGTCTTATCATGTTGGCCACATTGGGAAGGTTTCCAGGCTGCAAGAAGCTTCCAATCCCACTTCTTTAGAGGACAGCCCAGCAAAAAAATAAAATCCACTGAGCTTCTCCTTCCAGGAACACACATGTCACCACCCATAATGCCCATATTTTTCTGGAATGGAATTAAAGAGGGTTGCAAAATGTTTAGGAGCTCCTTCCCCTACAAGGAGGTGGGGTGGCTGAGGTCTGGAGCAGACCAAACTGGAAGGGAAGTTAATGAAACCCTGGGATCCAGGTGAGGCCAGCCAGGTGGCAGCCCTGACTGGGGTCAGAAGGGCCTCACCCCTGACAGCAGGACATCTCCAGACTCCTTCAGGGCAGCCTCCTGGGAATCCACGTACAGCACAGCTTCTTTCATGAGCTCATCATCCAGTTCTCTCCAGTCAGGTCTGCTGGCTCCAACAGCTAAGAGACAGCAAAACAGACCTTAAGCCCAGGATTAGTGCCAAAGGCTGCTAAGAAGCCCAAAGCACAGGAGAGAGGTGAACAAAGGACTCGTGAACACACTCAGATTCAAAATACCCCCTCATTCCCCAGGCCATGCTCTCCCAATCAGTAGGACGAAATACTTATTAAGAAATAGGCCAGGTGTGGTGGCTCACACCTGTAATCCCAGCACTTTGGGAGGCTGAGGCAGGCAGATCACTTGAAGCCAGGAGTTTGAGACTAGCCTGGCCAACATGGTGAAACCCTGTGTCTACTAAAAATACAAAAAATTATCCAGGCGTGGTGGCTCACACCTGTAGTCTTTGCTACTCTGGAGGCTGAGGCATGAGAATTGCTTAAACCTGGGAGGCGGAGGTTGCAGTGAGCCAAGATCATGCCACTGCACTCCAGCCTGGGCAACAGAGTGAGGCTCCATCTCAAAAAAACAAACAAACAAACAAAAAAAACTACCTACCATTTTGCCTTTCTATTCTATATCCCACCTCATTGCTAAAAGATTTTGAGACGACATAGCATTCATTTACAGGGTGTCTACTCTCTGTGGGATGTTTTGCACGTACTATTTATGGTTCTCGCAAGTACATTTCAAAGTCTGGTTCTCACTTAACAGATGCACGAATGGAGGCTCAAAGAAGTGAAGGTGTTTGCCAAGGTTAAGGATCTGATGGGTGAATCCAGGTCTGAGAGAGCACCTAGGCGCTCACACCTCTTCTGCTTAACAGGAACACCTTCCTCACAAAAATCCCGAAACAGAGACATCACTTGGTGCTTATTCACACCTCACTCTCCTCTTGATCTCCATCATTCCCATTCCTCACCCTCAACCAGTTCTTTTAATATCTATTTTTTTCTTTTTGGAGAGAGGGTCTCACTCTGTTGCCCAGGCTGGAGTGTAGTGGTGCAATCAGAACTCACCACAGGCTGGGTGCAGTGGCTCATGCCTGTAATCCTAACACTCTGGAAGGCTGAGGTGGGTGGTTCACTTGAGGTCAGGAGTTCAAGACCAGCCTGGCCAACATGGTGAAACCCTGTCTCTACTGAAATACAAAAATTATCTGGGCATGGTAGCACACGCCTGTAATCCCAGCTACCTGGGAGGCTGAGGCAGGAGAATCTCTTGAACCTGGGAGTTGGAGGTTGCAGCGAGCCAAGACTGCGCCACTGTGCTCCAAACCAGGCGACAGAGTGAGACTCCATCTCAAAAAACAAACAAACAAAAACTCACCACAGCCTCAAACTCCTGAGCTCAAGTGATCCTCCCGCCTCAGCCTCCCAAACTGTTGGGACCACAGACGCCTGCCACTATGCCCCTTTCCCTCTCCTCACCCCCGGTTCTCTCTTAACTCATGACAAAAGAAAAAAAACAACAACAACAAAAACTCAGTGTCAGGGTCATGGAGAAGTCTCGTCAGAAAGAAAACTGGCTCCGTCCTGGCCCTGAACTGTCACATCCTCTATGGAGTCCAGGACCAGAATGATGAATCCAAGGTGTCACGCCCCCTGGCACCAGGACACAGGAGAATGCAGAGGCTGCCACCAAATGCCTGCAAGGCCAGGGAGGTAATGAAAATGAACAAAGCTGGTCAGAGGGACTGGATTAGATGTGGTGGAGACTGAGGGGCGGGGAAGCCAGCAGGCCCTTCCGAAGGGGACAGTCATTGTTCAGCTCCAGCTAATCATTACCACGTGTGAATGTAGATCCACTGTTACCAGATATGCCCCAGTTGTTTTCTTAGAAGAGAAACAGGAAATCTATTTGCATATGTCACTCCTTGAGTTTTAGATTACTCTATGGTCCAAACCAAACACATCTGCTGGCTGGATCCAGCCCCTGGCTGGCTAGTCTTTGAAAACTGCTATAAAGCCTTATACAAATATAAGACAGCATTTATATGCCTTCTTCCACTGCCGCCCCGTTTTCTCCCTTTGTTCCCTCCCGTTCTGTTCTCCCTCATTCTAATTTCCAAAGAGAGTTGTGTAAAAATGTCCATCTTGAAGGTTGTTTGTGCGGAGAGTTCTATAGAACAAAAGCACTAGCTTAAGGAAGCTTGTAAATAAATCATAAGCTGGTGGGAACAAAACCCCCGTTTCTCAGGCCACTCCTTCTCACTGGACTATTTCCCCTGCACAACCACTGCTTATGAGCCGGGCGAGTTCTCAAAGGGTTGTGTGAGGTCACTCAGGCGGATGGAGGTGGGCCAGGCAGTAAAGAGAGAGAAGCCTGACTCAAACAAGGCTCTGGCTTGGTTGTGATGGGGCTAAATGAGTGAGGGTCGCAGACAGGCTTGACAGGGTGTGGGGGCAGGAGGAGGGAGGCATGGGGCAGGGTGGAACTGGGCCTGTCCCTCCGCTGAGCTGTAAACTAAGTAAAATCTGTTGTTGGTATTTCCCTGTTGTCTGCGCTTGTGACACATTTTTCTTAAATGTATGTGTTGCCTCTGTGAACACATAAACCAATTTTGTCCCTGGGCCAGGAAAACAGAAGAGATGCCTTGACTCAAAATCAAGTCAGCCCTTCCTGGAGAATGATTCCAAGTGAGAGAGGGATCCAACATAAGGGAGATTGTCTGTGGCTGGATGTGAGGATGGAGAGTCCATATGGTGGGAAATTTGGGTCATCTCTGGGAGCTGAGAATGGCCCCAAGGAAAGGGGCTCCCCCCATCCTCCAGTGTAAGGAACTGAATCCTGCCACACCATGGGAGCCTGGAAGAGGACCCCCGAGCATGAGATGAGATTGCAGCCCGGATGTTGCCCAATTTCTTTTTTGTGAGACTTTGCACAGAGGATCCAGCTACCCACACCCAGTCTCCTGAACCACGGGAACTGTGAGATGATAATAATGTGTTGTTTTAAGCTGAAAAAAAAATCAAGTCCATCTTTCTGAAGATGCAGCCTTGGAAACCCATTTCACCATGAACTGGTTCCTTTTGATTTCCCAGGTCCTTCCAGAAATGGTCTTATTGTCCATAAACTCAGCCCTGACTTACCTCTTACCCATTCCCTGGACCCAGTCTGACCACCAGTCCCATGCAGCCTGAGACTTTCAAATTACTTTGATCCATTCCTCAAACACGCCATGTTCGCTTCCACACTCAAGGCCTTTGCATCTGCTGTGCCCTCTACCCTGAATGCCTTTCCTTCAGCTCTTGGCATGGCTGCTCTTCCTCCTCATTCAGGTCACAGCTCAAAAAACACATCTTAGAGAGCTTCTCAGATAACCCTATTGAAAACACCTCTCTCTGCTTCTACCTTCCACCTCCACCACCAGCCTCTATCACCCAGGGCCTTGTTCTTTCCGGTCTCATCTTTAGCCAGAACGATCTAGTTCCTCTATGTGTTTGTTTGTTGTCTATCTCTCCTCACTGAAATTAACCACCATGAAACCAGTGACCTTGACTGCCTGGTTATTGTGGCATCCCTGGCATCTAGAATAGTGCCTGGCACACGGTAGAGATTCAGTCAGCATGTATGATTGAATGCGTCATCATTTGACTTGGCTCTCGCCGGCTCATCTGCCCACGTGTGCAAAGCTCTTAGCTTCTGAGTTCACACCATGTGCTTGTCACTAAAACACAGGGCACCAAGACCATCTTTAAATCCTCTAAAATTTGCCTGCTCTGCTCACCAGAATCCAGTCTTCCTGTTGGAAGGCAATCATGAGTATCATTTAAAGCTTGGACTCTGAGGATAGAGTGCCTCCGTTCAAATCCCAGCTCTGCCATCAAGAACCTCTGATTTTGGGCTTGGCACAGTGGCTCACGCCTGTAATCCCAGCACTTTGGGAGGCTGAGGCGGGTGGATCATTTGAGGTCAGGAGTTCGAGACCAGCCTGGACAATGTGGTGAAACCCCATCTCTACTAAAAATACAAAAAAATTAGCTGGCATGGTGGCGTGTGTCTGTAATCTCAGCTACTCGGCAGGCTGAGGCAGGAGAGTCACTTAACATGGGAGGTGGAGGTTGCAGTGAGCTGAGATCATGCCACTGCACTCCAGCCTGGGTGACAGAGTGAGACTCCATCTCAAACAAACAAACAAACAAACAAACAAAAACTTGTGACTTTGGAAAAGTTATATAATTTCTCCATGCCTTGGTTCATCCCCCTATAAAATGTTTATGATAATAGTTCCTGCCTCATAAGTTGGTTATAAGTATTAAATGACATTATACATAGAATAATGTCATTTAATATACAAAGAATTATACAAAGAATTCATGACAGCACCTGCAGTAGTATTAGATGTAGACCAGCTCTTGCTATAACACCCAGGGCCATCTGAAGGTCTACAGAGGCCCCAGGCACCCTCATGTCTAGAGCCCCCTCTCCTGCCCCTCATCCTATCACACATATTAAAAAGCATATACATGTCACATAAAAAATTACAGTACAAAAGAAATTTAAAGGTTTATAATTCTTAGTGTTAAGAAAAAGTGACTCATTTGGCCTTTCTGATTTAAATTTCATCACATTTTAGAATTGAGCTGTGAATTACCATTTGCCATAATTTTACATGTTATGGTCAGGCGTAGTGGCTCATACTTGTAATCAGTCGCAGCACTTTGGGAGGCTGAAGTGGGTAGAGTGCTTGAGGCCAGGAGTTCGAGACCAGCCTGGCCAACATGGTGAAACCTTGTCTCTACCAAAAATTACAAAAAATTAGCTGGGCATGGTGGCACATGCCTGTAGTCCCAGCTACTCGGGAGGCTGAAGTGGGAGAATCGCTTGAACCCAGGAGGCAGAGGTTGCAGTGAGCTGAGATCTCGCCACTGCACTCCAGCCTGAGCGACAGAGTGAGACCCTGTCCCAAAAAAAGAAAAAAAACTTACATTTTATAGAACATTAAATATTCTTTAGTTTCAGGTTTGTAATTTCCCTTTTACATTTCTTGGAGCAAATATTGTTTGTTTGTTTTTTAAGACAGAGTCTCTCTCTGTTGCCCAGGCTAAAGTGCAGTGGCACAATCTTGGCTCACTGCAACCTCTGCCTCCTGGGTTCAAGCCATTCTCATGCCTCAGCCTCATGAGTAGCTGGGACTACAGGTGCAAGCCACCATGCCTGGCTAACTTTTGTATTTTTAGTAGAGACGGGGTTTTGCCATGTTGACCAGGTTAGTCTTAAACTCCTGGCCTCAAGCAATCCACCTGCCTCAGTCTCCCAAAGTGCTGGGATTACAGGCATGAGCCACTGCACCCAGCCAAATATTGTTTTTTTCAATCTCACATGTTTTCAAGGCCCTTAAATAGCTTGGGCATTCTGCATGAATAAACTGGCTCTGCAAATGTAGTCGACTGGTCCCGTCTAGAGAGGAGCCTGGCCACCACCCATCATGCCTTATGGAGCCACTCTACTTACCATTGATGTGAGCCCCTGGCTTCACCCATTCACCAAACAAAATGGGCTCTGTTGCCAGGGTGACTGTGATGATCACATCTGCACCTGCCACAGCCTCCTGGACCGAAGAACAGACCCGTACCTCTCCTTGCACTGTGTCTGCAAACTTCTCTGCATTTTCTTTGGTGCGGTTCCATATCCTCACCTTCATTGGGAGTAACAAGAAGGATATTGGCGCCATTTTTTGGCTGCTTATGTTACACTGAGCCCAGGGATGCGGAGGGAAAGTTGAACTACTCTGGCATAGGGGTCAGTGGTTATCTAAATCACTCCTAAATCATTCCCCATGGAGAATGGACATTTGATCAGGGGTACAGCATTAACTTAGACACCTAGCCAGGTATTTGAAAATCAGCGTTCTCTACCACTTTCCCCTTTTAAAATGAGTGGAAGTATTTCACTTCTAGGCCAAGAGGCACAGCCTCAGTAACTTCATAGCTATTATATATTAATAGCATAATGATTAGCAGAGCAAGTTCTGGAGCCAGGTAGGCTTGGAACCAATCTCCACTCTGCTATTTCCTGAAATTGCTTCATGTCATTCAGCCTTAGTTTCCACATCTGTAAAATGGAAATATAACTGGCAAAGTCTGTGTGGAACTCACACTTTATGTCTGAGACCCCGTAAAGGAGTTGTAATGGGTGGGAGATTCATATGAAGGATTATTTATGATAATGTTTTTCATGGAATAACTTGATCGGTGAAGAATACTTAGGAAATTCAAGATCAGACGAGTTTGAAGGTAAATGGCATAGCCAATGAAAAGGCCAAGAATGGTAGCTACGGCTGGAATCCTGAAAGGTGCTGGGGTTGGAGGGTGGGGCAGCGGCCTCACCAGGAGCTGGGGACTTGCCGACTTGCTTGACAGGTTTCAATGTTTGGGTCAAGGGCTTGTCACCCGTCAACTGAAAATAAGGCCTACAGAATTTCTCATAAGGAAATATAATACATACGGAAACAAACTTTATGTCTAAGCAAGTTCACCAAGCAAGGTGAAAAACAGGACATTTTGCCCGGCCGGAAGTGCATGGTTAACCTCTTCACCCTTCTTGATAGAAGACTATGCAAATTTTATGCAAAAATTAGATAACCTGAAAAGTGATGTTAGAACATTCAGTAAGAGAGGATATAAAATGGTGCATATCTAACGTGACTAAAGCTATGTTATAAAAAGCTGAAGAGGGAAGATCAGAAAACATTAACTGTCTTTGAAAACAGATGAAAGGGCATTTTTCTTTTGTTTTCTTCCTTGTATTAAAAGTAATGGCAACTGGGCGCAGTGGTTCACGCCTGTAATCCCAGAACTTTGGGAGGACAAGGCAGGTGGATCACCTGAGGTCAGAAGTTCCAGACTAGCCTGGCCAACATGGTGAAACCCCATCTCTACTAAAAATACAAAAATTAGCCAGGTGTGGTAGTGGGCGCCTATAATCCAAGCTACTTGGGAGGCTGAGGCCCAAGAATCACTTGAACCCAGGAGATGGAGGTTGCAGTGAGCCGAGATTATGCCACTGCACTCCAGCCTGGGCGACAGCGCGAGACTCCATTTCAAAAAAAAAAAAAAAAAAAAAAGTCATGGCCAAAACTGCAATTACTTTTGCACTCACCTAATAGTCTATATTTCTCAAGGCAGTGGTTTTATTTTCATCATTAAATCATACTTTAAAACTGCTCCATCCCTTTCATACACACACATAAAATAACAATAGCATCAAAAATTCCCAGGGGGAAGCATGAGACGCAGTGGGGGGAAGGTGGACCAGTATGGAGACTGCAAAAGAGAGAGGCTGTGGCCTCCTGGTCTCCAGGTCTCATCCCACCCAGTTTCTTGATCCATAACCTTGAATACTTAAAAACTCTGGATTCTCCTAAGAAAAACATAATAGACAGGAGCTAAAAGGACAACTGAATGTATACAAGAGATATAATAGAATCTTTTAACCGAGTAAGCTTGCTGTATCCTCAGACAAATGCCCTCTGAACTGAGGACTGGAAACAGGTAATCAGATCTTCCCCTGACTCTTATCCTCCATCCCCTCCATCAGGGCTTCTGGGAAGTCATGAAGATACAAGAATGGTCTAGATGGGGCTCACAACTTAATTATTTCAGAATAACCTGTGGTGCAGTGAAGCAGTATAGACAGGTCAAGGACCACCCCCTTCCCTCTTCTCTCCCACCCCCACCCCTGGACTTACCTCCTTAAAGGAGAACTGCTCTGTGAAGATCTCATAATGGCTGTAGGCCTGGACCCCAGCCCCAAGGATGCACAGCACTTCACTGCTGGGAGGTTTCAGAAACTATATGAGAGAAATGAAGTGGCAAAGGTCAAGGGAGACCCTAGCAGACGGGTAAAAAACTAAGATGGTTTGAGTATCAGGTGACTTCTGCCCTCTCTTCTGCCTCCCTCAAGAGCTTGCAGGCAATCAAGAGAATTTCCTTTTGTGTCTAGTTTCCCCCGTATCAAGTGGGAAAAGAAGGAAGAAGGCTTCACTGAACAGCTAATGTATGCCAATGCTTTGCCCCCATGATCTCATTTAGTCTAGACATTGACCCTACGAGTTGGGGACTCCTACTATCTTCTTCTTACAGATGAAGAGACTGAGGTTGCCCTGGTAACAGAAAGGTGAACTTGCTCTGGGTCTTACAACTACTTTTTAAAATTATTTATTTATTTCTTTTTCTTTCTTTCTTTCTTTTCTTTTTTTTTGAGATGGAGTCTCGCTCTGTCGCCTAGGCTGGAGTGCAGTGGCACGATCTTGGCTCATTGCAACCTCTGCCTCCTGGGTTCCAGTGATTATCCTACCTCAGCCCCCCGTGGAGCTGGGATTATAGGTGTGCGCCACAACACCCAGCTAATTTTTGTATTTTCGATAGAGATGGGGTTTCACCATGTTGGCCAGGCTGGTCTCAAACTCCTGACCTCAGGTGATCTGTGCACCTCGGCCTCCCAAAGTACTGGGATTACAGACGTGAGCCACCGCACCTAGCCAGGTCTTACAACTATTGAAGGGCACAGTGTGGCTCTAAAGTCACGTCTTCCATACTCCAAAGCCCATGTCCTTTCTTCATATCTCAGGTACATGCTCAGCCATACCCACTTCTCAGAGCTCTGAGCTGCTTCTAAGAGCTGCCTGGATTCTGTGAGCCCTTCCTTCCCAGGGTTCTAGCTATATTCACTGGGCCAACTCTGTTGATCTTTTCACTGCCTCTGTCTTCCTCTAAAGACGAATGTAGAATTAGCATTTGTGGCATCTCCTGAGGGTGTCTGTGTTTGAGAGCAGGATTCTGTGATCAACTCACGTCCAGTGCCACCTCTCCAATGAAGCCTTTCTGACCTCCTTGATAGAATGCACCAGGCCATAGCACTTATTTGTTTGTAGATTTTCTTCTACAGGTCTTTAAGCCCCATGAGGACAGAGGTAGTCTTATTTGCACAGAACTGGTACATACCTACTATGACCTACAAGAGGTAGCACTGGGCTTCTCAACCTCGGTACTACTAACATTTGGGCTGGACAATTCTTTATTGGGGAGGGGCACCAACCTGTGTATTATAGGATGTGCAACAGTATCTCTGGTTTCTATCCATTAGATGTTAGTAGCATTTTCCACCCCTTCAAGTTGTGGGAACTAAAAACGTCTGCACACTCCTAAATGTCTCTGGAGCAGGTGGCAAACTCATGCTCAGTGGAGAACCACTGGCATAGAGGAAAGACATCACTTGGCCCTCGACACCATATGTATTAAATAAAACCCTCTTCTGCCTTTTCTCTATTCCATTTAGTAAACTTTGAGTTCCCTGTGGTCTGTTCTTTTATAAAATGCTACTCACTGGAATTTTGGAGTATAATATTTAAAAAGTGAAAAGTCTTCTTAACTACTAATTACTAGCAAAACAGCATCTCTGAAATATTAGGAATTAATTTTATCTCCTGCAGCTACCGAAGGAGAGATACCATTCTGTGCCATAAAATATAGTTTAACGTCTCTGATTTGAAAAGGTTTCAAAATGATAATATCCACAAGACTAGAAATCTTATGTTGCTGTCTGATAAGGATAATTAGATTTTTTTCCTTAATTGTTACCATTTTCTTCTGTTCTCAGTTAATATGAATCTATTCTTGAAAGTACAGGTGAGCTTCAGAAATTGTTACAGTATCCCATAAAAATAACCTTCAACTTCCTAAACTAAATGTGTAATTCTAATTGGTTGTCTTACTTGATAATTTGTTGCCCTGGTAATAGTGTGATAATTGATATTTTTAAAATTTTTTTTTTTTTCCGAGACAGTCTCGCTTTGTCGCCCAGGCTGGAATGCAGCGGTGTGATCTCAGCTCACTGCAACCTCTGCTTCCTGGGTTCAAGCGATTCTCATGCCTCAGCCTCCCGAGTAGCTGGGATTACAGGTATGTGCCACCATACTTGGCTAATTTTTTTTTTTTTTTTTGGTAAAGATGGGGTTTCGCCATGTTGGCCAGGCTGGTCTCGAACTCCTGACCTCAAGTGATCCACCTGCCTCGGCCTCCAAAAGTGCTGGGATTACAGGTGTAAGCCACTGCACCCAGCCGATTTTTAATCATATGTTTATAAGATTTATTAAACAGCATTAGTGGCACTTCAATCTTTTCTCCTAAGCATGCAGGTTATTAAGTACACGTATATGAATCTGCTGGGTTTCTCATTTAAAGAGTCTGAAAGTCTGTTTCATTTGCATTTGCCAAGGCCTTGCATGGTCTGGCCCTCCTATCTCTAAAGCTGTCTCTCATACCACCATGCCATGTTCCCCTGCACTTCCTGTCTTCCAGCCATACTGGCTTCCTTGCAGCTTCCCAAGCTCATGTACTTCCTTCAACCACAGGGCCTTTGCATGAATTAATTCCTTGCCATACGATGCTAGGCTGCTTTGTCCCCTCTCCCCCTCACAAGTAACTGATTATCCTTCAATCTCAGCTCAAATATCCCCTACAGAGACACAGCCACAGGCTAGATCAAGACATACTGCTTTACACTCTTACAGCACTTGTCAGCGTTGTAGTTTCATATTTATTGGTGTGAATTTTTTTTTTTTTTTTGGAGACTGAGTCTCACTCGTTGTCCAGGCTGGAGTGCAGTGGTGTGATCTTGGCTCACTGTAACCTCCGCCTCCAGGATTCAAGCAATTCCCTTGCCTCAGCCTCCCAAGTAGCTGGGATTACAGGCACCTGCCACCATGCCCAGCTAATTTTTTTTTTTTTTTTTTTTTTTTTTTTTTTAGTACAGATGGGGTTTTTCCATGTTGGTCAGGCTGGTCTTGAACTCCTGACCTCAGGTAATCTGCCTGCCTCAGCCTCCCAAAGTGCTGGGATTGCAGGCGTGAGCCACTGCGCCCAGCCTATTGATGTGATCTTTGGACTATATCTTGCCTCCCCCACTGGACCCTGTACTACATGAGGGCAAGTACTGTATCTGGTTTTGCTTACCCCATGCTGAGCGCAGAACCTTGCATTTGGTGGACACTCAAATATTTGTTGAATAAATGTATGTTAGTGCTAAACCCTAATATATACTATCACCTTGAGAAAACATATCAGAGGCTTCAATGAAGCTTATGTGAGACCCAAGCACAAAAAATGTATTATGTTCATCAGACCCTAGAGCTCCGTATACTTATTCTCCCCAACAAGAGCCCTAAATAGAAGAGAAATGATGGACAAGAAAATATTCTACTCTCAAGGCAACAAGTAAAATAGACCCTTTGTTCCTTATTGAAACAGTTCATCTGAGCCCCTGGAAATAAAGCTGTGAAGTTTCAGCCTAAACTTTGAAGTGTCTAAACTTTGAAGTGTCAACCCAAGGCTTCTTGATTCTTCTGGGAGCACAGATTTTTATTAATGCAACAAAGCAGTGTTATTGCAGGCTGGGTCTACAAAAGTGTGGTTTCCAGACCTGGTTGATCCTCACTCTGTGATTTTGATTCAGTAGGCATGGGAATTTGAGTTTTTAAAAACTTCCCTAGCTAATGCTGCTGCATAGCTTGCTTCTGTTGGAAACTTCTTATCTGGGACAAGACCATGTGGCCTCAAAAGGACCCGCAGGAACCTGGTTGTATGACTTCAGGAAACCCAAGTTTCTATTCTTTTATGCGTAAAATGAGGCCATTAATACTTTCTCTGCCTTCCTCACAGAAACTCGTAGTCCAGACAAGGGGCTGGAAATGAGTTTGAAAAAGACTAAAGCTCTTTGCAAATGACAGTAATACAAGATTCATTCTGTTCCCAAATTACCAGCAAACATAGCAAGGAGTCCTTGATTACTTCAGTTGAGTCAGGTCTGGATATAACTAAAAACCAGTTCATTGAGGTGGGTGCTGTTGGTCTACTCCCTTCGCATACAATTACCAGATTAATCCTCCCATTCTTCCCTCCCCAGCAGGTATCTAGAAAACCTCGACATGCAACCTGAACACCTGGTCTTTGCTGCTGCAACTTTCCCTGGGTTACCACGTTTCCTTTATAATAACTTAGGAAAACCAGTGTCCCAAGACCTTGTACTTCCACATTTAATGTGAAAGACTCCAGACTCCAATCGTTCCCACAGACACCCTGTTTCCTAAGCCTCATCCTCTTAACTCTAACTTTTAAAAATGCTGTTTTTCTTATAGGATGCCTTGACATTGCTTGGGAACATCATCACCCCCATTGCTTACTGTTCCCTCTGCCTGGAGTGCCCCTCCGTGTTTTTGCATGGTTCGCTAACTCACTGCTTTCAGCTTTGACTCAAATGTCACCTTCTCAGGGAGGCCTTTCTTGGATAATGTAAAATGTGACAGCTTCTCCAATACTCTCACTTCTGCTTTATCTTCACCTAACATGTTATGTGGCTTTTTGGATTATTGTTGGTTTTATTTTTTAGCAAATTCTAAGCACGCTATTAATCATTTATTAATATGTACTAATTATTTAATTACATATTATTTATTACTATTTAACACATTATTAAACTCAACAGATGTTTTTGTTTGTTTTGTTTTGTTTCCTTTTTGTTTTGTTTTTTAAGACACTCACTCTTTTGCCCAGGCTAGAGTGCAGTGGCTCGATCTGGGCTCATTGCAACCTCTGCCTCCTGAGTTCAAACGTTTCTCCTGCCTCACTCTCCCGGGTAGCTGAGATTATAGGCGCCCACCACCACGACCAGCTAATTTTTGTGTTTTTACAAGAGACGAGGTTTCACCATGTTGACCAGGCTGGTCTCCAACTCCTGAGCTCAAGTGATACGCCTGCCTCAGCCTCCCAAAATGTTGGGATTACAGGCGTGAGCCACTGTACCCAGCCTGTGTTTTCCTTTTTATTGGTATTGTCTACCTCCCCTGTGTGTGCCCCTCTGTTTTTCTCACTGCCATTTCCCTAACATTTAGAACAGTGCCTGACACATGATAGAAGCCCAGTCAATACTTGTCGAATGAATACAGGGATCTGGCTTGGATATGTTCAGTTCACTCAGCCTCTTGTGTAGTACTAGCTTTGGTCTATGGGACAATTATACTGTCTTACCAGGGGCAATGTGGTACAGGGACAAGAAGCCAGTCCTGGAAGCCAGAGAGGTCAAGTATTAAATTCTTACTCTAGCACTTATTAGCTGTGTGATCCTGGGCAATTCACAGAAGCTCTCTGAGCCATATTCCTTGACCTGGAAGGTGGAGAGAATTTCTCATTTCGATTCTTCAAGACTGATGGGAAGATTGAGAATTATGCACATAAGGTACTTGAAATCTGGTCATGCACACTAATTGGTAGCTAATAATTTCGTGAATTACTGATATATCTGACATCTGGAGTTCCAGCTATGTCCAACAGGAAACCAAAATAAGTTCCCCACTTCTCCTTTAGTCTCTCAAGATTGAGACACCAGACCCCACTTGACAGCTCACCTTAATGGTACAGCCAGCCATTCATCTTACCTTGGTGGCAATGGCAGAAACTGCAGCTGTTCTCTTTGCAGTTATGACATTTCCATCCATGACCTTGGAGGAAAAGAGAGACAGTGAGCAAGGGGAACCCCTGTCCACTGCATAAATTAGAAGAAACAGTTCTAAAATATTAGCTTAGGAAGTTTTATAGCATCCTACAAACAGCATGGGTTTGGCGTCAGACCTGGATCCGATTCCTCCACTTACGAGATATGCAACTTTGAACAAACACTTTAATCTTTAAGCACTGGTTTCCTCACCTGTAAAAAAGATAATGCCAGCCATTCAGAGGGTTATTGTGAGGATTAAATGCACTGGCATATCTGGAAACATCTAGCACATGGTGAGCCCTCAAGAACTGCCCATTTTCTTTTCTTGCCCTAGGATTCTCAAAACACCAAATTAAGAAGGAACTAGAGAGAGAAGGTTGCCAATTGACATCTGGACAACGGCCATGAAACTCTTAGTGGCTCTCCGTTCCTGCTGCACATGTGGAAAGCTTCGTGAAGATGCTCAGATACCACCCTTAGATTAACCCAGTCTGTATCTCTTCCAGGAGTGAGACCCAGACAGCCCAGGTGATTCCGATACACAGCGAAGGTTGAAAATTATGCCTCGCTAGTAAAAACCATCCTCTGCACTCCTCTCCCTGTTATTCATCTCAGCTGATCATCAAAAAATAGGCATCATCAACCTCATTTTACAGATGAGGAAGTGAATCACGAAGTCACTGAGCAGATTCAGCTGTCATCTAGTTTCAAAGCCTTGGGTTCTACCCCCCTAGGGAACCGCTGTTGGCAGGTAGTATGAATGCCATCTCGGTTGGATGAGTGTAAGTTGGGGAAAGCTAGATATTCTCAAAGGAGTGTTAAACGGCCAGATTATTTGGCGATCCAGAAATTCAGGGGAAAAGGAGGGACATTGTAAGACCCAGCTTGGAGCGCACAGACCTTAAGAGTTAACTGTCACACCTGGGAGTGATTCTTGAGTCTTTCACTAACCAGATGTGTGACCTCAAGCAAAGTGACTCTACTAACCTGAGCCTCAAGGACCTCAACAGAAATTGGGGGGAAGGGGAGTTAATAAAAACACCCATAGAGGAATTTTGCAGAATTGAATGTGATCAGCGTCTCCTTCTTGGCACATAAGTGCCCAATATGTAGCAGTTAAAATGGCGGTGGTCTTAGAAGAGTCTGGACCTATGGACCGTGGACTTAGACTGAGCAGCTCTGAAGTCCAACCATGCTAATTGTTGGTTACATAAACCTCGGTAAGTTGAACATAGTTGCTCTGACTCGGTTTCCTCATCTATAAAGTGGGAGTAATCATATTACCCATATCATAGAATAGTTTTAAGTATTAAGAGGATTAATAAATGTGAAATGTTTAGAAAAGTGCCTGATGCATTATAAAAAGTACTCCATAAACACAAGCTACTGCTACCTTTTGAAACTATGATTAGATATTAAAACAGGTCACACCGTATACCCCTCTGAAGACTCCCAGGGATTATAGAACACCCCTTCTTTTCCATGTCGACAAGGATTCAGTAAGTAAGTCTTCCCTTGGCTAATGGGTTCATTCAAGCTGCGTATTTGGGGCAACTGAGTATAGGACAAGGACATATGCAAGAATGACAACAAGATTATTATTTCCACACTGTCACATGCTTGAGGCAGCAGTGGGCGCTGGTGCCGTGTTATGCATCCTCAGGCAGTCCTAGAAATAGATACATGGACACAGATAACCTTCACTGTTGCTGGTATCCAGTCACTTGCAGAGGGGCACGCGTAGTCACAATCAAGACTCCCCCTGCTGCGGAGAACTTACTTTTGAGCTTCAATCTGGGCCCAGGGGCCCCATTCCACCCCGGGACAGGAAGTTGCTCACCGCCAGCAGGGTGCCATTGCTGGGCTCAAAGAGTAGCACAGTAGCCTGGTGGGAAGGGACGACCGAGGTGATGCCGCGGTCCTCGTAGAAGGTGACCAACTTGGTGGTCAGTGCATCCTCTGCAGCACTGTAGGCGGGCATGACCCCCAGGTAGCTACAAGGAGAGAGGGAGCAGCTTCAGCCCCTTCCCATCAATGCTGGGGTCTCTTAGAAAGTATCCATATACTTTCCTTTTTCTTTCCTTCCTCACCACCCCACTGGCCCTCTTCCAGCCCCCGCATCCCTCTGCCCTTCCCTTAGACACTATGCACAGTATGTTCAGAAGTCTGGCTCTGGATCAGAAAACCTTTCCAGCTCTGCCACTTAGTAGCTGTGTAAGCTTAGGTAAGTCACTTAACCTCTCTGAGTCTCAGTTTTCCACCAATCAAATGGTGGTATCAATACCTCCCTAGGTGGAGAGTGTGCTGAAATAAACAAGGTAACACCTGTAAAACGCCCACTTAGCACACCGGGTAGCGCCTATTAAAAGTGGCAGCTGTTAGCAACGGTTAGGCAAGCCGTCTCTTCCCTTCTCCCACCCCTCCTCTTCCTGCTCCTCCTTTCCCCGCTTTCCAGTTTCTCCTGCCCCTGACCCCGACCCTCCTCACTCACCCCCTGTGCTTGGTCACCGGCACCACGGTGCGCACGGGCTGCATGACCCCTCCTTCGGGACCGCTGGAGAAGTTGGCCAGGGCCGTCTCTAGAGGCGGGATGAGGAGGCTGGAGCTGCGGAGGTGTTCCTCCACCTCGGCCGCGCTCAGGAACGCTGGTACCCGGCTCATCTCGCCACCTGTGCCTTCTAACCTCAGTCTCCGCACCGCGATCCACGTACCCTCGGCTGTGCCCTTTATGAGCGCGCCCGCTGCTCTGTGGAGCCGCCTGCTGGTCACAGCCCAGCCTCCGGGGGCGGAGCAACCCCGCCCCGCCCCGCCAGCCCTCTCCTCCCCCTTCGCCCACCTCGACCCCTAAGGGTGGGCGAGATGGGTCCCTTCCAGCAACGGATTCCCCAAGATGGACATCGCGGTGGCGTGCTGGGAGTCAATATTGTTTGGTCCACTTTCTCAGTTCCTGTAATCAGCTGTAGCCACATTCCTTGACTTTTGCTTCCTACATAACCCCTCCCTATTAACTCGCTTTTTGCTGCTGTCTAGGTCACCGTGCCTGGGAAAGAATGGACAGGGAAAACGCTAACGGGGCTCCTTTATTTATTAAATTACTGCCTACTGCTAGGAGATAAAAGGAGACGGAGGCTTATTTAATTTTTTTTTCCTTTTAATTCTGTCCCCGTCTAGAGTCTCTTATCCTAGTCTTCCTCCCCCCTGTACCCCCAGATGTCTGGCCTTTGATTGCTAAGAACGCACAGTTTTCTCACAGGCTAACTAACCTAACAAACCTTCGCCTTTAAAGGGGGGAAGTTTGCAGGGCAAGGTGTAATCTTTTCCATCTCACAAAAAGCCAAATTGCAGGATCTTTTCTTCCAGGAGTTTTTACCTGAGATGGGGAAATAAAATCGGAAAGGAATGATGTAAAGCTTAAGGCAATAAATCCTAGTCATCAAATCAGTGATAGGAAAAGTAAGTTAATTCAAAGAAAAGAGAGATGATTTTGACCTGGAGTGGTTAGATAAGGGCTTCATGAAAGAGTGGGGAGAAACCAAGGTCTGAAATAATAATAGTGACGACAACAATGATAACATCAGGTTATTGATCTTTACTATGTACCAGATACTGCACCATGCACTTTATGTATATTATCTCATTTAATTATACAACAACCTCTAAGGTAGGGAGGTGTTGTTATTAGTTTTACTGTCCATTGGAGGCTCTGAGAAGGGAAGAAATTTAGTTCAAGGTCATCCACCAAGTCAGCAGAGGAGCTGGCTTTGCCCATGGTTGGACTTCAGAATTATATTCCTAATCATTAAGCTACTTTGGCAGAAAGAGAGGAAGAGGGCATTACAGGCCAAGTAAAGCCCTGAGGTGGAAGGCATGTTGAATAGCTCTGGGAACAGTGAGTTGCCAGATGTGTTAGGCTGGAATAAGGTGCTGAGGTCTAGGAGCATCAGAAGATAAAACTGAGAACGATTCTTGGAGTCAGGCAGCTGAGAATGGTGATTCCTAGGAAAGAAATTACATGCTCCAAGAGAGTAAGCATTTAGAAAGATGGGTCTTCTGCCAATGCAAAGGATGGAACAGATGAGCGAGAGCAGAGCCTGGGAGAAGGTCAAGAGGCAGGACTGCTGAAGTTGTGCTTTGTGGTATTTTGGTTGGAAGCTACATAGGGCATTTTGTAGGAAATGGTCACATCATGATAAAAGACAGTGGATGAGTAAGTGTCAAAATCAGTACCAATGAAATGAGAAATTGTACATAATGTGTTTAGCAACAGTGCTTGGCACAGAGTAGCCATGTAATAAGTGAACACTGAGAGAGAAAGAGAGAGAGAGAGAAGACACTGGTGGTTGGGAAAAGCTGATTTCAATGACACAATTTTGTTTCTTCGGTTCACCATCCCTAGAAATTTATGCCCAGAGCCGCTGGGCTTATAGAAATGTTTCTGGCCCATCACGTGTGCTGTTAGCATTAATATTACATCACATTTATTGGGTTTAGAAAGCACAGACATATAGCCCTGGCATGATAGTTCACGCCTGTAATCCTAGCACTTTGGGAGGCCCAAGTGGGTGGATTACCTGAGGTGAGGAGTTCGAGACCAGCCTGGCCAACATGGTAAAATCTTCTCTCTACTAAAAATACAAAAATTAGCTGGGTGTGGTGGCGGGTGCCTGTAATCCCAGCTACCCAGGAGGCTGAGGCAGGAGAATTGCTGGAACCCGGGAGATGGAGGCTGCAATGAGCCAAGATTGCACCACTGCACTCCAGCCTGTGTGACACAGTAAGACTTTTTTGGCCCTTTGTTTTTGTGAATGTGAACTAAAAATAAAATCCTATGCCCCCCACCTACTGAATGAACCCCCTCTGGGCCAAGCAGACCCCAGAAAAACCTTAAAGACTTAGTTTCCAGCCATGATGGGATGGCAAATCAGATATGCCTCATTACATCCTCTCCCTTTTAGAGTTTAGACACAACTGAGCAGCCTTAATGTTAATACAGAGATCACAAGACTGACAGAACAGACTCTTTGTGGCAATACGATAACAAATTATAAACAGGATCTAAGGCCATGCCAGGAAGGGTTAAGTCACGCACCCTTACACTTAAAGAAAAAAGCTATGTTCTAACTGCCACAGAGTTTTTGTTTTCTCCAGCAGCTAAACAAGCACTGGCTTGAAGATAAGCAATATTTTTGTTTTTGTTTTCCCCAGCCCTGCTCAGAGAAGATAGGGAACATGGCTTGGGCACAGTGGCTCACACCTGTAATCCCAGCACTTTGGGAGGCCAAGGCGGGCGGATCATGTGAGGTCAGGAGTTTGAGACCAGCCTGGCCAACGTGATGAAACCCCATCTCTACAAAAAGTACAAAAATTAGCCAGGTGTGGTAGCATGTGCCTGTAATCCCAGCTACTCAGGAGGCTGAGGCAGGAGAATTGCTTGAACCAGGGAGGTGGAGGTTGCAGTGAGCCGAGATCGTGCCACTGCACTCCAGCCTGGACAACAGAGTGATTCTCTCTCTCTCTCACTCTCTCTCTCTCTCTCTCTCTCTCTGTATATATATATATACACAAACATATATGTATATACATATATACGTATCTATGTATCTATATAGATATGTATATGTATCTATGTATCTATATAGATATGTATATATGTGCATATATATATATATAAATTTTTTTTTTGAAACAAAGTCCCTCTCTGTCACCCAGACTGGAGTGCAGTGGCATGATCTCAAGTGATTCTCCTGCCTCAGCCTCTCAGGTAGCTGGGATTACAGGTGCATGCCACCACCCCCGGCTAATTTTTGTACTTTCAGTAGAGATGGGGTTTTGTCATGTTGGCCAGGCTGGTCTCGGTCTCGAACTCCTGACCTGAGATGATCCACCCGCCTTGGCCTCCCAAAGTGCTGGGATTACAGGCATGAGCCACCGTGCCCGGCTGAAGATATGCAATATTAAAACAATTACAACTCATCCAAATCACAGATATTGACTAACCGACCCCTTGTTCCACCAGCCATAACTACAGCTTGATTGGACAAGAGACTGATTTCAGTAACTTTCTCCTGATAAGACTACCGACTATAGGATGGTTCTGGCTGACTTACAGAGGTTGCACACTTGCATGCCTTCATGTCCTGAAAAGACCTTTTGACGTATCAGGCTGAATTGTAATACATTTAAATGCTGCAACCACCCCAAAATGAACATGAGTTGTATGTAACATGCATGTTTGTTAAATACACATGCATCAGGACCACTTTCATGAATATTCATAGCTTCTTCTCTCACCTGTTGAATATGTATATTTAGCCAACCTGTTGAGCATAAAGCTCCTACCCCAACCCTCCTCCTTCAAAGTGCCTGTCTCTGATCTTGGCCAAGGCATGTGATATGGTTTGGCTCCATGTCCACACCCAAATCTCTTCTTATAGCTCCCATAATTCCCACATCTTGTGGGAGGGACCCAGTGGGAGATGACTGAATCATGGAGGCGGGTCTTTCCCCTGCGGTTCTGATGATAGTGAATGAGTCTCACGAGATCTGATGGTTTTAAAAATGGGAGTTGCCCTGCACAAGCTCTCTCTTTGCTATTGCCCTCCATGTAAGATGTGACTTGTTCCTCCTTGCCTTCCACTATGATTGTGAGGCCTCCCCAGCCATGTGGAACTGTAAATCCAATAAGCCTCTTTCTTCTGTAAATTGCCCAGTCTCAGGCATGTGTTTATAGACAGCATGAAAACGGAATAATACAGCGTGCTTCCCAGCATAGGATCCCACCTTGCAGGCTGTAACCTCGTATAAGAAAGTCTCTTCTTGTCTAAATTTATAAATTGTGTGGTTTTTTTTTTAAAGTTAACAAGGAGAAAAAAAGCAAAACCAAATACTCATCAACTAAAAGAGATATGAAATAAGAAAGCCAGATATTTATTTGCTTCCATAGTAAATTCAGGAATTTAGCCCCGATTAAATAGAAATCTTATTTCTGACTCCCACATTACTAGAAAGTTTATTAATCTTCTTTAAGTCATGATTATAATAGTAATTTCATTATTTTAACAATGACAAAATAAGAAACCTCAATAATAGGAATTCACTCCAGTGAATCCTGTAGAAACAGGACAACTCTGCAAATCATCTCAAATCATCTTCCTGATAAAGCTTTGGTTCACATCACCCAGGTCCTCAGTAAAGTAGCACTGAGAAAACTAGTCTTGGTTGCATCACTTCTTTTGAGACCAGAGGCACAGAGAACTAATTGTCCCAAGCCTCCAATAATAAGTATTATTAATAAGTAGCATATTAAATATTAGGTGTTATTGAGGTTTATTTTATTATTATTAAAATAATGAAATTATTATTATAATTATGACTTAACAGAAAGAAGATTAATAAACTTTTTAGTAATGCAGGGGTCAGTATTGAGAAAGCTGGTGTAAATCTCTTTTCCCCGCCCTTCCCTGAGACCTTGTCCTGGGACAAGCCTGGGGGCCATGTAAGCTCCTGTGCCTGAGCCTCTGGAAGTTCCCTGCTAACCCCTAACAGACCCTGCGGAGGAGGTGGTTACTTACATCCCCCTAGACTTCTGCCACTACCACAGTGAAGATGGCAGCAGGGTAGAGCTGTACCATAGTGAGGTACTCACCTATGGCACAAAATGTACGGGATTCACTCAGTAGTCATGATAAATATTAAACTAAAACATCTAAATGCAATATTTAAAATAAAAATCAATGCCAAAAAATCCACAGTGAACAGAGTACAAAAATTTTCAACAAAGACGGCTCAGGATTACTGACTTTTCCTTTTGCTGTAGATGCCAATACAGCTCCTCACGAAATTTTATCTTTACATTTTATTTTAAAATGTAAAAATATTGTATAAAAGTCTTTATTTTGACTATTGAGTTGGCTTCACCTTGAATGCTGCAGCCAAGGCGCGTGTCTCATTCCCCTTATCCCTAACCTCTGTCGTCCTAGAGTTGGGGGACTGAGCGGTGGGCCAGGACAAGCAACGGATGAAGTATCTCGGAAGCCGGAGAAGGGTGGTCTGGGGCTCTTGGGAGCATGCGCGGGGTGGGGCGGTGGGGGGACTGAGGTGGCGCTCCCGGCTCCTCCGCGCGCCCCCGGCACCTTCCGCGCGTCCCCGGCTCCCCACACTCCGTCCCCGGCTCCCCACACTCCCACCCCGGTCTGCCCCGGGCGCCCCCGGTTCCCCACCTCCTGGTGTGCCTCTGGCGGGTCCGCGCAGGATCAGGCTACAGACTCGCCCGCGGGCGGCTGCGCGGCGGGCCGTTGGGGAGGGTGTTGGGATGAGGAGCCCCAACCAGATGGACGCGCACCCCGCAGCGGCGGAGGCGGCGGCGAGGCTTGAGCAGTGAGTGCTCGGGAGCCCCGGCCAGCCCTTCCTCCTTCTGCCTGCGTCCTCTGCGCTGGCCGCTGCTCCAGACGCCAGGGGGCCCACCCGCTGCCCGTGGTCGGCGCGCGGAGCTCGAAAGCGCGCGCCTCTAACAAATGAAAACCCATAGGGACTTAGGGTTGAATTTTAACTTTTTTTTTTTTTTGGCTTATTGTTTAGTGCTAGATAGAAGGGTTTGAGCGGTGTAGTCAATTTTGGTGCTAGTCTGACTTGAGGCAACGTGACGTGACCTACGCGTCTCATCAGTAATGCAGAAATAACATTTTATCCACTTCATCGGGCTTTTCTTTTTCTTTTTCAGAAAATTGAGGTAAAATTCAAATAACATAAATTTCACCTTTTTTACCCTTCAAAGTGCACAGTTCCCTGACTTTTAGTATATTCACGATGTTGTGCGACCAACACTACCATCTAATCCCATTTTCATCACCCCCCAAATAAACCCTGTACTCATTCAGTTACATCCCATTCTCCTCTCCCCACTGCCTCTCCCAATTGCCAATCTACTTTTTTGTTTGTGGATTTGTAGGTTCTAGACATTTCTTTCTTTCTTTCTTTCTTTTTGTCTCCAGCTGCATCTACATTGCTGCAGAGGACATAATTCCATTCATTTTTATGGCTGTATAGTATTCCATAGTGTATATGTACCACGTTTTCTTTATCCAATCCACCATTGATAGGCACCTAGGTTGATTCTATGTCTTTGCTATTGTGAATGATGCTGCAATGAACATACAGACGCATGTATCTTTTAGTAGAATGATTTATTTTCCTTTGCGTATATACCTAGTAATGGGAATGCCGGGTCAAATGGTAGTTCTAAGTTATTTGAGAAATCCCCAAACTGCTTTCCACAGTTTCTGAACAAATTTACATTCCCACCAACAGTGTATAAGTGTTCTCTTTTCTCCACAGCCTCACCAGCATCTGTTTTTTGACTTTTTAATAATTGCCATTCTGACTGATGTGAGATGATATTCCATTGTGGTTTTTATTTGCATTTCCCTGATGACTGGTGATATTGAGCATTTTTTCATATATTTTTTGGTTACTCGTATGTCTTCTTTTGAGAAATGTTTGTTCCTTTTGCCCATGTTTTATTTGGGTTATTTGTTTTTGGCTTGTTGAATTGTTTCAGTTCCTTGTAGTTTTGTATATTAGACCCTTGTCAGATGCATAGTTGCAAAATAAACTTGGGGCTTATGATACTTCGCCTGATTATTTACATAAAACACAGTGGGCATAGTGAATGGCTTTTAAAAGTTGGCTTTGCTGGGACTTTTATACTAAATTTTGGATTAGACTTTTAAAAGTCTTGAGGCTAGGAAGCCAAACCAAGTATTTGCTTGGCTGTATCTGTAATACCTGTATGAATTGGGTTAATTTCTCTCTTCTTGAGTTCCCAAAATATACTGAGGCTCGTGGCCCTGCCAGAAAGTGACATTCTTTACTTAGTGCAAGCACAGAAACCATACAAGGGAACTGTGTAGACAAGGAACCATGCCAGACTTTCCAAAGGGCTTTTTATCAGCACTATAAAATTGTAAAGCTAATCTCAATTCCTCCAAGCAGTCTGGTCATCTCTGAAAATATGCCATTCCAGCCAAAGCCTTGATAAAATAGCCAGTGTATCTAATTATGTCCTGTTATAAAATAAAACAGATCCTTATTGAACTTATGCAAATAACTATTTTGCCATAAATTAAGAATACTCACAGTTTCCAAATTTGGGAGAAATCCAGTAGTGAGAAAGGCAAATGCTTCAAATTTGCCCACAAAGGTATATTTACCCAATTTTTGTAAGCTATGAATAGCTCAAAAGAAAAAAGGTTTATTAACTCTGGAAGCAAAACATAAAAAGAATCAGCAATGTTTCAAGCAAAAAAGTTATTAAAAATCATCTTTGTCCTCTATCAGTTTAGTCCCATGTAGCTAATTATTATTCCACTTGATGTTGGGTTAGCAACCCTCATGAATGCATCAGGTTTTTTATTAGAGCTCTGGAAGTTTTTGCCCACTCCAATGGTGTGATCTCCAAAGTTATCAGAAACCTGGATTCAAGAGTACTTGTCATAGTTCTTTCCATGAAGTTCCTTAAGAAGAAGCCAATTTTGGACTGTAGCTGATTATAAACCACTTTTTGAGAAGAATCAAAATAAAACAATAATTGAGAATGACAAATCTCTTAGAATAGACATAGTTAAAGACAGAATTTTTTTTTTTTTTTGAGACAGAGTCTCACTCTATCGCCCAGGCTGGAATGCAATGGCGTGATCTCAGCTCACTGGAACCTCCACCTCCTGGGTTCAAGCAATTCTCTTGCCTCAGCCTCCCAAGTAGCTGGGATTACAGGCGCCGGCCACCACGCCCAGCTAATTTTTTTTTTTTTTTTTTGTATTTTTAGTAGAGGATTTTGCCATGTTGGCCAGCCTGGTCTTGAACTCCTGACCTCAGGTGACCCACCCGCCTCGGCCTCCCAAATTGCTGGAATTACAGGCATGAGCCACCGCACCCAGCCTAAAGACATAATTGACAAGGATATTTGATTATTTCTGTGGCATACAATTTAACATCATTGTAATGATTACCGATAACATATACCAAGACATATCAGAATTGTAGGAATTTCTTACAATTTTGGAACATACTTTAATAACACTTTTATGTAAATATGACTCAAAGAAAGTCAAGCACCATTTCTTATTTGCCAGTGTTTCCTATATAATTTTAACATATTAAATAAGCCTACTATGTCTCTCTTGGACATCTAGGAGTTCCTTTTGGAAGATACTTAATTTTAGGCCGGGCGCAGTGGCTCACTCCTGTAATCCCAGCACTTTGGGAGGCCAAGGCGGGTGGATCATGAGGTCAGGAGATGGAGACCATCCTGGCTAACACGGTGAAACCCCATCTCTACTAAAAATACAAAAAATTAGCTGGGCGTGGTGGTGGGCGCCTGTAGTCCCAGCTACTAGGGAGGCTGAGGCAGGAGAATGGCGTGAACCCAGGAGGCGGAGTTTGCAGTGAGCCAAGATCACGCCACTGCACTCCAGCCTGGGCGACAGAGCGAGACTCCGTCTCAAAAAAAAAAAAAAGGAAAATACTTAATTTTAGAATTTGAAATTTGATTTTTGGAAGTATGTCAAATACTAAAGGCTTAAAACACTTCATCAAAATAGAATCACTGGTCACTGTAAAATAATAGTCATTCATTTACTCAAAGTGATAATTCAAAGATTTCAAATAGAAAAGCCTTTACTCTTTGTTAGAGAGGAAATTGTTTTCCAAACAACCATAAGACCTATTTTTTGGTAGAGTTTGAGAAGGTATGATATAACAGAAATATGTATTTGGTCTTCATCCCTTGTTCCTGGCACAGAGCTCCCACAGTCCTTGGAATTTCTGGAATGAATGGAATATCTTTTCTTATTCAAAACTTGACCATACGTGAGTTTATGCTAATAAAGTGACCCCAGGAAGGCCCTTAGATAGCTTGAGGATAGGTGCTGGTTGCCAGAGGAATCAACCATGTGATGAGGATTGAAACTTTCAGCCCACATCCTCACCCCTGATCTCCAGGAGGGAAGGAGACAGGAGATTGAGTTCAGTCACCAAAGGCCATTGCTTTAACCAATCATGATTACATAATGAAGTCTTGATACAAACTCTTGAACAATGAGATCTGGAGAGCTTCTGGGTTGGTGAACCCATCGGTGTGCTGGGAGGGTGGCACACTGGAGAGGGCACAGAAGCTCTGTGTCCCATGCCCCTTGCCCTGTGCACTTCTTCATTTGCCTGTTCTTTTGTAATAAACTGTAATTGTAAATGTAGCACTTTCCTTAGTTCTGTGAGTTGTTTTTAGCACATTATCAAACCAGAGGAACAATTGTGGGAGTCCTAACATTTGTAGTTATCCAGGCAGAAGTGCAGGTACCCTGTATTCCCTATTTGTGGCTGTGTCTAAAGCGGGTGCAATCTTGTGGGATTGGTTCTTTAACCCATGGAGTCTGTGCTAACTTATAAGCTTAAGCAACAAATGAGTCAAATAAAAAATCACAAGGGAAATTCGAAAATACTTTGTAGTGCTAGAATTGAATTCAATTGTAGGACACCCAGTTGGGGTGTCAGAGAATAGGACAATTGGTTGTTTATTTAAAAACCAAACAGGAGGACCAATGTAAATTATTCTTTAGATGTTTGGTGGAATTCACCATTGAAGCCATCTTATCCCAACCTTTTCTTTGCTGAGAGGTTTTTAGTTACTAATTAAATATCTTATTATAGGTCTATTCAGATATTTTACTTGTTCTTGAGTTAGTTTTGTAGTTTGTGTGTTTCTAGAAATGTGTCCTTTTCATCTAGGTTATGAATTGTGTCCTTTTCATCTAGGTTATCAATTGCCCTACATTTGTTCATAGTATTCTCTTGTAATGTTTTTTAATTTTTGTAAGATTGGTAGTAATGTCTTCTCTTAGTTTCCTGATTTTAATAATTTGAGGCTTCTTTCTTATTTTGGTCAGTCAATATAAAGGTCTTTGATTTGTGTTGATTCTTTAAAGGGATTGTATATTTTCCCTGGCCTGTTGTTTTTACATTCTCTATTTATCTCTGTTTTAGTCTTTATTATTTCCTGCCTTCCACCGGCTTTGGGTTTGGTTTGCTCTTCTTTTTCCAGTTTTTAAGGTGGAAGACTAGATTATTTATTTGAAATAGTTTTAAATGTAAGAATAAATGTGAAAAAACTAAACTGCTTTTCTTATAAGTTTTGGTATACCATATTTTTGTTTTCATTCATGTCAAAGTATTTTCTAATTTCCCTTATGATTTTTTATCTGACTCATTTGTTGCTTAAGTTTGTATTGTCTAATTTACACATATTTGTGTATTTTCAGATTTCCTTCTGTTACTGATTTCTAATTTTGTTCCATTGCAGTCATAATAAGATGCTTCATATTATTTCAGTTTTTTATAATTTATTAAGACTTGTTTTGTGGCCTAATTAATGGTCTGTCCTGGATAATTTTTTTATGTACACTTGAGAAAAAAATGTGTATTTTGTTATTGTTGGGTAGAGTATTTTATATATACCTTTAGGTCAGGTGGTTTATTTTGTTGTTCATATCTTATATTTGTTTGATCAATGTAGTTGTTCTATAATTATTTAAAGTGGGGTATTGACATCTCCAACTACTATTGTTGAAAGCCCTTAAATCTGTCAGTTTTTGCTTCATATATTTTAGGGCTGTGTTGTTAGGACCATATATGTTTGTTACTGTTGTATCTTCTTCATGAATTAACCCATTTAATAGTATATAATGTCCTTCATCTCTTATAACCGTTTTTATCTTAAAGCCTATTTTGTCTGACATTAGTAGAATCATTCCAGCTCTCTTTTGGTTACCGTTTGCATTGAATATATTTTTCTGTCTTTTAAACTTTTATTTGTGCCTTTAAATTTAAATTGAATCTGTTGTAGGTAGCATATGGTTGGATCATGCTTGTTAAAATCCATTCTGCCAATCTCTATCCTTTAATTGGAGCAGTAATCTATTTATATTTAATGTAATCACTGATAGGGAAAGACATACTTCTACCATTTTGTCATAAGAATGTCATAAGAATTTACATATTAGGTGCAAACTTACCCTCTACCTCCTCACTCAGGTGACACCCTCTCTTCTGTCAAAGTGAGAGTTGAAGCCAGCTGGGCTGCTGGCACAGGTGCCCGGCTTTTATTCCCTTATTTGGCCCTGCCCACATCCTGCTGATTGGCCCATTTTACAGAGCGCTGATTGGCCCATTTACAGAGTGCCGATTGGTCCATTTTACAGAGTACTGATTGCCAGCTGGGCTTCTGGGTGGAGTGGGGACTTGGAGAACTTTTGTGTCTAGCTAAAGGATTGTAAACACACCAATCAGCACTCTGTAAAATTGCACCAATCAGCACTCTGTGTCTAGCTAAAGGATTGTAAATGGACCAATCAGCACTCTGTAAAATGGACCAATCAGCACTCTGTAAAATGGACCAATCAGCACTCTGTAAAATGGACCAATCAGTGTTCTGTAAAATGGACCAATCAGCAGGATGTGGGTGGGGCCAAATAAGGGAATAAAAGCTGGCCACCAGAGCCAGCAGTGGCAATGTCGGATCCCCTTCCATGCTGTGGGAACTTTTTTCTTTTGCTGTTCACAATAAGTCTTGCTGCTGCTCACTGTTTGGGTCCACACTACCTTTGTGAACTGTAACACTAACCACGAAGGTTGTAGGCTTCATTCCTTAAGTCAGTGAGACCACGAACCCACCGGGAGGGACAAACAACCTGGATGTGCCACCTTTAAGAGCTGTAACACTCACTACAAAGGTCTGCAGCTTCTCTCCTGAGGTCAGCAAGACCACAAACCCACTGGAAGGAAGAAACTCGGGACACATCTGAACATCTGAAGGAACAACTCTGGACACACCATCTTTAAGAATTGTAACACTCACCGCAAGGGTCCGTGGCTTCTTTCTTGAAGTCAGCGAGACCAAGAACCCACGGGAGGGAACCAATTCTGGCCACAAAAGCATCTTACAAATATGCTTTTTGCTCAGACTTATAATTTCATCTTTTTTTCCAGTAATTTGAACTCAGTCTTGAAGTCTTACAGTGACAGTTCAGAGCCTTACCTCTTAAACATGTTTCTTATTTACTCATATATATTCATAAACTGTTATACATATTTAATTTAGTATTTAGAGGAATCTCAGCATCAAGTTTGTTTCTCTGAGGATGTATGTCCTTTCAACTGATGATATATTCCTTATCCTCTTTCCACTGTTGAGTCCTAGGCTACATTTCCTATCACATCTTTGCTTTTTCATTGGTTATATAAAATAAACGGTATGAGAAATAATCAGCATTGGTTTCTTGTTCGCATGAGATGACAGGAAGACAGATGATATGGACATCAGCTTTCCCAAAAGGATTTTCCAAAGCTGTAATTATCAACACAAACTATGTTTCAAGAAATCAGGGGTAGTATACTTTATGCTAAAAACGGAGGGTTTGTGAGAATAATGTTACAGCTTTTAATTTTCTCTGTTTAATTTTATCAACTTGGGAGACTTTTGTTATCCTGGGACAGTTCATTTCATATAAAGCATGCTAACATTATCTTTTTCATTGCAGATTGGAATAATACTTTTAAAAACTTTCTGCTTGATTCATTCCTGCTGGTACCCATTTATAACCTTGGGATGAGCATCAGCAAATACTATGATATCCAAGAGGTGAATATGTTGTGTTCCTGTTGAAAAGTATTCCTAACTCCATAAATTACAGTACAGAAAGTGAGTATCTGAGGCTCTACAAATCTCATCAGAGCTACTGGTAGTCAATTACTTATTACATGTGAATAATTCTACCTACATTACTGTGAATCTTGACAATAACTCAAGTTATATGTTATCCTCATTTTGAAAAAACTAAACCTTACACAATGTAAAAACTTGCTCAACACCACAAAATTTGTACAAGATAGCACTAAGATTCAAAGCTTATGTGCATAATGCATTTTCTCTGTGGGAAAGAATCTCTGTGATTAGTATCTATATTGTATTATACATTAATCTCAATAGAGGGGAAAGCACTTGAAAAAATTTAACACCCTTTTATGATGAAACTTCTCAACATCTTTGCATGTGCTTATTTGCCACATGTGTATCATCTTTGGTGAAGTGACCGGTGAACTTTTCTTTCATTTATTGTTGAATTGGTCTTTTTTCTTACTATTGGGTTTTGAGAATTCTTTGTACGTTCTGAATATCAGCCCTTTGTGTAGTAAGCCATTTGCAAATATTTTGTCCCAGACTATGGCCTTTTATTTTTTTCAAAGCATCTTTTAAGAACCAAACGTTTTTAATTGTGGTGAAGTTAAATTTATCATTTTTTAGTGAATTGTGCTTTTAGTGCTATATCTAAAAAACTTTGCCCAATACAGAGTCACAAAAGCTTGATTGGATGTCTTCTTCTAGAAGTTTTACTTAAGAGAAATGAAAGCATATGAACATAGAAACACTTGTATGCAAACATTCATAAATAGCTTTAATTATAAAGGCCAAAAATTGAAAATAACCCAATGTCCATCAACATGTGAATGGGTAATCAAACTGTGAATTATTCATACAATGGAATACCCTCAGCAATAAAAATGAATGATCTACCAAAAAAGAGACTTTTCAGCAAAGGAGGACTAGAATGAAACATCTTCACTTTGAGTAAGGAAATCTAGAAATATCTATTGCTAATATCATTTTCAAGGCAATACCATTGTGGTAGCATGAAATACATAAAACATTTAGGGAAAATTTTAAAAAAGATGTGCAGTACCTGTACACTGAAGACTGAAAACATTGCTGAGAAAAATTAAAGATGACTTGAGATAATGGAGAAATATACCTTATTCATGGATCAGAAGACTCAATATTTTTAAATTGTCAATTGTCCCCAAATTGATTTATACGCTCAAAACAATCTCAATCAACATCCTAGAGGCTTTTTATTTTTGGTAGAAATTTAGCTGATTCTAAAATTTATATGGAAATTCAAAAGAACTTCATTATCCAAAAATATATATTTTCTTAATTGCAAGATTTTGTGACAACTCATTTTAAAACTTATTATAAAACTACAGTAATTAAGACAATGTGGTATTAACATAAGTAGAGACATAGATGACAGATGGATGGATGGATAGATAGATAGATAGAATAAGATACAGAGTTCAAAAATAGATTCACACATGTATGGCCAATTGATTTTGGATTCAAAAGAACTTTATTATCCCAAACTATACTTTTTTAATTGCAAGACTTTGCACCAACTTATTTGAAACCTTATTATAAAACTACGATAATTAAGACAGTGTGGTATTAGCATGAGTAGAGACAGAGAAGATAAATGCATGGATGGATGGATGGATGGATTGATGGATGAACGGATGGATGGATGAATGAATAGATGGATAGGTAAGTAGATAGAAGATAGATAGATAGATAGATAGATAGATAGAATAAGATACAGAGTCCAAAAATAGATTCATACATGTATAGTCAGTTGATTTCAGATGAGGTGCCAAAGTAATTCAAATGAGAAAGGATAGTCATTTCAATTAGTGGTCATGGCCCTAACCTGTAAAAGCTTGTGATTATTTGATACCTAGCAAACAGACAAATAAAATCCCTATAACCTCTTAACTCTATCCCAGTAGGAAGAAGGTTGTGAAAACTGTGCATTCTAAAAGACAGCGTAGATTGAAACACCCACTTTGGATGCACCAAGGGAAAAGCAAATCTGAGTGCTACAGGAGACAGTGAACAAGGGAATCTCTCATAGAGAGCAGGTGAGGATTCTGCAGAAAAGAGAATACGGAACACAGTGGCAACAGCGGTAGATCCATCATGAGCTGGGAAATACTGAAAAAAATCTCTGAGAACTAGACCTAGTCAATCAAAATCCTGGTTATAGGGGGAAATAAATAAAGAGGCTTGAAAATGTGCAAAGCTATAAATGTTAATCTTGAGAGATATTAATTTGGAGGTTAGAGAGAAGCAACTTAGAAAATAGAAGTGCCCTTTAGAATTAGGGTAGCAAAGAGAAATAAGGACATGTCCAGCATAATTTAACTTCATACAGATATTAGCAAGAATCACAGAATTGAGTCGCTTCATTCCCTTAGAAAAAGTTCTATTTGTTAAAGAAACTGCACTTCACTGTATTAATAGAAGAAGATGAATATGTACTAAGAAGCTTACAAACTAATCAAAATATTACCATTCATCCATTAAATCACTTGTTATTGTTGGTTCAGATAATCAATTTAATATGCCATAAGAAGGAAACAGAAGAATATCAAAATACTTCAATTGATGAAAATTCCTGTCCCTCACCTGCCAAAGGAAACTAACCACAAAGCAGAGGGAAATAGTAACTAAGTATCAATATACGGGAAACTGGAGAACAATTTGTCAGCAAAAAGGTAGAATACGCATAACTTCTCATTACCATCTCACAAAAGCTTCAAAAATTAGCAGAAACTGTCTGAACCAATTTTGTCAGGACTATGGAAAACAATCAAAAGTTTATAGCAACCAAATGAATACTGAACCAATAAAAAAGTCACTTCAAAACAGTGGATAGTTTTGTGATGATTTTACACGCCCTTGCCCCTCTCCCTCCCTGGCACAGGAGTGGTCGTGGTCTTGAAGCAGGAGTAGTCTGCAGTCCCAGTTTTGGACCGTTTTCCCTGGCTCTGGAGGGTGCGGAGCAGAATTTATTCGCAAATTATTATTATTTTTTTAAATTTACTTTAAGTTCCGGGATACATGTGCAGAATGTGCAGGTTTATTACATAGGTATACATGTGCCATGGTGGTTTGCTGCACCTATCAACCTATCATCTAGGTTTTAAGCCCCATGTGCATTAGGTATTTGTCCTAATGCTCTCCCTCTCCTTCCCCGCCACCCCCTGACAGGTCTCAGTGTCTGATGTTCCCCTCCCTGTGCCCATGTGTTCTCACTGTTCAACTCCCACTTATGAGTGAGAACATGCAGTGTTCGGTTTTCTGTTCCTGTGTTAGTTTGCTGAGAATGTTGGTTTTCAGCTTCATCCATGTCCCTGCAAAGGACATGATCTCATTCCTTTTTTTTTTTTTTTCTTTTTTTTTTGAGACAGTCTTGCTCTGTTGCCCATGCTGGAGTACAGTGGCGCGATCTCGACTCACTGCAACCTCCACCTCCTGGGTTCACACCATTCTTCTGCCTCAGCCTCCCAAGTAGCTGGGACTACAGGCACACACCACCACGCCCAGCTAATTTTTTTGTATTTTTAGTAGAGACAGGGTTTCACCATGTTGGCCAGGATGGTCTCGATCTCCTGACCTCGCAATCCACCCACCTCAGCCTCCCAAAGTGCTGAGATTATAGGCGTGAACCACCACACCGTGCTGATTTCATTCTTTTTATGGCTGCATAGTATTCCATGGTATATATGCACCACATTTTCTTTATCCAGTCTATCACTGATGGACATTTGGGTTGGTTCCACGTCTTTGCTATTGCAAATAGTGCTGCGATAAACATACATGTGCATGTGTCTTTACAGTAGAATGATGTGTATTCCTTTGGGTGTATGCCCAGTAATGAGATAGCAGGGTCAAATGGCATTTCTGGTTCTAGATCCTTGAGGAATCACCACACTGTCTTCCACAGTGGTTGAACGAATTTAAATTCTCACCAACAGCGTAAAAGTGTTTTTTCCTATTTCTCCACAGCCTTGCCAGCATCTGTGGTTTCTTGACTTTTTAATAATCTCCATTCTGACTGGCATGAAATGGTATCTCATTATGGTTTTGATTTGCATTTCTCTAATGATCAGTGATGTTGAGCTTTTTTTTATGTGTTTGTTGGCTTCATAAATGTCTTCTTTTTAGAAGTGTCTGTCATATCCCTTGCTCACTTTTTGATGGGGTTTTGGAATAGGTAGTTCTTTTTATGTCAGTTTTGTATGTTGTGCTTTTCAAGGAATTCGTCCATTTCACTTAAATTGTTAACTATAGTAATACAATGGTATAAAGTTATTTGTAATATCAAAAAAGAAAATTAGGCCAGATGTGGTGGTTCACGTCTATAATCTCAGCACTTTGGGAGGCCGAGGTGGGCAGATCACCTGAGGTCAGGAGTTTGAGACCAGCCTGGCCAACATGGTGAAACTCTGTCTTTACTAAAAATACAAAATTAGCTGGGTGTGGTGGCACATGCCTATAGTCCCAGCTACTTGAGAGGCTGAGGGAGGAGAATCGCTTGAACCCAGGAGATGGAGGCTGCAGTGAGCCGAGATCATGCCACTGCACTTCAGCCTGGGCAAGACAGATCAAGACTCCGTCTAAAAAAAAAAAAAGAAAGTTATTTTGTTGCACCCCATCTCCTATATATGAAACTATTTCCAAAACCATAAGAAAATTCATCTCACTAAAACATGAACAAATTAAAAGATTATAATTGAACTCCATAGAAAAATATCATAAGTAAAAGACCATTTTCCACCATGTCCAGCTAATTTTTGTATTTTTAGTAGAGACAGGGTTTCACCATATTGGTCAGGCTGGTCTCCAACTCTTGACCTCGAGTGATCCACCCGCCTTGGCCTCCCAAAGTGTTGGGATTAAACGTGTGAGTCACTGCACCCAGCTGGAGTTTTTTAAGTAAACATTTAAGAAACACTTACTTTTCAAGAGCTAATAGTGTGGAAAGTGTAAGGGAAATGGAGATTGGAAAAGAGAAAAATAGAAAAACAATCAAATGGAAATATAGATGAGAACTTGTCAGGGAGAAATAAGGCAATATCAATTCAAAACAATTATGAAAGCAGTCCACAAAGATAAAAAGCAAAACCACAGAACAAATACTAAAACCTATCATTCAAGAAAATTTCCTGAAATAAAAGAACACAAATCTACTCATTGAAAGGGCAACCAGTATACCTGAAAAAACTGACCCCTAATCACTAACACCAAGGAATATTCTAATAAACTACTTCACTTTAATAATAAAATGGGGCAGGGACTTTTATATATGTAGACAAAAAAGACAAGCATTTTATAATAGAAAAAGTCAGATCGAGTGCAGATTTTGTAACAAGAAGGTCTTATGCCAGGAGAGCAAGTCAGATGTTTAAGATACTCACTGAGGCCGGGGGCTCACGCCTGTAATCCCAGCACTTTGGGAGGCTGAGGCGGGCGGATCATGAGGTCAGGAGATCGAGACCATCCTGGCTAACACGGTGAAACCCCGTCTCTACTAAAAATACAAAAATTAGCCGGGCATGGTGGCAGACACTTGTAGTCCTAGCTACTCAGGAGGCTGAGGCAGGAGAATGGTGTGAACCTGGGAGGTGGAGCTTGCAGTGAGCCGAGATCGCGCCACCGACTCCAGCCTGGGCGACAGAGCAAGACTCCGTCTCTAAAAATAAAAATGAAAAATAAATAAAGATATTCAATGAAAGAAAAACACAAGCAAGGTTTTTACCTCCAGTCGAAGTGACCTTCAAGATTAAAAGTCACAAAAGGCCAGGCGCGGTGGCTCACGCCTGTAATCCCAGCACTTTGGGAGGCCAAGGCAGGTGATCACCTGAGGTCAGGAGTTCGAGACCAGCCCGGTCAACATGGTGAAACCCCATCTCTACTAAAAATACGAAAAATTAGCCGGGCATGGTGGCACATGCATGTAATCCAAGCTACTCGGGAGGCTGAGGCATGACCATTGCTTGATCCGGGAGGCAGAGGTTACAGAGAACTGAGATCTCACCATCGCACTCCAGCCTGGGCAACAAGAGCAAAACTCCATCTAAAAAAAAGAGAAAAGAGTCACAAAGACTCATGAACACAAGGAATGCTGTTTCTATTAGCTCTTCCTGAAGAATATACAAATGAAAAAAATTCCCATTAACTAAAAATTGATTGGCAGAGCTTGTGTGTAAGAACTAATGGTGGGCATTGACTATATGTGCCTCTAAAATTTGGGCTAAATGAAAGGTATCTGTGTGATAAAATATAACATAATTGATACATATTTTAAAAATGCATAAATGTTTCTGTATCATGAATATAACAATAAATAGAACCAACCAGAGTGGGGATATGTGCCATGTGAGTGTCTTATGCATGTATGTAGATATGTGTATTTCCATTGACATGTAATTACAGAACAGTGTGGGAGAACTTCTATAGAACATATTGGTCCTCTCAGTAAACATAGAAAGGCTTAATTCTCTGACTAGATGAAAAAAATATTTTTCAGATTGGCTAACAAGCAAAATCCAACTCTGCGGTATGTAAGAAACACAACTAAAGCAAACTGTATCACAGAGGTTAAAAATAAAAGAATGATCTTTATGTTCTCATGCTAGACCAATACTTGGCCTTTAGCAATGCATTAAAAAATGTTTAAATCTTCTTACCAATTGATATATCATTTTCAGTGTCTGCCTTGTATAAGTAGATGCTTGTCCTGTTGCTCCCTGCAGGCACCTGTCTCTCCCATGATGCTGAGTTAGGTGTTTGTCCAGTATTTGCCCAATCAGAGAACTGATAGGTTAAATAAAAGCTATTAATTTGCAGTTTGTCCAGCCTTTCCTTATGTGAAGAGTGAAAGGGATATTCACCAGTTCTGTGTACCTCCAAGGGAAAGCTAAAGTTGGCTTAACCAATTTTACAAAAAGCAATGACCCAAAAATTCTACCTTTAGGTATATACCCGAGATACTTGCATCCACTTCTCCCAAGAGATACGTAAAATAATATTCAAATAAGTTATATTCACAAAAGTCAAACACTAAAAACAACCCGCATGTCTCTATTAGTAAACAAATGGGAAATATACAACATTCATATACCAGATTACTGTGCAGAAAGGAAAATGATGAATTATAATTACATGCAACATGAGTGAAGTTTCCAAACATAATATTGAGTGAAGCAGAAAGAAAGGAATGAATACTGGATGATTCCATTCATATAAAGTTCAGAAGTAGAAAAATTGAAATCACAATTTTAGGGGTGCATGTGTAGATAAAATGATAAAAAGGGAACTGTTAGGGAATTGCTCAAATAACAATAAAAGCAATGGATACTTTTTATAGAGGACAGAAGCTGGGAAATAGCCCATGGGAATGTATGGGTTATTATTACTTGACCTGGATAGGGTGGTTTTGTGTGTATTTGCTTTAAATAATTCATTAAGCTCGATGTTTGAAATATCTCATATTTATTTGTGTGATCATGAAGGCAATACATGCTTTAAGACTAACATTAAGAAAAATCCCACACTGTTACAAACATGTGTTTTTTCAAACATTTTTAATCCCAGTTAATTTCATTTGCTATAATCTACAAATATGCAATAAAAGTGTAAATACAAATGTTTATTCTAAATTAGGAATAGACACCACCCTCTTTCCTCCTACTCCACCAGTGGATCATTACTCACCTGTATAAGAAACTAGAACAAGTGGCCTGACTTTGGTGATTTATATGTGATTTCCTGTTTCACACGTGAGGCTATTCTTACTATGATTATTCTTATTATGATTAATCCTTATTGTTATTAATCTTGTTCTTATTGTGATTATTCCTGTTGTCCTCCCCACCAAACACACTGTACCTGCCCACACACTGCCGGGAGGAAAACATCCTGGTTCAGATTCTCAGCACTGCGTTTAGGAATAAAGTCTCGTAGCAACATTAGGCTTTTAGTTTTTTTTTTTAATTTTTTTTTTACTTTTTGAAACAGAGTCTCACTCTGTCACCCAGGTTGGAGTTGAGTGGCGTGATCTCAGCTCACTGCAACCTCTGCTTCTTGGGTTGAAGCGATTCTCCTGTCTCAGCCTCCCGAGTAGCTTGCATTACAGGAGTGCACCACCACTGCTCGGCTAATTTTTCTATTTTTAGTAGAGACAGGGTTTCGCCATGTTGGCCAGGCTGGTCCCAAACTCCTGACCTCAGGTGATCCGCTCGCCTTGGCCTCCCGAAGTGCTGGGATTACAGGCGTGAGCCACTGCACCTGACCACATTAGACTTTTAGAAGGCTCAGGTGTTTTACATTGGGCAGGTGAACTGGCTAATATTTGTACCCTCAATCATTGCTATGAACTCCACATAATAAGACTAGTTCATGAGGAATAAATCTGCCGAAACCATTAACTATATCATGGATACCAAAGAGATTGGGTTAGCAGGTCATATTGCCTTTTGTATTAACCTCCTCTATCCACCCCTTCAAGTATATAGTTAAGTAAATGTAGCAATATTTTGGTGATTTCAAATTAAGTGTGTAAGATTATTCACCGGTCCTATTATCCTTTCTTGAGTAGTGTCTTAAAACACAAGAACCAAGGGATCCTTAACTGCTACATTCCCAGCAAGGACTGGGGAAAGGTGATGGTAGAAATCTTGCCCTTGTAACATTGCATGTTAAGTAAGAGAGCACTAATGGTGGGGAGTATTTGGGATTCGGGCATTTGGAATGGGAGCCTGGCATTGTTGGGAGGAGCAGCAGCGTTAGGTTACTTTCCAAACACCCCTAGAGTTTAATTGCCTTGATTTCTTCCCCTAAATCCGACTATTAGTCCATGTCCATCAAGAGATGGCCTCCTCTCACTTTCTCAATTCTCTGTTCTTCCGCCTTCTCACCTCACCCTTCTGTGCCTTTTGTCCTCCAACATACACTTGATAGGAGTGGGGGAGTGGAGGAGAGGCTCATCTGAGTTGGGGGCTGAAGGGGAGATTGCAATGGTAACTGTGTTTTTATTGCTGTTGTTAAAGGTGTTTGGCATTTTGGAGCAAGCTAAAGAGCAATTTGATTTAGAAGACTATTCTGTCAGATCACACTGGAACAAGTCTTCCTGACCTTTGCTAACCCAGAGAAATCATCCAGTGATGATGAAAACGAGGTGCCATGAGATTCCCTCTTAAAAAAAAAAAAAAAACAGAAAAAGAAAAAAAAAAGAAATGCCCTACACGTGAGTCCCAATAAACTCATCTACTCATCAAGCTGGACTGGTCTGAGTCATTCTTTGGTCTGTTGGCTCCTTTCCCAGTTTGGGGCGGAGGATGTTCTATACAGTCCTGGATTTTTCCCCAACCAGGAAGAGAACTCCTTGTCCTGCAGTGTTCCTCTTGCGCCCTCTCCTGACAAAGCTTAACTTCGGAGCTGGAGCAAGTCGTATCCGGCATTGCAGGGAAGAGTGAATTTGGCCTGTGATCCAATCAGAAGCTGCGATTCTAAACAGGAAGCCACACTGGATGCGAGAATTGGGGTGGGGCGCGCCAAGAGGAGCAAGCATTATAGAACGTGGGGAGCATGAGAAATACACGGAGGTGGAAACGCCGGAGTGGCTGGCGGGTAAAGGCAGCGGGCGCAGATGAAGCGGGCTGGGCGTCCCACGCGCAGAACCGTCCCGGACAGAAGCCGCAGGGGCTGCGCTGGCTGGAAAAAGGAACGCGAGTACAGCGCGCGTGGCGCGGGGTCTGCTCCAGGACGGAATCTTTTGGGTGGCCCGCATGAGGGGTTTGCAGGACCCCGGGCCTTTGGGAAGTTATCTGCTAAACTCCAGTAGACCCTGAGGAGCAGCGGCTCATGAATCTTCTTAAACTTCTGTCATCAGCGGCTGGGCCAGCTGAAGGTGACCATGGCACACGAGGGAGAGAGAAGCCCGCGAGAGGCGGAGAAATGTGGGGTCGTCCAGGAGGGTCGACAAGGCAAAGAACCTGAAGACGACCCAAAAGGGTACCTAGGTGGGGCCCTTTCAGGGACTTGGGGCATAGGGTAGGGCGCATGGGACGAGGTGGGTGAGCGCAAGGGACGAGATGGGTGTGCGCATGGGACGAGGTGGGTGGGAGCATGAGACGAGGTGGGTGGGGCGGTGGGTGAGGTCTCCGCCCCCAGACGGGCTGGCGAGGAAGCAGGGAAGAAGTAACGTTGGGCTGGTGAGGCAACAGGTGGGGCGCACTGGAGCTGCGGGATAATAGGTGGAACAAACTGGGGACTACACTCGTGGGCGCACGTGCGGAAGAGGGACTGAGGAGGTTCTTGCGTGCTCCCCTCGAGCACCGCCGACAGCTTCACCCGCACCTCCTGCCTTCCGCACCGCTGACTCCTACCGCTCCGCGCACTGCGCGCCCCCAGCCCTAGTGCAGCCAGCTCCCGGCCGGGTCCGCGCGAGGGCCAGGCTGCCAACCTGCCCGCGGGCGGCTGGTGGTTGGGGAGGGCGTTGGGAGGAGGAGTCCCGCCGGGTGGACGCGCGCCCTTCAGCGGCGGAGGCGGAGGCGGCAGCGGCGAGGCCTGAGGGTGCGTGCTAGGGAGTCCTGGCGCGTCCTTCTTCTGCCGGCGTCCCCCTGCGCTTGCAGCTGCTCCCCGACGCCCGGGAGGCCCACCCGCTAGCCGCGATGGGCGCGCAGAGCCCAAAAGGGCGACCCCCAAACAAAACTCACGCATATAAATCCTCCAGAGACTTCCTCATCCCCCCGCCAACACACACACACCCACACACACATACACACAATCAAATCAAATAGAAGCACTGTTAGGAATTTTATATTGGCTATGCAAAGTGCTTGAACGCACTGACTTTGGAGGCAAATGCCTTGTCCCTAGTCCTGACTAGTCCAGAATTTATTTGCTGTGACCTATGGCAAATTGCTTGGTTTCTCTAAGCCTCCATTTCCTAAGGCTTATATCTGAAAATAACTATAAGAGGAAAGGATGCTATTGTATCCAACTCAGAGGGCGGTCCTGATACTTACATTGCGAGAACATGTTAAGTGTTCCATAAATGGCAGAAGGGGCTGTGGAAGTTCAGTGATTATAGGTAGTTTAATTTGTCTTAGTTTTCCTTTGTGAAAGCATAAATTACACCAGAGAAAGTCACATATGTAAGGAATACTTTATGCAAAGCTGTTGTCCTAGGGAAGAGAGACCAGAACTCAGTCTAAACTAACTCTGCTGAAACAAAGTGGGGCAGGGTTTTTAAGCTCTAGGATGAGAGTAGAAAGGTGCTGGAGGGCTGTCGGAAGCATACTGAGTTGTTTGCTGAGTTTACAAGTGTTTCCTCCGTGATTAGGCCAGCTGTGTTTGCTAATTGGCTCTCAGGGAAGTTAGGCTCCTACCCTCCCACAGAAACTGGGAGATAGGGGGACCGTCTTCCTTGATGATTGCATTTCAAAGGAATGGCTCCCAGGTCCTTGACAAAGATGATTCTGGTTTGTAAAACTAGTAAGAGGCTATTAAAAAGAGTTACAGATATCTCAAGACAGAGAAAGAATTTACAGTGAAAAGCTTTCTAAAGAAAATGCTCTGTATTAATCTGTTTTCACACTGCTGATAAAGACATACCCAAGACTGGGCAATTTACAAAAGAAAGAGGTTTATTGGACTTACAGTTCCACGTGGCTGAGGAGGCCTCACAATCACGGCAGAAGGTGAAAGGTATATCTCACATAGTGGCAGACAAGAAAGCTTGTGCAGGGAAACTCCCCATTTGAAAACCATCAGTTCTTATGAGACTTACTCACTATCATGAGAAGAGCACGGGAACAACCCATCCCCATGATTCAGTCATCACTCACAGGGTCCCTCCCATAACACGTGGGAATTATGGGAGCTACAAGATGAGATTTGGGTGTGGACACAGAGTCAAACCATATCATGCTCTAAGAAAAGAAAGTTTTGGGCCTAGAGTCAGGAAAAAGCCTTTTCAAGTCAAGCTGAGAACTTTAAGGTGGTCTTGGCTACCTCATTTTATGCAAAGTAGGCAGAAAATTTAAAAGAAAAGAAACATATTTAAGTACAATTAAGAAAATTACAGTGTTTCAGTTAAAGCAGTTCAGTGCTTTTTAGAAAAGGAGCTGAAATTAAATAGTAAGTATAAATTTAATTCTAATAATTCAGGGCTATGAACCATGTAATTGCTTAATTTCCAATAACTATTTGTTCTTTTGCGACTACAGTTTGGCAGGTTGCCCTAATAATTTTCAGGCATTTTAGGTTCATGCTCCTTCCAACCCTCCTTTTCCCTTACAAGGGTTGCATCCAAGTTATGAGGGATAAGGGTGGGGGGTGTTTCATATTTAGGACCAGGATGTTGATGTGTACTTATTCCTGGCCAGGCTGTTTTGGAGTCAGGACTCTTGCGCTATAAGATCCCCCAAATCTATTTTGGGAATAGTGAAAGGGATGGGATGATGCTGAGGAGCCGGGCTTCGGCATTTCCTTATTGTGCATTATTTCCAATCCGTTGTTTTACCCTGGAAAGGGTCAACTGAAAGAACTGGCCATTGTCTTTGTAGGTATTAAGTATTGCTCTGTCTTCCCCGAGACCAAAAAATAAAAGATTGAATGAGGGATGGTACTGAATTGAAAACTTATGGTTAATATTCCAAAACATTACCCACTAAAAGAGCAAGAGAAAAAAGTTAGTGGGAGAGTGTTTCAGATGATTCCTTCTTCACAGGTTTACCTGTTCCCCCACCTGAAGAGTTAATTAGAAAAACAATACAGGTACATTACATAAAATTCAAACTCTATAGACATACAATTTGTAAAATGTGTAAGTCCCCCATTTTCCACCTCCTGAGGACATACTATCAACAGATCTTCTACCATTTTTCTTTTCTGTACATGTACTTCTTTTCTCTACATATATATTTTTCCAAACAATGTGTTTATATCATGTATAATATTTTGCAGTTTACTTTTTCTACCTTAGTAGTATATTATCCTCTCATGACAGTGTATCTATATCTATCCCTTCTTTGTAACAGAGGAACAGGATTTTATTGAAGGTATTGGCATGATTTATGTAATCATTCTTTCTGTTTTCATTTGATCTTACTGTTTTCCAGTGTTATCATGAACATCTTTCTGCCTGAATCTTTGTTTTGCTATGGTTTTGCTTTATGAACTTTGTTTCTAGGTTTGTTTGCTTTTTTTTTAAATAGCCTTTAAGACTTGGATCTGCTGCATAAATTCCTTTAAAGTTTGCAGACATGTATTGAGTGTATTGATCAGCTGCACTAAGGAGTAAGCACCTGATGTGAAGCCCCCTTCCATGAAAAATCCTTTAAGAATGGCATAGTTGTGAAGTTGGAAGGCTGTATGAATCACAAATTGATTTTACCCCATCACCACATCAGCCAAACACCTGCTCTGCCATTTTGATTAAGATTCGTCATGTATTTCATGCCAGTAATCCCAGCACTTTGGGAAGCCAAGGCAGTTGGATCACCTGAGGTCAGGAGTTTGAGACCAGCCTCAACAACATGGTTAAACCCCATCTCTACTAAAAACACAAAAAATTAGCCAGGCGTGATGGCACGCACCTGTAATCCCAGCTACTTGGGAGGCTGAGGCAGGACAATCGCTTGAACCCGGGAGGTGAAGGTTGCAGTGAGACGAGATCGCGCCATTGCACTCCAGCCTGGGCAACAAGAGCAAAACTCCATCTCAAAAAAAAAAAAAAATTAATCATGTATTAATTGAGATTTGCAGGGCCGTGTGCTTTATATAAAACAATGCACAATGCACTAAGCTCCATGGTGTTTGAGAGACAAAGGAGAACAAGATACCATCCCCACCACTGGGTAGTTTAAGATTATTGTCTGTATCCAGTATATAGCAATTGTAATGATTTCTAAAATGTTTTTCTATTGAGATACAGTTTACATGAAATGAAGTGCTCAGATTTTGAGTGACAGTTTGATCAGTTTCAAAGAATGTGCACACCTAATCAAGACACAGAACATTTCTGTAACACCAGAAAATTCCCTCTTGCCCTTTCCTAATCAATCACAAACCCCTCCCCTATAACCATTGATGTCATTTTTGCCTATACCTTTATATGAATGGAATCATGCAGAAGATACTATTTTGGGTATCTTACTTTGTCTTCCTTGTACCCCTTTGTGAAATCCTCCCATGCCTAGACCTCGACAACTGCTGGTCTGTTTTCTGCCCCTGTAGTTTTGTATGAATTCTTTACGTATTCTGTTTGCCCAGGCTGGAGTGCAGTGGTGTGATCTCAGCTCACTGCAACCTCTGCCTCCCAGGTTCAAGCAATCCTCCCACCCCAGCCTCCTGAGTAGCTAAGGTTACAGGCATGTGCCACCACACCTGGCTAATTTTTTTTGTATTTTTTATCAGATATGTATTGTGAATAAATACCTATTGTGAATAAAATTCTTTATTAGATATGTATTATGAATATTTTCTTTCTCCACTTGCATTTCTGTTTCCTTAGCAGTATCTTTACAAGAGTACATTTTTTTTTTTGTATTTTAATGGAGTTTAATTTACCAATTTTTCCTTTATGGCTCATACCTTGGGTATGCAAAGTAAGAAATCCCTACCCCCTTGAAGGTAACAGAGATTTTCTCCTAAGTTTCTTCATTTTATTCATTCCTCCTGTTTTCTTTTAAATTTGTACTTTTAGCTTCCTTCATTTAGGTCTGTGACCCATCTCGAGTTAATTTCTTGTTCCTAGTATGAGGTAAAGTTGGTGCTATTGTTTTTCCCCCATAAGGATATTCAGTTATTCCAGCACTGTTTTTTTTAAAGACTTCTCTTTGTTCCCTTGGTACTTTTGTGGGAAAAAAAAATTGACCATCTTAGTGTGGGTCTATTTCTGGACTCCGTTCAGTTTCATTGATGTATGTATCTGTGTCTTCACCAATACCACACAGTTTTAATTACAGTAATTTTATATATCTTGAAATCAGATAGTATAAGACCTCTAGTTTTGTTCTTTTCTAAAGTTGTTTTTGACTATTCCAGCACTAGAATTTCTACACAGTTGCTTATTGGAACTTTGATGGGATTGTATTTATTTTCATAAAGGCTCACCTACAATGTGTTGTAAAGCTTCTGAAAGTAAGTAATGACTTGTCAGTTTTAATAGACACTATGGTTATGAGTGAATATGAGGATCTTTTGTTATGTTTGAGGACTATTTTTCTTTGAACTGTTTTTTTTTTTCATTTTTCAAATTTTTTTTATTATACTTTGAGTTCTGGGGTACATGTACAGAACGTGCAGTTTTGTTACATAGGTATACACGTGCCATGGTGGTTTGCTGCACCCATCAACCCATCACCTACATTAGGTATTTCTCCTAATGCTGTCCCTCCCCTAGCCCTCCACCCACCGACAGGCTCCAGTGTGTGATGCTGCCCTCCCTGCGTCCATGTGTTCTCACTGTTCAACTCCCATTTATGAGTGAGAACATGGGGTGTTTGGTTTTCTGTTCTTGTGTTAGTTTGCTTAGAATGATGGCTTCCAGCTTCATCCATGTCCCTGCAAAGAACATGAACTCATCCTTTTTATGGCTGCATAGTATTCCATGGTGCATATATGCCACACTTTCTTTATCCAGTCTGTCATTGGTGTACACTTAGGTTGGTTCCAAGTCTTTGCTATTGTGAATAGTGCAATTCACGTACGTGTGCACGTATCTTTATAGTAGAATGATTTATAATCCTTTGGGTATACACCCAGTAATGGGATTGCTGGGTCAAATGGTATTTCTAGTTCTAGATCCTTCAGGAATCACCACACTGTCTTCTACAATGGTTGAACTAATTTATACTTCCACCAACAGTGTAAAAGCATTCCTATTTCTCCACATCCTCTCCAGCATCTGTTGTTTCCTGGCTTTTTAATGATCACCATTCTAACTGGCATAAGATGGTATCTCATTGTGGCTTTGATTTGCATTTCTCTAATGACCAGTGATGATGAGCTTTTTTCCATATGTTTGTTGGCTGCATAAATGTCTTCTTTTGAGAAGTGTCTGTTCATATCTATCACCCACTTTTTGATGGGGAGAACATTTTTGCAATCCATCTGACAAAGGGCTAATATCCAGAATCTACAAATAAATTAAACAAATTTTTTTTTCATTTTTCTAATGGTTATCCCTCCCCCTTCAATTTATAGACCTCTTCATATATATATATGTATATATATGTGTGTATATATACATATATGTGTATATATGTGTGTATATATACATATATGTGTATATATATACGTATATATATATGTGTATATATATACGTATATATATGTGTATATATATGTATATATATATGTGTATATATATATATGAGAGATTAGCCCTTTATCTGTGATACAAGTTATTTTCTCCCAGTTTGTTATTTATCTTTTGGCTTTGTGTTGACATTTACTTCATAAAACATATTTGTAAGTACTATGTTATCAGACTTATCTTGATACTAGATTTTGATTCATGGAGACTTTTCCCACTCCCACATTTTATATTTTTCCAAATGACTATCCATTTGTTACAACACCATTTACTATAAAGTAGAATTTTTTCCCAGTTAGTTGGGATGTTACCTATATAATAAACTAAATTTCTATATGTATTTTGGTTTATTTCTAGACTTTCTATTCTGTTCCATTTGGCTGTCTTTCAATTTACGTACCAGTACAACACATTTTTAACTACAGAGACTTTATAGTATGTTTTAATATTTGGTAGAGCTAGTTGCACAGCTTTTCCTATACGTTGTCTTCTAGTAGTTTTATAGTTTCAGGTATTACATTTAAGAATTTAATCCGAATGGCCAGGCGTGGTGGCTCACGCCTGTAATCCCAGCACTTTGGGAGGCCGAGGCAGGCAGATTACGAGGTCAGGAGATCGAGACCATCCTGGCTAACACAGTGAAACCCTGTCTCTACTAAAAATACAAAAAATTAGCCAGGCCCACGTGGTGGTGGGTGCCTGTAGTCCCAGCTACTCGGGAGGCTGAGGCAGGAGAATGGCATGAACCTGGGAGGCAGAGCTTGCAGTGAGCGGAGATCATGCCACCGCACTCCAGCCTGGGCGACAGAGTGAGACTCTGTCTCAAAAAAAAGAAAAGGAAAAAAAAAAAGAATTTAATCCATTTTGAGTTGATTTTGTACATGGTATAAGAGTCTAATTTCATTCTTTTGCATGTATAATCCACATTTCTAAACTCCATTTATTAAAGACACTATCTTTTCTCCCATTGTGTGTTCTTGGCATCTTTGTCAAAAATCCATTAATTGGTGGTAAATGTGTGAGTTTATTTTGGGGCTATCTATTGTCTTCCTTTGGTCTATGTGTCTGTTTTTATAGCAGTACCATGCTGTTTTGATTACTGTAGATTTGTAATATATTTTGAAGTCAGGAAGTATGATGCCTCCATTTTGTTCATTTTCCTCAAAAATGTTTTAGATATTTGGGGTTTTGTGGTACAATAAAAATTTTATGACTTTTAATCTATTTCTTTGAAAAGTGTCATTGGGATTTTGATAGGGATTGCATTCAATCTGTAGATCACTTTTGGTAGTATGGACATTTTAACAATATTGTTTCAATCCATGAACATGGAATATCTTTCTTTTTATTTGTGTCTTCAAGTTCTTTCATCAATGTTTTATGATTTTCAATATACAGCTCTTTCACTTCCTTGGCTATATTTGTTCATAAGTATTTTTCATAGCTATCGTAAATACAGTTGCCTTTTTTATTTCACTTCAGATGGTTTAATGCTAATGTATAGAAACTTTTTTTTTTTTTTTTTTGAGACAGTTTCGCTTTTGTTTCCCAGGCTGGAGTGCAATGGCGAAATCTCGGCTCACTGCAACCTCCGCCTCCCAGATTCAAGTGATTCTCCTGTCTCAGTCCCCCAAGTAGCTGGGATTACAGATGTGTGCTACCATGCCTGGCTAACTTTGTATTTTTAGTAGAGATGGGGTTTCACCATGTTGGTCAGGCTGGTCTTGAACTTCTGACTTCAAGTGAGCCAATTGCTTCAGCCTCCCAAAGTGCTGAGATTACAGGTGTGAGCCACCATGCCCGGCTGAAACTATTATTTTTGTATGTTGACTTTATATCCTGTAACTTTATTGTATTTTATTAGTTCTAGCAGTGTTTTCACTGACATTTTAGGGTTTTCATGTTATCTGCAAACAGGAACCATTTGGCTTCTTCTTTTCCAATTTGGATGGCTTCTCTTTCTTTTTTTGCCTGATTGCTCTGGCTAGGTCTTCCATTACTATATTGAATAGGAGTCGTAAGAGTGGACATCTTTGTACCTTTCCTGAGATACTTTTGGAAAAAGCTTTCTATTTTTTACTCTTGTGTATGATATTAATGGTGAGCTTGTCATATATAGTCTTTATTGTGTTGAGTTACATTCCTTCAGTGCCTAATATGGTTAGAGTTTTTATCATGAAAGGATATTGAATTTTGTCAAATGCTTCTTCTGCATCTGTTGAGATAATATATGGTCTTTGTCCTTTATTCTGTTAATGTGGTGTATTAATATTTACTTGCATATGTTGAACCATCCTTGGATCTCAAAGATAAGTCTCACTTTATTGTGGTGAGTGAATGATCCTTTTAATATGCTGTTGAATTCAGTTTGCTAGTATTTTGTTGAGGATTTTTGCATCTATGTTCATCAGGGATATTAGCCTGTAATTTTTTTTTTTTTTTTGAGATGGAGTCTCACTCTGTTGCCCAGGCTGGAGCGCAGTGGCATGATATCAGCTTACTGCAACCTCTGCCGCCTCCCACGTTCAAACAATTCTCTTGCCTCAGCCTCCCGAGTAGCTGGGATCACAGGCATGTGCTACCATGCTCAGCTAATTTTTGTATTTTTAGTAGAGATGGGGTTTCACCACGTTGGCCAGGCTGGTCTCAGACTCCTGCCCTGCTCATCTCGGCCTCCCAAAGTGCTGGGATTACAGTCATGAGCCACCGTGCCTGGCCAGCCTGTAATTTTCTTGTATGTCCTTGTCTGGCTTTGGTGTCACGATAGTGCTGGCTTCATAAGATGTGTTTGGAAATATTTTTTCTTCAACTTTTTGGAGTTTGATAAGGATTGGTCCTATTTCTTATTTAAATGTTTTGTAGAATTCAGCCCAGAAGCCATCTGATTCTAGGCTTTTCTTTAATGGGAGACTTTTTATTACTGATTCAATCTTTTTTTTTAATCAGTCTATTTGTTATCAGTCTGTTGTCAGTCTATTTTATCAGTCTGTTATCAGTCTGTTCAGATTTTCTTTTTCTTTGTGATTAATACTTGGTAGGATTAATACAGGTAGGAATTTTTTCATTTCTTCTAGGTTATCTAATTTGTTGACATAATTGTCATCATAGTCTCTAATGATAATTTGTATGTCTGTAGTATCCATTATAATGTTTCCTTTTTTATTTCTGATTTTACTTGAATCTCCTCTCCTTTTTTATTAGTTATTCTAGCTAAAAGTTTGTCTGTTTTATCTTTTTCACAAGTTTTGTTGATTTTTTTTCTATTGTTTCTTTAGTCTCTATTTCATTTATTTCTGCTCTGATCTTTATTTTATCCTTCCTTCTGTGAACTTTGTGCTTAGTTTGTCCTTGTTTTCCTAGTTCCTGGTTTTCTAGTTTCCAATTGTAGTTCCTATACCTAGTTTCTAGTTATAATGTTAGGGTGTTTGAGATCTTTCTTCTTTTTTGATGTAGATGTTTATTGCTATAAACTTCACTCTTAGAACCATTTTTGCTGTATACTATATATCTTATATATTTTTGTATGTTGTGTTTCCGTCTTCATTTGCCTCAAGATATTTTTAAATGATCCCTTTAATTTCTACATTGACCCATTGGTTGTTTGGGAGAATGTTGTTTAATTACCATATGCGTCTGCATTTTCTGAAATTCTGTCTATTTTTGATTGTTAGTATAATACCATTGTGGCCGGAAAAGGTATTTGAAATGGATTTCAGGCTTCATAAATTTATTAAGATTTATCTTGTGGCCTAACATATGAACTCTCCTGGAGAACGTTCTGTGTGTGCTTGAGAAGAATGTGTACAATTGACCCCCCCATATCTGTGTGTTCTACATCCACAGATTCAACTCTGGGCCAAAAATAGTAAAAAAATAATAATATGATAATAATGCAAATAAAAAGCAATACAGTGTAACAAATATTTATATAGATTTTATATTAGGTACTATGAGTATCTAGAGAAAATCTGAGGCATAAGGAGTATGTGTGTAGATTATATGCAAATACTACACCATTTTATATAAGACATTGAGCATCCATGGATTTTGCTATCCTCAGGGGTCTAGAACTAGGCATTAGCATTGTGCCTAGTTGGGGCTTACCTGTAGCCTGTGTCCACTGGTGCCAGCCTGGAGGCTGGGTGTATGGTTGCTAGTCCAGAAGCTAGGTCTGTGAAGAACTGAGTCCTGGAGCCATGGTAGTGTCCCCAGAATTGGTGGGTTCTTGGTCTCACTGACTTCAAGAATGAACCCACAGACCCTCGCGGTGAGTGTTACAGCTCTTAAGGTGGCGCGTCTGGAGTCTGTCCTTTCTGATGTTCAGATGTGTTCGGAGTTTCTTCCTTCTGGTGGGTTCGTGGTCTCGCTGGCTCAGGAGTGAAGCTGCAGACCTTCGCAGTGAGTGTTACAGCTCTTAAGGCAGCGCGTCTGGAGTTGTTCGTTCCTCCCGGTGGGTTCGTGGTCTCGCTGGGCTCAGGAGTGAACCTGCAGATCTTCGCGGTGAGTGTTACGGCTCATAAAAGCAGCGTGGACCCAACGAGTGAGCAGTAGCAAGATTTATTGCAAAGAGCGAAAGAACAAAGCTTTCACAGTGTGGAAGGGGACCCGGGCGGGTTGCCAATGCTGGCTAGGGCAGCCTGCTTTTATTCTCTTATCTGGCCCCACCTACATCCTGCTGATTGGTAGAGCTGAGTGGCCTGTTTTGTCAGGGCGCTGATTGGTGCGTTTACAATCCCTGAGCTAGATACAAAGGTTCTCCACGTCCCCATCAGATTAGTTAGATACAGAGTTTCGATTGGTGCACTCACAAACCTTGAGCTAAACACAGGGTGCTGATTGGTGTGTTTACAAACCTTGAGCTAGATACAGAGTGCTGATTGGTGTATTTACAATCCTTGAGCTAGACATAAAGGTTCTCCAAGGCCCCACCAGAGCAGCTAGATACAGAGTGTTGATTGGTGCACTCACAAACCTTGAGCTAAACACAGGGTGCTGATTGGTGTATTTACAATCCCTGAGCTAGATATAAAGACTCTCCACATCCCCACCAGACTCAGGAGCCCAGCTGGCTTCACCTAGTGGATCCCGCACCAGGGCTGCAGGTGGAGCTGCCTGCCAGTCCCGCGCCGTGTGCTCGCATTCCTCAGCCCTTGGGTGGTCGATGGGACTGGGTGCCATGGAGCAGGGGGTGATGCTCGTGGGGGAGGCTCGGGCTGCACAGGAGCCCATGGAGTGGGTGGGAGGCTCAGGCATGGCGGGCTGCAGGTCCCAAGCCCTGCCCCGCGGTAAGGCAGCTAAGGCTCGGTGAGAAATGGAGTGCAGCACCGGTGGGCTGGCACTGCCGGGGGACCCAGTACATCCTCTGCAGCCACTGGCCTGGGTGCTAAGTCCCTCACTGCCCGGGGCCAGCAGGGCTGGCTGGCTGCTCCGAGTGCGGGGCCCGCCAAGTCCACGCCCACCCGGAACTCCAGCTGGCCCACAAGCGCCGCAGGCAGCCTCGGTTCCCGCTCGCGCCTCTCCCTCCACACCTCCCTGCAAGCTGAGGGAGTGGGCTCCAGCCTTGGCCAGCCCAGAAATGGGCTACCACAGTGCAGCGGCGGGCCAAAGGGCTCCTCAAGTGCCGCCAAAGTGGGAGCCCAGGCAGAGGAGGCGCCGAGAGCGAGTGAGGGCTGTGAGGACTGCCAGCACGCTGTCACCTCTCATTAGGACCTGGGTTCACAAGGCTTGGCACAGGGAAGGCCTGGGCCCTGTGTTTGCAGGTGCCTGCCAGGTGTTTGAGCCCAGGTGTGCCATCCTTGTTCTAGGATGGGGCTGAAGCCCAGGGCCACTGGGGCCTGCCTAGTGCTTGGGTCAGCCTACTGCAGGGGCAGGACCAGAGACCAAGTCCACCAGGCTGGGCTGGAACCTGGGACTGCAGAATCTGGCCTGACATTAGTATGGGCTTGGAGGCTCAGTTTGCTGATACTAGCCTGGCAATGGGTAAGCCTGGAGCCTGTATCCATAGGGGCCAGCCTGGCAGCTGGGTCTACCAGGTAGGCCCAGAACCTGGAGCTGTGAGATCTAGCCTGGTGCTAGGGCAGACGTGAAGGCTCAGTCCCCGACTTATTTTCTTGATGTTAGGTTAGATTTTGATGGGCAGAAATTTTAGATTTTGATAAAGCCCCTTTTTTATGGTTTGTGTCCTTAGTATCCATTTTAAGAAATCGCTGCCTACCCCAAGGTCAGAAAGATATTCTGTAGTAATAGTAGAGATTTTAAAGTATCTTATGTTCATCTTATGTCATATTCAGAAAAATTGCTTGTAGGAGTAGTTGACTATAGCATTTTGTTATTTTTTTCCAGAGAGGATTCATTTTTTATACTAGGCAGCTGTCAGTACTTGCAATCTTGGGAGCGCCCTCATCCAGTATCAAGGATTGAGATAATTTGAAGCCGGGATTTGTAGAAGCTAAAAGGATTGAGATTATTTGCAGTCCCAGGGAAGGTCAATCTCCTTTAGGTTTCTCCTTACTTATAAAGTCAAGTCCTAATCTAATCCCTTCCATTCTTGGCTCTGAATTCCAGCTCTCTTTCTCGTAGCCCCAAGAATTTAAGTCAGATATTCATGGTCACATAGTTGTGAAATCCCACATGGTAGTGGTACGATTTCAACCTAGGCAGTCTAACTTCAGATCCTGGGTTATTAAAAGGAACCTTCCACGTCACCCCTACCATGAGGGATGAGTTTCATTTGTTTTGTTTCCCATTGTACACCCACACCTCACATGACATGTAGTAGGTATTCAGAAAATATTCAATATAAGAATGAACCTTCTCTTGGTCCATTTGGGATACTATAGCAAGATACCACAGACTATGTGGCTTAAAAACAGTAGTTTATTGCTTACAGTTCTGATGGCTGTGAAGTCCAAGATCAAGGTGGCAGCACATTCCTTGTCTAGTGAGGACCCCTTTCCTGGTTGGCCTGTCTTTTCTTTGTGTCCTCACATGGTGGAAGGAATGAGGGATCTCTGTGGGGACTCTTTTATAAGGGAACTCATCCCATTCTAATACCTCTCTAAATCCCCACTTCATTTTTATTTTTATTTATTTAATTTTTTGAGATAGAGTTTCACTCTTGTTGCCCAGATAGAGTTTCACTCTTGTTGCCCAGGCTGGAGTGCAATGGCGCAATCTCAGCACACTGCAACCTCTGCCTCCCTGGTTCAAGTGATTCTCCTGCTTCGATTCTCCTGCCTCAGCCTCCCGAATAGCTGGGATTACAGGTGTCCACTACCAGGCCCGGCTAATGTTTTGTATTTTTAGTAGAGACAGGGTTTCACCATGTTGGCCAGGCTGGTCCAAACTCCTGACCTCAGGTGATCCACCCGCCTCGGCCTCCCAAAGTGTTGGGATTACAGGCATGAGCCACTGTGCCTGGCCCCTAAATCCCCACTTCAAAATACCTTAAACTTGGGTGTTAGGATTTAACATATGAAGTCAGAGGAACATAAACATTCAGTTCATTGCAAATCTGTTCCCCTTAGCAATACTATTAATGGTAGTTACTTCCAATCTGATAGATTATTGAATAGCATTTTGGGCTTATAGTTGTGCTGTGATTTTCTATACTGTTTTGTTGCTTTGCCATTGGTGGTGACTTACTTGTTTTTTGTTGTTTTTAAATTAGTATTTCCATGGGGATTGGGAAAGCTACTGGCAAGATTTACCTGGAAACTTGCATCAACAACTTACTGATCTTTGTTTTGTGGTTGGTATTTTATTCATATTAGAAGCTCCATAAATGTTGACTAAATTAAAAATGTAGGTTGGGAGGCTGAGGCGGGCGGATCACTTGAGGTCAGCAGTTCGAGACCAGCCAGGCAAACGTGGTGAAACCCCATCTCTACTAAAAATACAACAATTAGCCGGGCATGGTGGCAGACGCCTGTAATCCCAGCTATTCAGGCGGCTGAGGCAGAAGAATCACTTGAACCCGGGAGGAAGAGGTTGCAGCGAGCTGAGACTGCACCACTGCAGCGTGGGTGACAGAGTGAGACTCTGTCTCAAAAAAAAAAATAGGGATAAACAACTGCTCAAATATTTTAAATCTGTATATTTCTTATTTTAAATATTAAATATTTCTTGTCTTTAAAGCTTGATTATAAAATTAAGTAATTTAAATTTAAGTGATGTGCTTGTCTAAAATTTACACATCATTAGATAATCTTTTCTTTTTAAAAAATATTTACTCCCTCCATAGAGTTGAACTTCCTCTCTTTTTAGAAGAATGGATTTCTCGGAGTCTGAAAAATTTATGGTTCTTCTCTGGAAGAATTTTATTTTAAAGGTAAGTTGAACTACCTATAGGGTTATTACAACAGCTCAGTGGCCACAGGGGGAAATTCTGACAGCTTGATCCTTGAATTTCAATTTTTACTGTTTTACTTTTCTCAGTATGAAGGCTAGGTTATCTCTTCCAAATATAGAGTTCACACAGAGAGAGATTAATAGCAGGATGTTATGTAGAAAGGAGAAAAAAGTCTAGGAAACTGCTGCTATTATAGAGTAAAGCTGTGTTTTTGGCAATCTATATATTCTTTTATGAAGTATCTTTTATCTTAATATAAAAGAATTACAGTTATACACAATACAGGACTATTCAGCCATGAAAAAGAATGAGATCCTCTCATTTGCAACAACATAGGTGGAACTGGAGGTCATCATGTAAAGTGAGATAAGCCAGGCACAGAAAGACAAACTTTGCATGTTCTCACTTATTGGTAGAAACTAAAAATTAAAACAATTGAACTCATGGAGATGGAGAGTAGAAGGATGGTTAACAGAGGCTGGGAAGGGGTAGCTTGGGGTAGGTAAGGGGGAAGTGGAGATGTTTAATGGGTACAAAAAAAACTTGAAAGCATGGATAAGGCAGTATTTGCTAGCACAACAGAATGACTAGAGTCAAAAATAATTTGATTGCACATTTAAAAATATCTAAAAGAGTGTAATTGGATTGTTTGTAACACAAGGGATAAATGCTTGAGGGAATGGATACCCAATTTACCTTGATGTGATTATTATGCATTGTGTGCCTGTATCAAAATATCTCACGTAACCCATAAATATGTATACCTGCTATGTACCCACGAAAATTAAAAATTAAAAAATTCAAAAATGAACTTGCAAAGTTAATAACCTCTTAGGGCAATTAACATAATCTTTTTTCTTCTTCTTCTAGAGGCGGCGATGTATTGCTTTAGTTGTGGAAATGGTCCTCACATTTCTGTTTAGTGCTGCGCTTTTGGCAACACGCTCTGTTATTACTATAAATAAGAACGGACCTTTCGATTTTGCTGCTCAGCCTGTCGATGAAGTGCCTTTCTACATCACAGCTTCCTTAATTTCTCCTTCTCCTTTGGAATTGGCTTACGTGCCTTCCAGAAGTACTGTGGTTCAGGGTATTATTGAAAGAGTGAAAATGGATTTAAACCCTCAAATGAAAGGTTAGAAATTAACATTTTCTGAAAAAACATACAGAATTACTAAATCGATTTAGTGAAGACATACTTACAACCTTATTAACTGGTTCTTAACCTCCCAAGTAAAACATCGTTGGAATCCTCATACTAAGTATAAATATTATGGACTTTGTTAAACTTGAAAGTTAAATTTATATAAAATATTTTGTTCATAGAGCCCAGAACAAATAGTAATATTTCAAAATGAGATGACCAATTATTATTATTATTCTAAGTTGTTATCCAGTTTTGTGATACTGTTTTTTCTATCTGGTTGTGCTTCTTGAACCTGGGTAAGTATACCTCCAGGGGTGTGTGATTTTGTGCCACAGGTCAGTGGTCAGTTATTTAAAATAATGTTTTATATTAAAATGTGGTGTGAGTAATATAGGAAGGCTTTAGAAAACACTTAAGCTATGTAGAATTATTTTAAAAGCCCTCAGTCTCTCACTTACCTTCATATTCCCGGATCAGTTTCTTACCTCTTTCTCTTAGAGGTAAATACTGTGAGAAGTTTAGGTCGGCCGGGCCCAGTGGCTCACGCCTGTAATCCCAGCATTTTGGGAGGCTGAGGTGGGCAGATCACCTGAGGTCAGGAGTTCAAGACCAGCCTGGCCAACATGGCAAAACCCCATCTCTACTAAAAATATAAGAATTAGCCAGACATGGTGGTATGCACCTATAGTCCCAGCTACTTGGGAGGCTGAGGCATGCGAATTGCTTGAACCCAGGAGGAGGAGGAGGTTGCAGTGAGGTGAAATTGCACCACTGCACTCCAGCCTGGGTGACAGACCAAGACTCTGTCTCAAAAAAAAAAAAAAAAAAGTTTGTGGGCATCTCCCTAGCACACCTCTCTCTACACATGTGCGTGCATGTGCACACACACACACACACACAGTCAGGCAACTTTTCCATCTTTTTTTGTCTTTCAAGAGATATGAGAGTCCTTGAGAGTAGATGCCATCTCAAAGCATTCTTTTTTGTTGTTTGCTTTTTTTTATCAAAGCATTCTTTAAAATAAAGACTGAAACAGGAGAATATGAAGTTCCCAGTAATTTTTAAATTCTACAACAAAAATATCTCAACAAATTTAAAGTCTATTATGGGTTACTCCAATAGTCGCTTTGGGTTACTCAAAATATTTTCTGATTTCCACTCTGATGTCTTCTTTGATGCATGGAATTTCAAAATTTTTAGAAATGTGTTGCTGAACTTCCAAACACTGGGGGCTTCTTATCTTTCTGTTGTTGATTTCTGTTTTAATTTCCTTTCATCAGAGAGTATACTCAATTCCAGTTCTTTGACATTTTGAGAACTGTTTATGACTAGTACATGGTATATTTTGATAAATGTTTTCTGTGAATTTGTAAAAACTATGTGTGCTATAGGTTTTGCTTCTGGTGTTCTATAAATGCCACCTGGGCAAAGTTGGCTAAGTGTCATGCTTTTCAAGTCATCTGTATTCTTTTTTTTTTTTTTTTGGTCTGCTTATTATATCAGTCATTGAAAGAAGTACCTGAAATAATACCTGATTTCCAGTCAGGTATTATTAGGATTAAATAGGTTATATATTGTATATATTAATTTTTTTTTTCTTGAGACGGAGTCTCGCTCTGTCACCAGGCTGGAGTGCAGTGGCGCGATCTCGGCTCACTGCAACCTCCCACCTCCCAGGTTCAAGCGATTCCCCTGCCTCAGCCTCCCAAGTAGCTGGGACTACAGGCGCCTGCCACCACGCCTGGCTAATTGTTTGTATTTTTAGTAGAGACCATGTTGGCTAGGATGGTCTGGATCTCTTGACCTTGTGATCTACCCCCTCAGCCTCCCAAAGTGCTGGGATTACAGGTATGAGCCACCGTGCCCAGCCTGTATATATTAAAATTTATACATTTTTAAGATATTAAAATTTCCAACTGAGATTTAGCTATTTTTCTTTTTGCTTATTTATTTTGAATTACAGTTCATGTGATCCTTCCATTGAATAATTTTAAAAACAATATTTTTCAGTTCTGGAATTTCCATTTATCTCTATTTTGAATAGGTTCCAGGTCTCTTGGAAAATGTACCATTTTTGAGTTTATTAACCATATCAACCATAGTTACTTTAAAGTCTCTGCCAGGAAGTTCTGGTATCTGGATTACTTGTTTATCTTTTTTTTTTTCTTTTATGCCATTGAGTTCTATTTTGTAACATGCCTTGTATATTTTTATCAAATCCAAGATGTTGCAGATGAAAAATTTTGAAGGCTCTTGGGGATATTTCTTTATCCAAAGAGGGTTAAATTTTCTTTTGGATCATTATTAGAGTACTGGTAACTCCCTCTGCCCCCACTGAAGGCTGGTTTTAGCTTCACTAAAGACTGCCCTATTTCTGTTTTCTCTTTACTTCTGGGCATAATCCTGGTCCTAGTGCGTGATTGATCCTTACTCCTAAGGCATGACCATTCCATGATTTCAACTGAAAGTCGGGGGTTCAAGAAGGCTCCTTACCTGTGGGGCTTGAACTCCATCCTCTGTCTCCCCAGCCTGGTGCTGCTGCTGAAATCACTGCTCAGCATTTTTGCCCTCCAGCCACTGTCATCTACCTGCCTGTACTCACTTGGAAGACTAGAAGTTCATACCCAGGCTTTCGCCCCTCTTCCTGGGTACACATAGTTAATTAAGGCAGCTGACAGTCAAAGATGAATACCCGGGGCGGATGCAGTGGTTCACACCTGTAATCCCAGCACTTTGGGAGGCAGAGGCGGGAGTTCACAAGGTCGGGAGATCGAGACCATCCTGGCTAACATGATGAAACCCCCATCTCTACTAAAAATACAAAAAATTAGCCAGGTGTGGTGGCAGGTGCCTGTAGTCCCAGCTACTCGGGAGACTGAGGCAGGAGAATCGCTTGAACCCAGGAGGCAGAGGTTGCAGTGAGCTGAGATCGCAACACTACACTCCAGTCTGGGTGACAGAGCAAGACTCAATCTCAAAAAAAAAAAAAAAAAAAAAGAGAGAAATAAAAAGATGAATACCCAGGGAAAACATTTTAGATATCTGATGAGACCAGGAACAATGAAAGGAAGAAAGAAAATGGAACCTCCTATACCAGGAGAAGCAGAACTAGTGTAACTACTGGAGGGGTGAGGAGAAGAGCTGCCCAGGCATCTGGAGTTTCAGCTGGGGTTCAGCTCTGCCCCATCACCCCAGGCTGAGGCATTGCTTTCTTATGCATGACCATTATGGAAAGAACAACTATCCCCAGTCTAGGCTTTCAGGACATGGTTACATGTTTATGTGTGTTTAATGCTCTCCTTATTGGGGCTAAGCAAGTTGGGTATATATTGGAATGAAAAAAGTTGAAAGTTAGATTCTTTTAGGGTTGGGTTTTTTGTTTGTTTTGTTTTGGCCAGGTCACTAGGATTGAAGGTGGGAGAGACAAATGAATTGAAGAATTGGAAGAGTTATTGAAGACATAGGTCCTGGAATCTAAATTGGAAAGGAAACGAAGTTAGGAAAAGAATGATTTTAGATGTCAAGTGATGGGAATGTAAAATGGCTCTTGATCAAAGACCTCTGAAGCTTCACATCATATAACCAGTGCATCACCAGCTCCATACATCAATATCGCTCTACAGCAGTTTCTCTAGGACAATGGTCCCCAACCTTTTTGGCACCAAGGACCAGTTGCATAGAAGACAATTTTTCCACAGACCAGTGGCAGAGGGATGGTTTCAGGGTGATTCAAGCACATCACATTTATTGTGTACTTTATTTCTATTATTACATAGTAATATATAATGAAATAATTATACAACTCACCATAATGTAAAATCAGCAGGAGGCCTGAACTTGTGTTCCTGAAACTAGGCAATCCTATCTGGGGATGATGGGAGACAGTGACAGATCATCAGGCATTAGATTCTCAAAAGGAGCTTGCAGCCTAGATCCCTTACATACGTAGTTCACAATAGGGTTTGCGCTTCTATGAGAATCGAATGCCTCCGCTGATCTGATGGGAGGCAAAGCTCAGCTGGCAATGCAAGTGATGGGGAGCAGCTGTAAATACAGATGAAGCTTTGCTCGCTCACCGGCCGCTCACCTCCTGCTGTGTGATATGGTTCCTAACAGGCCATGGACCGGTACCAGTCCATGGCCTGGGGTTTGGGGGCCCCTGCTCTAGGACAAACCAAAATAAACTATACTTCCTCACTTGGAAAATGAAAATAATAATAGTGTCTTATTTATAGGGTAGTTGTGTATATGTGAAGTATTTAGAGCAGTTCTCAGCACATGGTAAGTACTCAGTAAAGACTAGATTTATTGGCCAGCCGGGTGCAGTGGCTCATGCTTGTAATCCCAGCACTTTGGGAGGCTAAGGCGGGTGGATCATGAGGTCAGGAGATTGAGAGCAGCCTGTCCAACATGGTGAAACCCCGTCTCTACTATTAAAAACACAAAAATTAGCTGGGTGTGGTGGCGGGCACCTATAGTTCCAGCTACTCTATTACTGAGACCAGCCTGACCAACATGGGTAAACCCCATCTCTACTAAAAATACTAAATTAGCCAGACGTGGTGGTGCATGCCTGTAATCCCAGCTACTCAAGAGGCTGAGGCAGGAGAATCACTTGAACCTGGGAGGTGGAGGTTACAGTGAGCCGAGATCGTGCCACTGCGATCCAGACTGCGCGGCAGAATGAGACTCCATCAAAAAAAAAAAAAAAAAAAAAAAGACTGGATTTATTATTACTATAGGAAACACAACTTTCTGCTCTGCCACCATCTGTGCTGAGTATCACCATAAGGCCAGCCTGCCAGTGACTATTTGGAAAAGCTGTAGCATCTAGCAATACTTCCAACGTGTCTTCTGTTTCCCAAATAGTAATACAAAATATGAAACAAAATGAACAGTAGAGGAAACATTTTGAACAGGAAACCATGTCTATCTCCTCTGTAAACCTGTCCATTTGAAATGTGGATTACTGCATCTTGGATTCATTCAAGGCAATGGAAATAACCAAACTTTCTGCCTTCAACTACCTGGTCCAAGGAAATCAATCCTGTCTTTCCTCTCTAATCTTAATCTTCCCACCTGGATCTTGTGGTTTTAAGCCTGCCTAGTCATAAAGGCCAACTGCAAATATTTCAGCTTTATTGGAACTCAAGAGCATTCTGGGTTTGTTCTTTGTGATTCTTCCCTTTTATTTCACTTCCACCTAACTTTTAACCTTTTTTTTTTTTTTTTTTTTTGAGATGGAGGAGTGTCACTCTGTCACCCAAGCTGGACTGCAGTGACCCAATCTCGGCTCACTTGGCAACCTCCACTTCCCGAGTTCAAGCAATTCTCCTGCCTCAGCCTCTTGAGTATCTGGGACTACAGGCACCTGCTACCACACCTGGCTATTTTTTTTGTATTTTTGTTAGAGATAGGGTTTCACTATGTTGGTCAGGTTGGTCTTGAACTCCTGACCTCAAATGATCCACCTGCCTCTGCCTCCCAAAGTGCTGGGAATACAGGCGTAAGCCCCTGCGCCTGGCCGCTTTTAACGTTTGATGTTATATTCCATTTCCAGCATCTAGCTCTTAAATTTTGATATTATGTTCTATTTCCAGCTGTGTCCCTTTTTTTTTTTTTTTTGAGACAGAGTTTCACTCTTGTTGCCCAGGCTGGAGTGCAATGGTGTGATCTCGGCTCACTGCAACCTCTGCCTCCCAGGTTCAAGTAATTCTCCTGCCTCAGCCTCTCGAGTAGCTGGGATTACAGGCATGCACCACCACATCCAGCTAATTTTGTATTTTTAGTAGAGATGGGGTTTATCCATGTTGGTCAGGCTGGTCTCAAACTCCTGATCTCAGGTGATCCACCCACCTCGGCCTCCCAAGGTGCTGGGATTACAGGCGTGAGCCACCGCGCCCAGCCTACCTTTTTTATTCTTAAGAGTGGACTTAGTTTTACCAACTTTGATGATTTGAATTCTCTGAGGCCCATGTCTCCTCCTGCTCCTGACCAGCTCTTGTAGGTTCCCCCCTGATTCCAGCCCCCAAGAAGCTACTTTCAGCTTTGAAATTTATGTGCCAGCTTTGCCTACCCCCTGAGAAAGGGAGATTAGATCAGGTGCTTTGCATCTGGTATTTTGCAGTTTTACCAAAAGTGATGATTATGACCCCTCAGCGTAATTTCATAGCCACCAACAATGTTCTTAGGTTTGGATAGCAATCCAAATATACTTTAAGCTACCATCAGATTAAACTGTCTTAAGAAAGTAGAATTAACTGTCATTATTTGTGGATTCTGAATTTGTGAATTCAACAACTCACTAAAATTTATGTGTAACTCAAAATCAGTAACTGTTTCACTTTTGAGGTCATTTGCAGACATGCAGGGAGTGGCAAAAAATTTTGAGTTCTCCAAGGGTGGTTCCCAGCCTTGGCCAGGTCAAAGAAGATGACACCCTGTCCACCTTGTTTCAACCCTCATACTGCAAACAAGTATTCTTGACTTGATATAGTTAGTGCCTTTTTTTTTTTTTTTTTGCATCTTTGTTCTTTATGTTGGTGATTTTGTTGTTTAATGTCAGCCCCAGGCATAGTGCTGAAGTACTGTCTCATGTTCCTAAGTGCAAAAGGGCTATGATTATGTCTTTTTTTTTTTTTTTTTTTTTTTTTTTGAGACAGATTCTTACTCTGTTGCCCATGCTGGAGTGCAATGGCGTGATCTCGGCTCACTGCAACCTCCACCTCCCCCAGCTCAAGCCATTCTCCTGTCTCAGCCTCCTGAGTAGATGAAACTACAGGCACACACCACTGCACCCAGCTACAGTTTTATATTTTAGGAGAGATGGGGTTTCACCAAGTTGGCCAGGCTGGTCTAGAACTCCTGATCTCAAGGGATCTGCCCACCTTGGCCTCCCAAAGCGCTGGGATTACAGGCATGATCCACTGTGCCTGGCCCTGATTATGTCTTTTGGAGAAAATATCTATGTTAGAGAAGCTTAATTCAGGCATGAGTTATACTGCTGCTGGCTGTGAGGTCAGTGTTAGTGAATCAACAGTATGTATTAAATAAGGTGTCTTTAAACGGAAACACCCCAAAAAACAGGTCGTGTATTGATCAATTGATGAAAATGTGACCAGAGGCTTGCAGGAACCTAGGAGTATTTTCCCTAGGAGTAATCTTTCAGTATTCCCTAACTCAAGTGTCTGTGATGACTTTATAGAACATAACCAAGAATGATGAAAATGGATGGTGTCCAGGATGGGAACATAACATGTACAGCATCAGCACTTTCATATGAAAGTCTCCCAACAGCACAGGTGCAGCTGTACGTTCCACCAGTACACAGGGCACATTCAGTTCAAGAGCTGAGGTCGATACGGTGTAGACTCTGTAATTATATGGAAGCCTCCACTTTTGTTTGCCAGAATTTGTGCAAAGTCCTACTTACTTTCTTCTCAAGTCAAGTGTAGTCTCTAGACGAGATATATGGCAGCAAACAATGTTGATGATGAGTTCCAGGCACTGCTAACATTCTGTATTTTTAAACTCAGCACATACCTAGGCACAGTGCTGCCAGAGAGTAAACTCATAGTTATCTTAGTGGGTACACCTGGGTCCAGGAAAATAGGATTTATGTTTGCTATTTACCCTTTCCTCACAATAATAAATCTGCAGGTTTTTTTTTTTTTTTTTTTTTTGAGACAGAGTTTTGCAGTTGTCGCCCAGGCTAGAGTGCAGTGGTGCGATCTTGGCTCACTGCAACCTCTGCCTCCCAGTTTCAAGGATTCTCCTGCCTCAGCCTCCCAAGTAGCTAGGATTACAAGCATGCACCACCACGCCCAGCTAATTTTTTGTATTTTTTAGTAGAGATGGGGTTTCACCATGTTGGCCAGGCTGGTCTTGAACTCCTGGCCTCAAGTGGTCCACCCGCCTCTGCATCCCAAAGTGCTGGGATTACAGGTATGAGCCACCACACCTGGCCAAAATCTGCAGTTTTATATCAAAATGTATCATCAGTGACAGTCCCTAAGGGCAATTGCATGTTTTTCTGACACCATAGTTGTATCACAATATATCACAACTGTTAGCATTATGGACTAGAAAAGCAGTACATTTACTGTTTTTTCAAAACTAATTGGACTATCCTTGATACCTACCATCCCCAGCCTGTTTGAGATGCAGTAAGGGGCTCAGGTTGGTGCCAAAATATTGGGCACACCCTCAGCCATGAGTTACCATGATTAGCGGCAAGCGCAGATGAAGCCTTGTCCTGGTGTGTGCCCTTGGGTTCTTTGAAGCTGATGAGTGATTTAGAACATTGGCAGCCAAGTATAAGCTGGTCATATGGAGTCACACATGAAGCTGAGAGATGTCTGATTCATCTCATCATGAAAGCTGTTACTCTTATCAAAATTTCATCAACTTTGGGGAATGATTATGTTGCTGACTAGAGATCAACATGGAAATCTGGGTATAAAAAGCAGTCAGGGAGGCTGGATCCTTTCTTTCAGTGGCTGCCTCAAATCCAGCAGGCCCTTGAATAATGTCATTTTGTCCAACGTCATTTTGTTATAATTTTGATGGGAAAAAAGAAATTGATTCCCAGCCCGGGCTGTTGTCAGTGTGGAGCTTGCATGTTCTCTCCGTATCTGTGTGGGTTTTCTCTGGGCATTCCAATTTTCTCCTGCATCCCAAAGATGTGCACTTTAGGGGAATTGACGTGTTGACATTGTCCCAGTCTAAGTGAGTGTGAGGTGTGCGTGACTGTGCCCCGTGATGGCATTCATCCAGTCTAGGGTTGGTTCTTGCCTTGTGCCCTAAGCTGCAGGGACAGGCTCTGGCCCCCTGCGACCCTGAACTGGAATAACTATCTAAATCATTATTTTACTTGTGTTTGTTAATCTGTCTTAAATGTATATATGGCTCACATTATTTATTTCAGTGTTTAATATTAGAAGTGTTTTGGTATTTATTTAGATGTTTGGTGATGTTTTTCTGACCCCCGAAAAAAGAAAACAGTAATATACAATAAAAACTTAACTCTTTTTTTTTTTTTAATTTTTTTCAGAGACAAGGTCTTGCTCTGCTACCCAGGCTGGGGTGCAGTGGTGCAATCATAGCTCACTGTAATCTCAAACTCCTGGGCTCAAGTGTTCCTCCCACCTGAAGCTCCCAAGTAACCGGGATGACAGATGTGGGCCACTACTCCTGGGCTAATTTTTTTTTAATTTTGTAGAAATAGAGTCTCACCATGTTGGTCAGGCTGGTCTCAAACTCCTGGCCTCAAGCAGTCCCCCTGCCTCAGCCTCCCAAGTTCTGGGATTACAGACATGAGCCACCATGCTGGCCCTTAACTCTTGTTTATATCAATTAGATTATGGCAAAGTTAGTTTCGTTATACATCATTTCACTTAAAGTTACAGTTTCCAAGAACCTATTGATGATGATAAGTGAGGGCTTACAGTACATGTCTTGGAGATAAATCATTGTGAATGCACAGTCACCTCTCAGGCTAAATAAATATTAACTCAGGAACACCAGAATCCAGGTCAGTTCCAGAATCTGACCTCATTCTTCCCTCTTCCCTTTGGATAAAGGTGTTTCTTTGTTTATGAGAACTATAGGAATGCCTCATTTTTATGCAAATATAAAGCAAGTGCCCAACCACCGCATTCACCTAAATGCAGATGTTTTGGAGGCTCAAAACTCAAGGGTCTCCACCCAGGATCCCTACATACAGAAAAGACACTTGTCCAGGATGGGGGCTAAATCTTTGGAGTTGAGTGTTATGTTTTTATTTTGCTTTGTTTTTCATAGTTTTTTGTGCAAAAAATGAGTGGAGCAAAGTAGCTGAGGGAACTGACTGTATGCTAGTCTTTTTGAGATTCAGAACTAGTGATACGTTGGAGTCCAGGTGACAAGTGTGGCAGGGAGTGGAAACCCTGTTGAGAGACGGGGACTTGAGAAGCATGGAATAGTACCTTTGGTGAGGATGTTGATGTTCTCTCAAGCTATTCCATCTACATTGGCAATGATGAGGCTCCCGATGGAAGCTTTTGAGAATCAGACTATTGGGGATTTGCTGCAGGAAGAGTTGTGACAATCAAGCCATTTAAATCTGAGTAATAAAACCGCATGATATTTCATTTTCCCCTGCAGGCTTTTGAAGCCTTTGATATCCTGTTTACATCAAACACATTTACTCCTAAGAAAATCTTTAGTGTATACAATTCCACATACAGATATTTTAAATGACTAACTACTTTGGCTTAGAAGAGTACAAATGACACCCCAGTCTTTTAAAATTTCAATTAGATTAAGTTTAATCTAGGCTAAATTCATTGATTGATCACCTCAAATATTGAAACATAATTGCCTCAAATATTGAAACAATAAAGTAGTATTGTTCCTTAATTTCTTAGTATTTTCTCTACTAGAGATTCTCTTATTGTAGGATTTTGAATGAATTTCATGGATGGTTTCTTTTCTTTTCTTTTGAGTGGAGTTTTGCTCTTGCTGCCCAGGCTGGAATGTAATGGCGAGATCTCGGCTCACTGCAACCTCCGCCTCCCGGGTTCAAGCAATTCTCCTGTCTCAGCCTCCTGAGTAGCTAGGATTACAGGTGCCCTCCACTATGCCTGGCTAATTTTCGGTATTTTTAGTAGAGACGGGGTTTCACCACGTTGGCCAGGCTGGTCTTAAACTATTGACCTCAGGTGATCTGCTTGCCTCAGCCTCCCAAAGTGCTGGGATTACAGGCGTGTATTACGGGAAGTCAGGGACCCCGAACGGAGGGACCGGTTGAAGCCATGGCAGAAGAACGTGGATTGTGAAGATTTCATGACATTTATTAGTTCCCCAAATTAATACTTTTATACTTTCTTAATGCCTGTCTTTACTGCAGTCTCTAAACATAAATTGTGAAGATTTCATGGACACTTATCACTTCCCCAATGAATACCCTTGTGATCTCTTATGCCTGTCTTTAATCTCTTAATCCTGTCATCTCGTAAGCTGAGGAGAATGTATGTCGCCTCAGGACCCTGTGATGATTTTGTTAACTGCACAAATTGTAGAGCATGTGTGTTTGAATAGTATGAAATCTGGGCGCCTTGAAAAAAGAACAGGATAACAGCAATGTTCAGGGAACAAGAGAGATAACCTTAAACTCTGACTGCTGGTGAGCTGGGCAGAACAGAACCATGTTTCTCTTCTTTCAAAAACAAATGGGAGAAATATCACTGAATTCTTTTTCTCAGCAAGGAACATCCCTGAGAAAGAGAATGCCTGAGGGTAGGCCTCTAAAATGGCCCCCTTGGGTGTGGCCATCTTTTATGGTCGAGCTGTAGGGATGAAATAAGCCCCAGTCTCCCATAGTGCTCCCAGGCTTATTAGGATGAGGAAATTCCTGCCTAATAAATTTTAGTCAGACCAATTGCTCTCAAACCATGTCTCCTGTTAAGATGTTATCAATGACAATGGTGCCCGAAACTTCATTAGCAATTTTAATTTCGCCCCAGTCCTGTGGTCCTGTGATCTCACCCTGCCTCCATTTGCCTTGTGATATTCTATTACCTTGTGAAGCACAAGATCTCTGTGACCCACACCCTATTCGTACACTCCCTCCCCTTTGAAAATCACTAATAAAATCTTCCTGGTTTTGCGGCTTGTGGGGCATCACAGAACCTACCGACATGTGATGTATCCCCCGGATGCCCAGCTTTAAAATTTCTCTCTTTTGTACTCTGTCCCTTTATTTCTCAACCTGGCCGACGCTTAGGGAAAATAGAAAAGAACCTACGTGACTACTGGGGGCAGGTTCCCCAATAGGCGTGAGCCACCTCGCCCAGGCAGATCTGTTTTTTATTTCCCTTTAAGATGGAACTTCCCTTTTTTTGAAAAAATTTTACTTTAAGTTCTAGGGTACATGTGCACAATGTGCAGGTTTGATACATAGGTATACACATGCTATGCTGGTTTGCTGTACCCATCAACTCGTCATTTACATTAGATATTTCTCCTAATGCTATCACTCCCCCAGCCTACACCCCACGACAGCCCCCGGTGTGTGATGTTCCCCACCCTGTGTCCAAGTGATCTCATTGTTCAGTTCCCAGCTATGAGTGAGAACATGCAGTGTTTGGTTTTCTGTCCTTGTGATAGTTTGCTGAGAATGATGCTTTCCAGCTTCATCCATGTCCCTGCAAAGGACATGAACTCATACTTTTTTATGGCTGCATAGTATTCCATGGTGTATATGTGCCATATTTTCTTAATCCAGTCTATCATTGATGGACATTTGGGTTGGTTCCAAGTCTTTGCTATTGTGAATAGTGCTGCAATTCACATACGTGTGTATGTGTCTTTATAGTAGCATGATTTATAAACCTTTGGGTATATATCCAGTAATGGGATTGCTGAATCAAATGGTATTTCTAGTTCTAGATCCTTCAGGAATCACCACACTGTCTTCCACAATGGTTGAGATAATTTACATTCCCACCAACAGTGTAAAAGCATTCCTATTTCTCCACATCCTCTCCAGCATCTGTTATTTCCTGACTTTTTAATGATCGCCATTCTAACTGGTGTGAGATGGTATCTCATTGTGGTTTTGATTTGCATTTCTCTGATGACCAGTGATGATGAGCATTTTTTCATGTGTCTATTGGCTGCATAGATGTCTTCTTTTGAGAAGCATCTGTTCATATCCTTTGCCCACTTTTTGATGGGGTTGTTTATTTTTTCTTATAAATTTTTTTGAGTTCTTTGTAGATTCTGGATATTAGCCCTTTGGCAGATAGGTAGGTTGCAAAACTTTTCTCCCATTCTGTAGGTTGCTTGTTCACTCTGATGGTAGTTTCTTTTGCTGTGCAGAAGCTCTTTAGTTTAATTAGATCCCATTTGTCTATTTTGGCTTTTGTTGCCATTGCTTTTGGTGTTTTAGTCATGAAGTCCCTGCCCATGCCTATGTCCTGAATGGTATTGCCTAAGTTTTCTTCTAGGGTTTTTATGGTTTTAGGTCTAACATTTAAGTCTTTAATCCATCTTGAATTAATTTTTGTATAAGGTGTAAGGAAAGGATCCAGTTTCAGCTTTCTACCTATGGCTAGCCAGTTTTCCCAGCACCATTTATTAAACAGGGAATCCTTTCCCCATTTCTTGTTTTTGTCAGGTTTGTCAAAGATCAGATGGTTGTAGATGTGTGGTGTTATTTCTGAGGCCTCTGTTCTGTTCCATTAGTCTACATATCTGTTTTGGTGCCAGTACCATGCTGTTTGGCTACTGCAGCCTTGTAGTATAGTTTGAAGTCAGGTAGCATGATGCATCCAGCTTTGTTCTTTTGGCTTAGGACTGTCTCGGCGATGCGGGCTCTTTTTTGGTTCTATATGAACTGTAAAGTAGTTTTTTCCAATTCTGTGATGAAAGTCATTGGTAGCTTGATGGGGATGGTGTTGAATCTATAAATTACCTTGAGCAGTATGACCATTTTCACGATATTGTTTCTTCCTATCCATGAGCATGGAATGTTCTTCCATTTGTTTGTGTCCTCTTTTATTTCATTGAGCAGTGGTTTGTAGTTCTCCTTGAAGAGGTCCTTCACATCCCTTGTAAGTTGGATTCCTAGGTATTTTATTCTCTTTGAAGCAATTGTGAATGGGAGTTCACTCATGATTTGGCTCTCTGTTTGTCAGTTATTGGTGTATAGGAATGCTTGTGATTTTTTCACATTGATTTTGTATCCTGAGACTTTGCTGAAGTTGCTTATCAGCTTAAGGAGATTTTGGGCTGAGACAATAGGGTTTTCTAAATACACAATCATGTCATCTGCAAACAGGGACAATTTGACTTCCTCTTTTCCTAATTGAATACCCTTTATTTCTTTCTCTTGCCTGATTACCCTGGCCAGAACTTCCAACCCTATGTTGAATAGGAGTGGTGAGAGAGGGCATCCTTGTCTTGTGCCCGTTTTCAAAGGGAATGCTTCCAGTTTTTGCCCATTCAGTATGATATTGGCTGTGGGTTTGTCATAAATAGCTCTTATTTTTTTGAGGTACGTTCCGTCAATACCTAGTTTATTGAGAGTTTTTAGCATGAAGTACTGTTGAATTTTGTCAAACGCCTTTTCTCCATCTACTGAGATAATCATGTGGTTTTTGTCACTGGTTCTCTTTATGTGATGGATTATGTATATTGGTTTGCATATGCTGAACCAGCCTTGCATCCCAGGGATAAAGCCAAACTGATTGTGCTGGATACGCTTTTTGATGTGCTGCTGGATTTGGTTTGCCAGTATTTTACTGAGGATTTTCGCATTGATGTTCATCAGGGATATTGGTCTAAAATTCTCTTTTTTTGTTGTGTCTCTGCCAGGCTTTGGTATCAGGATGATGCTGGCCTCATAAAATGAGTTAGGGAGGAGTCCCTCTTTTTCTGTTGATTGGAATAGTTTCAGAAGGAATGGTACCAGCTCCTCTTTGTACCTCTGGTAGAATTCGGCTGTGAATCCATCTGGTCCTGGACTTTTTTTGGTTGGTAAGCTATTAATTATTGCCTCAATTTCAGAGCCTGTTATTGGTCTATTTAGGGATTCAACTTCTTCCTGGTTTAGTCTTGGGAGGGTGTATGTGTGCAGGAATGTATCCATTTCTTCTAGATTTTCTAGTTTATTTGCATAGAGGTGTTTATAGTATTCTCTGATGGTAGTTTGTATTTCTGTGGGATTAGTGGTGATATCCCCTTTATCATTTTTTATTGTGTCTATTTGATTCTTCTCTCTTTTCTTCTTTATTAGTCTTGCTAGTGGTCTATCAATTTTGTTGATCTTTTCAAAAAACCAGCTCCTGGATTCATTGATTTTTTGAAAGGTTTTTTGTGTCTCTATCTCCTTCAGTTCTGCTCTGATCTTAGTTATTTCTTGCCTTCTGCTAGCTTTTGAATGTGTTTGCTCTTGCTTGTCTAGTTCTTTTAATTGTGATGTTAGGGTGTCAATTTTAGATCTTTCCTGCGTTCTCTTGTGGGCATTTAGTGCTATAAATTTCCCTCTACACACTGCTTTAAATGTGTCCCAGAGATTCTGGTATGTGTGTCTTCATTCTCATTGGTTTCAAAGAACATCTTTATTTCTGCCTTCATTTTGTTATGTACCCAGTAGTCACTCAGGAGCAGCTTGTTCAGTTTCCACGTAGTTTGCAGTTTTTAGTGAGTTTCTTAATCCTGAGTTCTAATGTGATTGCCCTGTGGTCTGAGAGACAGTTTGTTGTGATTTCTATTCTTTTACATTTGCTGAGGAGTGCTTTACTTCCAATTATGTGGTCAATTTTGTAATAAGTACAATGTGGTGCTAAGAAGGATGTATAATCTGTTGATTTGGGGTGGAGAGTTCTGTAGATGTCTATTAGGTCTGCTTGGTGCAGAGCTGAGTTCAAGTCCTGGATATCCTTGTTAACCTTCTGTCTTGTTAATCTGTCTAATATTGACAGTGGGTTGTTAAAGTCTCTCATTATTATTGTGTGGGAGTCTAAGTTTCTTTGTAGGTCCCTAAGGACTTGCTCTATGAATCTAGGTGCTCCTGTATTGGGTGCATATATATTTAGGATAGTTAGCTCTTCTTGTTGAATTGATCCCTTTACCATTATGTAATGGCCTTCTTTGTCTCTTGTGATCTTTGTTGGTTTAAAGTCTGTTTTTTCAGAGACTAGGATTGCAACCCCTGCCTTTTTTTGTTTTCCATTTTCTTGGTAGATCTTCCTCCATCCCTTTATTTTGAGCCTATGTGTGTCTCTGCACATGAGATGGGTCTCCTGAATACAGCATACTGATGGGTCTTGACTGTTTATCCAATTTGCCAGTCTGTGTCTTTTAATTGGGACATTTAGCCCATTTACATTTAAGGTTAATATTGTGTGTGAATTTGATCCTGTCATTATGATGTTATTTTGCTCGTTAGTTGATGCAGTTTTTTCCTAGCACTGATGGTCTTTATAATTTGGCATGTTTTTGCAGTCGCTGGTACTGGTTGTTCCCTTCCATGTTTAGTGCTTCCTTCAGGAGCTCTTGTAAGGCAGGCCTGGTGGTGACAAAATCTCTCAGCATTTGCTTGTCAATAAAGGATTTTATTTCTCCTTCACTTATGAAGCTTAGTTTGGCTAGATATTAAATTCTTGGTTGAAAATTCTTTTCTTTAAGAATGTTGAATATTGGCCCCCACTCTCTTCTGGCTTATAGAGAGAGTTTCTGCGGAGAGTTTTGCTATTAGTCTGATGGGCTTCCCTTTGTGGGCAACCTGACCTTTGTTTCTGGCTGCCCTTAACATTCTTTCCTTCATTTCAACCTTGGTGAATCTGATAATTATGTGTCTTGGGGTTGCTCTTCTCAAGGAGTATCTTTTGGTGTTCTCTGTATTTCCTGAATTTGAATGTTGGCCTGCCTTGCTAGGTTGGGGAAGTTCTCCTGGATAACATCCTGAAGAGTGTTTTCCAACTTGGTGCCATTCTCCCCATCACTTTCAGATACACCAATCAAACGTAGATTTGCTCTTTTCACATAGTCCCATATTTCTTGGAGGCTTTGTTTGTTTCTTTTTACTCTTTTTTCTGTAAAGTTCTCTTCTTGCTTCATTTCATTCGATACTCAATCACTGATACCCTTTCTTCCACTTGAACGAATTCAGCTACTGAAGCTTGTGCATGTGTCACGTAGTTCTCGTGCCATGGTTTTCAGCTCCATCAGGTCATTTAAGGTCTCTACACTGTTTATTCTAGTTAGCCATTCATCTAATCTTTTTTCAAGGTTTTTAGCTTCCTTGCGATGGGTTCGAATGTCCTCCTTTAGCTCGGAGAAGTTTGTTATTACCAAGTTTTTGAAGCCTACTTCTGTCATCTCGTCAAAGTCATTCTCCGTCCAGCTTTGTTCCGTTGCTGGCGAGGAGCTACAGTCCTTTGGAGGAGAAGAGTCACTCTGATTTTTAGAATTTTCAGCTTTTCTGCTCTGGTTTCTCCCCATCTTTGTGGTTTTATCTACCTTTGGTCTTTGATGATGGTGACATACAGATGGGGTTTTGGTGTGGATGTCCTTTTTGTTGATGTTGATGCTATTCCTTTCTGTTTGTTAGTTTTCCTTCTAACAGTTAGGACCCTCAGCTGCAGGTCTGTTGGAGTTTGCTGGAGGTCCTCTCCAGACCCTGTTTGCCTGCGTGTCACCAGCGGAGGCTGCAGAACAGCAAATATTGCAGAACAGCAAATATTGCTGCCTGATCCTTCCTCTGGAAGCTTCATCTCAGAGGGGCACCCTGCTATATGAGGTGTCTGTAGGCCCCTACTGGGAGATGTCTCCCAGTTAGGCTACTGAGGAGGTCAGAGACCCACTTGAGGAGGCAGTCTGTCCATTTTTAGAGCTCAAACTCCATGCTGGGAGAACCACTGCTCTCTTCAGAGCTGTCAGACAGGGACATTTAAGTCTGCAGAAGTTTCTACTGCCTTTTGTTCAGCTAAGCCTTGCCCCCAGAGGTGGAGTCTACAGAGGCAGGCAGGCCTCGAGCTGTGGTGGGCTCCACCCAGTTCAAACTTCCCAGCCACTTTGTTTACCTGGTCAAGCCTCAGCAATGGCAGACACCCCTCCTGCAGCTTGGCTGCCACCTCACAGTTTGATCTCGGACTGCTGTGCTAGCAGTGAGCAATGCTCCGTGGGCATGGGACCTACTGAGCCATGTGTGGGATATAATCTCCTGGTGTGCCGTTTGCTAAGACTGTTGGAAAAGCACAGTGTTATGGCGGGAGTGTCCCGATATTCCAGGTACCGTCTGTCCATCTGTCACGGCTTCCCTTGGCTAGGAAAGGGAAATCCCCCAACCCCTTGCGCTTCCCAGGTGACGTGATGCCCTGCCCTGCTTTGGCTCACACTCCGTGAGCTGCACCCACTGTCCAACCAGTCCCAGTGAGATAAACCAAGTACCTCAGTTGGAAATTCAGAAATCACCCGTCTTCCGCATTGATCATGCTGGGAGCTGTAGACCGGAGCTGTTCCTATTTGGCCATCTTGGAATGATCCACCTGCCACATTTTCTTTATCCAGTCTATCCTTGATGGACATTTGCATTGGTTCCAAGTCTTCACTATTGTGAACAGTGCCTCAATAAACATACGTGTGCATGTGTCTTTATAGTAGAAGGATTTATAATCCTTTGGCTATATACCCAGTAATGGATCATTATTTCTGTTTTTTCAATGGCAATTGTCTCCTGATCTGTTGGCTTCAGTATACTTGAGTAATGATAAAATCTACATTTTAAAACACATGAGATGTTTTTAATGTATATTTGCCTTCGTTTCTTTCAGCAATATTTTGTGGTTTTTCTTGTGCAAATCTTTCGTCTCCATTGTTGTTTATTCCTAAGTATTGTATTCGTTTCCATGCTATTGTAAATAAGATTGTTTTCTTAATTTTCATTTTGGATTGTCTGTTGTTAGTATATAGAAATGCAAATAATTTTTGTGTGTTGATTTTGTATCCTACAATTTTGCTGAATTTATTTTTTGTGTGTAAGTATGACTAAGATCGTGTCATCTACAGAGATGTTTTTACTTCTTTCTTTCCAATTTGAATGGCTTTTATTTTTCTTGCCTAATTTTTCTGGCTAGAACTTAAATTTCTAGCCCATGGAAAAAGCAGGCATATTTGTCTTTCTCCTGATCATTGGTGAAAGACTATGATGTCAGCTGCAGATTTTTATATATGGCCTTTATTATGTTGAGGAAATGTCCTTCTATTTCTAGTGTATTGAGTATTTTATCATTTAAAAAAGTTAATATTTTTCTGCATTGATTGAGATGATTATGTGTTTTTTCCATTCTTCTCTGCATGTGGTGCATTAAATTAATTGATTTTGTTTGTTGAATCCTCTTTGTACTCAAGGAGTAAATCCTCCTTGGTCATGATATATAACCCTTTTAAAATGCTGGTGAATTTTAGTTGCTAATATTTCTGTTGAGGAACTTTTCATCAATATTCATAATCTTTCCTTGTCATGTTTTTGCCTGGCTTTGCTATCAGGGTAATCCTGGTCTCATAAAATGAGTTAGAAAGTGTTACCTCCATTTCAGTTTTCTGGAAGAGTTTGAAAAGGATTATTGTTTATTCTTCTTTAAATATTTGGTAGAATTCACTGGTAAAGCCCTCTGGTGCAGGATTGTTCTTTGCTGAGTGGTTTGATTACTGATTTTATGTCCTTACTAGTTATAAGTCAGTTCAGATTTTGTATTTCTCCATGACTCAGGCTTGGTAGTTGTATGTTCCTACAAATTCATTCGTTTCATCTATGTTATTCAATATTTTGGCATGCAGTTGTTCATAGTACTCTGAGATCATCCTTTTTATTTCTGTAAAATCATAAGTAATGCTCTCACTTTCATTTCTGGTTTTAGTTATTTGAGTCTTCTCAATTTTTCTTAGTCCGGCTAAAAGTTTGTCAATTTGTTGATCTTTTCAAATTATTAAGTTTTGGTTTTGTTGAATTTCTCTATTATTTACCTATTCTCTATTTATCTCAATTCCTTTTTTCTGCTAAATTTATGTATACTTTACTTGTCTAATTCCTTAAGGTGTAAAGTTAGGTTATTTATTTGAAATTTTTATTTTTCTTTAACGTAGGTATTTACAGCTATAAATTTCCCTCTGAGTACTGCTTTCACTGCATCTCACAAGTTTTAGTATGTTGTGGTTTTGTTTTTATTTGTCTCAAGGCAGTTGCTACATTTTCTTCTGATTTCTTCATTTATCTTTTGGTTGGTTAAGAGTGTTTTGCTTAATTTCCACATATTTATGTATTTTCCAGTTTTCCTTTTGCTATTGTTTTCTAGTTTTATTCCTTTGTGATAAGAAAATATACTTTGTATGATTTCAGTCTTTTTAAATGTAATAAAATTTGTTTTGTGGAGTAACATGGTTTACCCTGGATATGTTCTGTGCACACTTGAGAAAAATCTGTGTTCTGTTTTTGTTGGGTGGCATGCTCTGTGTATGTTAGGTTAAATGGGCTCTCTCTGTTTCCTTATTGATCTTGAACCCAGGAGGCGGAGGTTGCAGTGAGCCGAGATTGCACCACTGCACTCCAGCCTAGGTGACAGCAAGACTGTGTCTCAAAAAAAAAAAAAAAAAAGAAAAGAAAAAAGATATGCTTGTCAATCTATGTAAAATAACCACAGAGATTTTGAAAGGAATCGTATTCAATCTGTAGGACAAATTGAGGGGTATTACCATCTTAACAATATGGAGTCTTCTGATCATGTAAGTGAGGCATCTTTCCATTTACTATGATTTAATTTCTTTCCATTTCTTTCTTATAGTTTTCTGTGTAGAACTCTTGCACTTCTTTTGTTAAATATACTTTGTCATTTTAATTGTTCAATTAAAATTGAACAAATTGAAAAATTGTTTGTTAAGTCTGGTTCTAGCACTGATCCCTAGAAAACTTAAAAGAGACACTTTATCTCTCTATTTTTGTCCCCTATAAGTAATAACATGGTCCTGTATTCATTTTTTAAAACTTTGAAAAATATGCATTTCCAAAGATTCTCACATTCATTCATTCATTTATTCAGCAAACATTTATTAAACACCTTCTATGTGCCAGGCAGATACAGATATCTGCCCTTATACAGACTAAAGCCATAGAATTTAATATTGACATATCAATAAAACTCAGTAAAAATATTTAAAATAGCCTCTGAAAACTTATATCACTTATTTGAATCTTTTATCAGACTTATACATTATATTCAAGTTTTTTTGTTAAAACTTGAAATACCACATATATCTATAAACAACTACCTCTAAAGAAAATGGATAGTTCATAAAGATTATTGCTAAAATTTTGTGAGCTTTTTCTTCCTTTTTATCTTATTTTTAATGTTTGTTTCTAACCATTGTGAGTGAATTAAAATGTATTTAAATTTTTTAAATACCTTCTGGGTGAGTACATAAAAAGAAAAGAGATGTTAATATAAGTGGTTTATAGCTTCATTTAAGTGTTTTTCATGTCTTAACAATATAAGGTGAATTACTGGGGAGATGATCTCTGGGCTTTTAAGAATCACAGTACTGCCACTCACTAGCTGACTCATTTTGATGAAGCTTCTTGACTTTCTGAGCCCTGATTCTATCCTTTATGGATAGATTAATGGAGATGATAATACTCATTATTTAACCCATTTTAATTGTAGACGTTAAACTAGATAATATTTGTGAATGTATTCTGAAAACTCTAAGGCACTGTATGGATGTATTATTTTACATGATATTCGATTTCTGTCAACTCTCCCACAGGAGTACCAGCTCATGATAGGAGTCAGTAATTGGATGCTCTGGGCAGCCTATTTCTTCACGTTCCTCTCTTTGTATTTTATTATCATCATTTTTATGTGCATAATTTTCTTTGTCAAGGCAAGTGTCTATTTGGCTGCAGCATGTTGTGGATAAACTTTGAGAGGGAAAGTAGAAACATGGTGTGGGGCCAGATGGGCCTCGGGTTTCTAGGGGATGAAATGTGGCTTTTGTTGACTTCACAGTGGAAACTCAGAGACTGCTTAGTCTCTCAGCAAACAAAACTTTAGACCTAGAGGGATGGGCCATCTGTAGGAAATAAATTGTTAACTCTCCATCTCACTAAGCAGAGTCATCAGTTTCACTAAGACTATTAAAACACTTATGGATGTTTCATTTTTCCTCTTTGGTTTTGGTGTGATACCGCTTACAGCATGACTAAACTGGTTTCCTAATTGTTTTGCTAGGTTGAACCTGCACCAGTCATCCAAAGCAGTGACCCAACGCTTATCTTTATCTTTTTGCTGTTTTATGCCATCGCCACAATATGCTTCAGCTTTATGGTTAGCACTTTCTTCAGTAGAGGTGAGTCTGAGATTCCAGTGGTGAAATATTCTCAGTAACTACACTTTAGCTGCCAACTCATCTACAGCCTCTGTTTACACACTCTAACCGAAAAGACAAATATCATGTACACGTGAAATGATTTGGAAGGGAATGAAGAGAGCAATGACAATTAATGTAGCACAGGATACATGTGAAAAAAGACAAAAACCAAAATAAGATCATGTCTGTGTGTTCTTTCTAACCTTTAGCTGCTACTTCATGTATGGTATTTGTCCAACCCTTCCAGCAGGAAGGGTTGAGATGGAGATGGCTTCTGTATATTCCATTGGAGGGACTGATGTATGCTAGTATCTGATGATGAGAGTGATATATGTGAAGAGAAAGAAAATGGCAGTGCTACTTCAATGAAAGAAAGGGTTCTTGCACTTAATTAATAGATCCTCATTGTGTGTCTTCTGTGTATTTGTGTGTTTTTGTTTTGCTTTCTTTTCTGTTTTGTTTGTTTGTTTTGAGACAGAGTCTCACTCTGTGGCCCAGGCTGGAGTGCAGTGGCTCAATCTCGGCTCACTGCCACCTCCACCTCCCGGGTTCAAGCGATTCTCCTGCCTCATCCTCCCGAGTAGCTGGGACTACAGGCGCCTGGCACCATGCCCGGCTAATTTTTGTATTTTTAGTAGAGACGGGGTTTCACCATGTTGGCCAGGCTGGTCTTGAACTCCTGACCTCAGGTGATCCACCTGTCTCAGCCCCACAAAGTGCTGGGATTACAGGCATGAGCCACCGTGCCCAGCCTATGTATCTGAAATATACTGTCTGCCCCACAGAGCTAATATTGACCTTGGGGACATGAATATTATATGCACAAAAAGTAGTTTATAAAATACATTAGTCAGGGTCACATGATTTGCAGAGTACAACTGGGGACCCAGGAAAACCAGTGGTATAATTCCAGTCTGACTCTGAAGGCCTGAGAACCAGGGGAGGTGGTGGTGTAAATCCCAGTTCAAAGGCTGGAACAGACTAATGTCCCAGTCAAGAAGGCAACAAGGAAGAAATGAGAGCAAATTCCCCCTTCCTCCACCCTTTTGTTCTTTTCAGGCCCTCAACAGATTGGATGATGCCTGCCCACATTGGGGAGGACCATCTGCTTTACTGAGTCCACTGATTCAAATGCTTATCTCATTTGGCAACCTCCTCACAGACACACCCAGAAATAATGTTTAATCTGTATACTCCATGGAGAGTCAAGTTGGCACATAAAATGAACCACCATAAGAAGACATGCAGAGAACAATGAAAATTAACAAAGCATAGTGTACACATTTAAAAAAAAAAAATGGATTAAGATATTCCAGGTCGAGGCCGGGCGCGGTGGCTCATGCCTGTAATCCCAGCACTTTGGGAGGCCGAGGCGGGCAGATCACGAGGTCAGGAAATCGAGACCATCCTGGCTAACATGGTGAAACCTCGTCTCTACTAAAAATACAAAAAAAATTAGCCAGGCATGGTGGCGGGCGCCTGTAGTCCCAGCTACTCGGGAGGCTGAGGCAGGAGAATGGCGTGAACCCGGGAGGCGGAGCTTGCAGTGAGCCGAGATCACGCCACTGCACTCCAGCCTGGGGGACAGAGCGAGACAACATCAAAAAAAAAAAAAAAAAAAAAAGATATTGCAGGTTGAGATAGGCCTGGAAATGCTATGCTTCAATCAAGGTAGGTTTGTGAAGGATTTGAAGATGGGAATGAATAGGAAGTCAAGTCAGTGGATGCAGCTATACATTCATTCATTTGTTAACATTTTTGGATATCTGTGACTGGGCATGGTGGCTCACACTTGTAATCCCAGCACTTTGGGAGGCTGAGGTGGGTGGATCACTTGAGGTCAGGACTTCGATACCAACCTGGCCAGCATGGTGAAACTCCGTCTCTATTGAAAATACAAAAATTAGCCATGTGTGGTGGTGGGCACCTGTAATCCCAGTTACTCAGGAGGCTGAGGCAGGAGAGTCACCTGAACCTGGGAGGTGGAGGTTGCAGTGACCCGAGATCGTGCCACTGCACTCCAGCCTGGGCAACAGAGTAAGAGTCCGTCTCAAAAAAAAAAAAAAGAAAAATGTGGATATCTGAACTTGTACCATGTCTAATATACAAAGACCAAGAAAAATCATTTCTTTTCCCATTGAGGGCTCACATGCAAAGTGTTTTATGAATTTACAGCCTCACTAGAAGGAGATGAGAATTCCTCATGCTCCATATTCTTGCCAATATTTAGAATTGCCAAGCTTTTAATTGTGCCAAATTAGGGATATGAAATGTTATCGCATAGCAATTTAAATCTACATTTCCCAATTGTTAATGAAGCTGTGTGTTACTAATATGAGTCATGTGTGTCTCCTCTTCTGTAACTGTTAGCGCATTCTGATTTTTTATAGTTATTGAAATTTTCTGACAATATTTTTACTTAAAGTCTATTTTGTCTGATATTCATATAACCACCCTGATCTCTTTTTGTTATTTTCATGGAGTATCTTTTTCCATCCTTTCACTTTCAACCAGTTTGTATATTTGAATCATTTTTAAAAAATCCATTCTGCCACCCTTGCCTTTTATTGAAGATAATAATACAGAACATTGGCCGGGCGTGGTGGCTCACACCTGTAATCCCAGCAGTTTGGGAGGCTGAGGCAGACACATCACAAGGTCAGGAGTTCGAGACCAGCCTGACCAACATGGTGAAACCCTGTCTTTACTAAAAATACAAAAATTAGCTGGGCGTGGTGATACGTGCCTGAAATCCCAGCTATTCAGGAGGCTGAGGCAGAAGAACTGCTTGAACCTGGGAGGCAGAGGTTGCAGTGAGCCAAGATCGTGCCACTGCATTCCAACCTGGGTGACAGAGCGAGACTCCATCTCAAAAAAAAAAAAAAAAATACAGAACTGACATCTGCCGTTTTGGTATTTGTTTTATATATGTCATATCTTTTTTCTCTCATAGCTTCCATTTTGAGTCCCATCTAATTTCCTTTTCTGTATATTTTCTAGTTCTTCTCTGAGGGGATAATTTGGATTTTACAATTAGTATCTTAAACAATTTAATTTGGGTTAATAACAATTTAGCTTTAATACTATACAAAAGCTCTTCTGTCAAGCTTCAGCCCCTCTTTGTGTTGGTATTTTTGCAAATTACATCTTTATATTGTGTGCCTATTAACATGTTTATCATTATTTTATGCATTTATCTTTTAAATCATATAGAAGGAAAAAGAAACCATTATCATAACACTGGCTTTTATATCTGCCTATGTAGTTACCTTCACTGGAGCTCTTTATTTTTTCATGTGACTTCATGTTACCATCTAATGTCCTTTCATTCAGCTGAAAGAACTATATTATAGGGCAGGTGTATTAGCAAATTTTCTTAGCTTTTGCTAATCTGGCAATTTCTAATATCTCCTAATTTTTTTTTTTTTTTTTTTTTTTTTGAGACAGAGTCTTGCTATGTTGCTGAGGCTGGAGTACAGTGGCCTTTCTACTACAATGAGGAATTCTGCCTTGGGACTTGAGAGAGGTAGCAGTCCTAGGGTGTGGGTTAGGGGCATTCACTGAAATACCATGTAGCAGCGTAACCTGTGGCTATTGAAATGTGGCTGTAGGAATATTGCTCATGACTTGACTTCTGCTCTTGAATATTCATAGCTGGGCAGCAGAGAGCGATGTGAGGACTATACTTATGGCATGATACCATTTTTATTGCAAATATATAGGTATATGTGGAAGTTGATTAAAAATTTATGTGTGATCATTTTTACAGTGCCTATCTCTAGGTAGTAGGATAATTTTTATTTTTCCCTTTGTCTTTTATTGTAGTTTCTCAGTTATTTCCAATAAGCACTGCATTAATTTTATAGTTGTAAAAAATGTTGTTTAAAAGTCAGGGAGCCCAGGCGTGGTGGCTCATGCCTGTAATCCCAGCACTTTGGGAGGCTGAGGCAAACTGATCACCTGAGGTCAGCAGTTCGAGATCAGCCTGGACAACATGGTGAAACCCCGTCTCTACTAAAAATACAAAACTTAGCCAGGTGTGGTGGCACATGCCTCTAATCCCAGCTACTTGGGAGGCTGAGGCAGGAGAATTGCTTGAATCCAGGAGGTAGAGGTTGCAGTGAGCTGAGATTATGCCACCGCACTGTAGCCTGGGTGACAGAGCGAGACTATATCTCAAAAAAAAAAAAAAAAAAAAAAAAAAAGCCGGGTGCTGTGGCTCACATGTGTAATCCCAGCACTTTGGGAGGCCAAGGTGGGCAGATCAAGAGGTCAGGAGATCGAGACCATCCTGGCTAACACGGTAAAACCCCATCTCTACTAAAAATGTCAAAAAAATTAGCCGGGCGTGATGGCGGGCGCCTGTAGTCCCAGCTACTCGGGGGGCTGAGGCAGGAGAATGGCGTGAACCTGGGAGGCGGAGCTTACAGTGAGCCTAGATCACGCCACTGCACTCCAGCCTGGGCTACAGAGCAAGACTCTGTCTCAAAAAAAAAAAAAAAAAAAAAAAAAAAAGTCAAGGAGAGGAGATTTCTGTCAGGCACAATTTCTGTCAGGCACAGTAGCAGGAACCAGATTGAATTCTCTTGCCATTGAAATCTGGACAAAAATCTGTGAATCGGCTGTCCTAAGACATTAGACAAGCAACAGCACAGGACCGTGATCCTGAGAGAAGGAACATGAGAGGAGGGGACAGGGAGATGCCAGGCAGAGATAGCTACATCACTGCATGGAGGAGATGGGTTGGAGTTGAGAGAGGCTGAGGCAGCAGAAAGTTGTGGAATCAAGTTCTTAAGAGCAGAGGGTTACACGGGGACCTTCTTGGGTGTTTGGGGGATTCCAAGGCAGGCATGAGCTCAATGGCTCCTAAGCTCACCCCAGGCTGGGTGGTGGTTGGATTCCCACTAGCCAGAGTCCTCAGTGATCAGTCACTGCACTAGCTGGCCATGCCTACTGGCAGGCTAAACTGTCCCTAGAATAAAGGCAGAGCTTAAGAGAGCCTGAGAAAGATCACATTAAATCACAAGTAACAACACTTTTAAAAGAAAGACAGCAAAACCTAGACACCCAACAAAGTAAAATTCACAATCTCCGGTATCTAGTCCAGAGTACCAGGAAGCAGGAGATTGTGACCTATGATCAGAAAATCAGTAAATAGGAAGGGACCCTGTCTGGAATTAACTGACCAGGACATTGAAATCTATTAAAATTACATTCAGGAATTTAAAGGAAAAAAGGAACATAGCAAGGAGAGAAATAGAAGACATAAAAAAGAACCGTATGGAACTCCTAGACTCGAAGAGCGAGGAGAGTTGCTGCCAGGCTTGCCTTCCATGTGTTTCGGGTACGTGCATTTGGTAAGGTTAGCGGTCTGCTTCATCCAATGGGGAATCAAAACCCAAGTTAAATGACTTGCCAGGACCTTAGTGAGCAAGAAGCTGCTGTTATATAACCTGACGACTGCCAGATATGTTGGCCTGCGTCATTAGGATACCAGAATCTTGAAAGGGTAAATTTAATGAGCTGAAATTTCATAGCTGGAAATGTAGACTCAGAACATTTGCACAGTAGTAGACGGTGGTGTAACATTGTGTGAAGCCGAGTGTTTTGCTGGCTGCGCTGGTGTGCAGGAGCTTCCTCGGAGCCCTTGTGGTTGGAAGGTGCACTCTGGAGCACACCCATTCTTAGCTTGTCTACCCTGTGGCCCCAGTGGAGCGTTTTGGAGCTGCTGGGAGGAGCTGTCCAGGGACAGACTGTCATGGTGGCAGTGGGCTGGAAACTGTTGTCTTTGGGGAAACGGTTAGAAATTGAGATTTCACAAGGTTTGATAATGGTTAGATGCCTGGAGAAGCAGCACATAAGTGAAGAATTAGGCTGGTTTTGTAGGTGCTAAGAGGGTCAGTGGAGGAACAGCAGCTCCGCGGAGGTGGGCTTCAGCCCAGCTGGGATTTTGTCATTTTCTTCCTGGGGTGCACAAGGCTTGCTCGAGGACCTGTGGTGGTGAGTGCTCTGTAACTGCTCAGGCGGACAGGAAACCGCCGTGGAGCACGCAGCACTGCCTGGCGGTGGTTGCTTTGGGACATGACCCATCACTGGAGGTGCTCAGGTGGAGTCAGGGTCTTTGGCTGGAGCCAAGCTCTCCACATGCAGCATGCAGGTGGGCATGTTGAATCTCCTTTGAATCTCATGAATTTGAGATTCTGATTTAGTGTAGCTAGGCAATTTCTAGCATATTGCAAGTATCAACATTCTGTTATGTGGCTGGGCACAGTGGCTTACACCTATAATCCCAGCATTTTGGGAGGCCAAGGCAGGCGGATCATTTGAGGTCAGGAGTTCAAAACCAGCCTGGCCAACCTGGTGAAATCCCTTCTCTACAAAAAAATACAAAAAAAAAATTAGCCCAGCATGATGGTGGGTGCCTGTAATCCCAGCTACTTGGAAGGCTGAGGCAGGAGAATCGCTTGAACTTGAGAGGCGGAAGTTGCAGTGAGCCAAGGTCACACCACTACACTCCAGCCTGGGTGACAGAGCAAGACTCTGTCTCAAAAAAAAAAAAAAAACCAACATTTTATTGTTACTTTAAAAAATGTATTCAGTGGAATCTATGTACTATGGCAATTTAATACCTACCATTAGCTATTGGTAAAAAATACATGGAAAGCTTTTCTCTCCCCTTCCCCTCTCCGCCCCTCCCCTTCCCCCTCTCCGCCCCTCCCCCTCCCCCTCTCCGCCCCTCCCCCTCCCCTCCCTCCTCCCCTCCCCCCTCCTTCCTTCCTCTCTCTTGCCCTCCCCTCTCTTGCCCCTCCCCGTCCCTTCCCCCGCTCACTCTGTTGCCTGGAGCTAAGTGCCATGGTGCCATCTCAGCTCACTGTAATCGCCTACTCCCAGGTTCAAGTGATTCTCCTACTTCAGCCTCCCAAGTAGTTGGGACTACAGATGCGTGCCGCCACACCTGGCTAATTTTTGTATTTTTAGTAGAGACAGGGTTCACCATGTTGGTCAAGCTGGTCTCGCACTCCTGACCTGAAGTGATCTTGCCTGCCTTGGCCTCCCAAAGTACTGGGATTACAAGCGTGAGCCACCACGCCTGGCCCGCTTCTCTTTAATAATCAGAAATTTTATGTCTTTCATTTTTCTCCTTTCATTCATATCAACATTCTACTTCTCTCACAGAATTTCATCTTTCTGCTTCCCTCCCCTGTCCCCTCGAGATGGAGTCTTGCTCTGTTGCCCAGGCTGGAGTGTAGTGGTGCCATTTTGACTCATTACAACCTCCGCCTCCCAGGTTTAAGTGATTCTCCTGCCTCAGCCTCCTGAGTGCCTGGGATTACAGACCCCCACCACCACACCTGTCTAATTTTTGTATTTTTAATAGAGATGGGGTTTCACCATGTTGGCCAGGCTGGTCTTGAACTCGTGACCTCAGGTGATCTGGCTGCCTTGGCCTCACAAAGTGCTGGGATTACAGGTGTGAGCCACCGTGCCCAGACTACATTTTTATGCTTAAAAGCTTTTTAAAATTAGTCATTATAATTCTCTGCAACAAAACTACGTGTATACAATGAAAATTAAAGTTTTTCTGTGCTCTTAATATTCTAAGAGTTTAAGAAAATTATGATTGAGACATCATTACAGTGAAAATTAATACACAGTACATCAAAGCAAATGTATCTCATTTTGATTAAACACAGCAAGTAAAATTTGTTGGAAATGTATCTTTAAGTGCGTGGATGAGACTTTTGCTCTATTAGTTTAATTACCCATGGACAAATATTGCCAGCCTGAAACAGCTTTTAATGTCCACTTTAAGAACTTCATTCATTTAAATAAGTTGGGACTAAAAGGGGTTTTGTCATAGCAGCATCACGCCACTCTCAGGCCCTTCTGCATTCCATGTCGGAAACCTCAGTTCCTAAGACTCACTCGTAGTGATCTCTGCAGAAGAGTGGAGATGCAGTGAGCCGAGGAAAAATGAAGCATTTCCTCTTCTCTGCTGTGGGAGTCGAGAGTGAGGGACGGGGGTGCACACATGCTGCACAAGGCAATGCCTAAGAAACTTCTCGTTCACCCCGTTCACACCTGTTGCCCCCACAGAGCCGATGATGAGCACCCCACCTCCTGCCAGAGAGCTCCTGCAGCCACAGCCGCAGCCGCAGGCCCTGCACTACGCGCTGGCCAACGTGCAGCAGGTGCAGATCCACCAGATCGGAGAAGACGGACAGGTGCAAGTAGTACGTACCCTCTCCACCTCGCACCTTGGGAAAGGGGGCTGCGGGGTGGGCCACGGCAGGGCCCTGGCGGCTTCCACCAGTTCCGCTGTGTTTCGGGAGCACAGTGATAGCTTGGGAGGAGGCACAAGGTTCCCATTTAAAGTAGAGGTCATCATGGCCATGAGCTCTTAACATTTCACAGGTGGGGGCGGCTGCTGCAGAGCCTAGGGATTGAAGCACATGGTGGGGTGGGGCGTTCAGTCAGCTCACCTCAGTCCTGCCAGCAGGCAGGCGGGCAGTCAGCTCCAAGGGTCAGGCTGTGCAGTGGTCCCTGCCCCAGCTCGTGCTCCTGGGAAGCATCGGAAATATTTCTCAGCTCAGAAGTGCAGGCGTCCTCTTACTGAGGGAAAGAGTAATTTCCTTCTAGGATCAGTGGCAAAAGCTTGAGGTCATTGTTCCCATGCAGCGTTTCCCTTGGAGTTACTCAGCACACCCAGGTTGGGCGGGCACTGTCCCAGCAGCAAGTCAATGTCCTGCCTTGCCCATGCGGAGTTCTCTGTTGGGGTTTTGTGACCCAAGCTGTGGTCAGTCTGATGCGCCTAGGGGCTCGCTCCCGGGTGAAGTCCCTCTACAAACACCTCCTGGATTCTGTGGCACGAGAGTAGGGGGCGGCTGAGAAGAAGACTTTTCTGGAAGCTTTGCTGAGTGACTAGAAATTTTACATGCACCACTAGACATCGCCTATGTTTTTAGTGGCACCAGCCCCCTTGGGCCCTCTGAAGACAGGTCATCGTGTGCCTCCGTGTTACCAGGGCTTTCTCCTGGAAACAAGGTCCTCCACTGTTGAGAGTGGGTCGTGGCTCTCATCTCAGTGTGGCTTCAGCGTGCTGTCTGGAAGAGGGAAGGCTTCCAGAAAATTCTGGGGCTTTTAGAGGGGGCATTACCCTTCCTCTTCCAAAGGAGATGAGACAGTTATGAATAGTGAATCTTATTTAATAAGCTTATTAATTTATTTGACATTCACAATGGCAGTTCCTCTCATCTTGTTAGTAAGAAGTTCTTTGAAAGCGTTCCAGAGTAGATAACTTTGTCATAAGGCTTACATAGAACATTCTACAGGAGTTTAAGATCCATTTCGACTAAGAGAGAATTTCAAATAAGATAAGTATTCATTTCATTTACAGGTTTATAGGAAATATTTGTCTGCCCATATGTATAAACAGTGGATTCTTTGATTTTTTTTGAATCACATTTGTTAGTGTTTCCTCAAACTGTTTAAATAGTCATATGAGTGTTTCTTTGATTTGAAAAATGTTGCCTGCCCTGTTGTGAGTGTAGGCACGCAAACAGCTCCCCTGCTTCAGCCATACACTGCTTGCGTAGCCTCCCAGCATCCCCAGAGAGCTGAACGTATCATTTGAAAAGAGGTGTCATTGTGATTTTCTATTTCCCCTCTTTTCTGTGTGTCATGCACATTTTAAAATTTACTTGTTTAGTAACATTTAAAGATGTATATATCTTTCCTGGGACCTATTGCTCCTTTGTGAAGTACTGGAACATGTTCTGTGTTACACAGTACCCCCCCTTACCCATGCTTCCACTTTCCTAGGTTTTAATTACCCATAGTCAACTGTGATCTGAAAATATTAGATGAGAAACTCCAGAAATAAACAATTTGTAAGTTTCAGATTGCATACTCTTCTGGGTAGTAGCATGATGAAGTCTGATCGTCCTGCTGTGTCCAGCCTGGGACGTGAGTCATTCCTTTGTCCAGCATGTCCAAGCTGTGTGGCACGTATGGGCAGGAAAAAGCATAGCATATACGGGGTTCCGCACCATCCACGGTTTCTGACGTCCACGTGGTGGGGGGAGGGGGCGCTTCTTGAAACCCTCATGGATGAGGGGGACTACTGTGAACCAAAAGCTTAATTTAAAGAGGTGACCACAGACTATATTGCACTATTCAGGATTTAGTTATCTTTTTGAATTGTAAACAGATAATCAAGAACAAACATTCCGGAAGATGTTTCTTGTTTCCTTTGCTTTTTATTTTCTTCTGATGCTTCTTGGTGTCTTTTCTTGCTGCGGATCCCACAGGGACACCTCCACATCGCCAAGGTGCCGCAGGGGGAGCAAGTCCAGATCACGCAGGACAGCGAGGTGAGTCATCTCTCGCTGCAGCCCTGTCCCTGCAGGCACTGTGCCCGCATGCTCCTGACCTTCATCGGTGTCACAGTGCGAGGGCAGCAGGGAGCCCCCAGGATGGGGAACATGGGCGAGGGCTGCAGGACTCCGCTTCCAGGGTGCACATAGCAGGCCTGCAGTCTCTGTGGCCTCACTGCCTCCCCCTCCTGTCCGTTGGTCTCCACAGCTTCTGGTCTGTCTTGGCAAAGATCTCCTGGGTAGATGTTTCTGCTTCTGGCTCGAAGTGCCCTCTGAGTACCCTTCTCTCCCTGTCTGGCCCTGCCCTTCCTGCCAGGGGAGGGCCCCAGTGTGGCCGAGATGGGGTCTGCCCCTGCACAGGTGACCTGACATACCCCCTCACCTGCCATGTGGCCCCAGCTTCCTGGTGGCCTCTACGGGATTAGTGCCGATTTCATAGGATGGTGGGGAATCCCACAAGGTGATGCTGCCAGTCCTGAGAGCTGGTCATAGCCCTGACGCACCTGCCATGTCTGTGATTGTCTCAGTTTCTGGAGCTCTACCCAGCCACGCGCTCAGAAGTGCGGGCTCAGCTGCTGTTGGGGTCTGGAATGTGAAGGCGGGAGTGACAGTCTGAGTTCTTGGAAAGCCGAGGCCGGCCGGTTGCGATGCTCCGTGTTTGCGTGCCAGAGCAGGACTGTCTTCCGGGTGGCTGGTGACCATCCTTCGACTCTGGGCTGTTTCCTGCAGCACAGGCAGCAGCAGGCACAGGGCAGTAAGCAGCGCACACGTGCTGTACTGAGTGACCGTGGTGCGCTCTGGGGGATGAGGAACATGGCTGTTTCTAGGTCGTGCCAATGGCACCAGCTTTGTGTTTGGTGTATAGTAGTGTATCGCTACGAAGATCTCAGGCTTCCCCACACACACCAGCAGCAGAGACTAGGAAGCCCGGGTGCTGAGGTCAAGGGGACTCATGGAGATGTTGGCGTGCGAGGGCTCCCGGGAGCTCATGCTGGGTGCAGGTGCTGTGGGGGAGCAGAGGAGAGAGAAGCCCTGCCATCGGGGACTCACAGCGGGCGCAGAGCCTCCTGCCCAAGTGCCCATGAGCAAGACTGTGGACACATGCATGCCGTGGCACGTGGAGCACCAGGGACTTGGGCGTGTCTGCTGGCAGTGGCTTTAATTTGGACACCAGCAGTTCCCAGTGGGTTATTCTGAGAGGGGAGCACATGCATAAGGGTTCCGGGGCGGAATGAGGAAGAGGTGAAAGGGGAGGAATGAATTCATATGGGGGCCATGAGCGACTGGGAATGAGTGGGCTCATCCACACAGCGACATGACCAGGTCACTAAGAAACATATGGTCAGATGGATGGATGGAAGGAAGCACCAGGGCGGGGAGCAGGTAGGGGACGGTCCCAGGAGGCCAGAGTGTCCAGGAAGGGGCAGGGCCTGGTTCTGTGTCTGTGGGTGGGCCAGGGACCATCTCCCTGGAGATGTCGGGAGATGCGCCTGTCAGCTCAGCAAGGTCAGGTGCAGGAGTTGGGGGCCTGAGTGGCTGCGAGGTGCAGGATCCCAGCAGCACCTTCCAGTGCAGGAGCTGCCTTTGAGGGGCAGGGGAAGGTTGGCTTCTCAAGGCACAGACAGGTGGGGGCTGGGAGGCTAAGCTCACTGCCAGAGACCTCAGCCAGAGTTCTTGAATACCTGGAAGCCTATGAAGTTCGTCGGAATGCTTAATTTCCTTAGAGTCATTGAAAATGCAGGAAAATTGAAACGGCAGCAAAAGAAAAAAATCAACACACATTTGCTTTTTATAGTTTATGCTAAAAAATCTTGACTACTGGAATTTCAATTTTTTATTATTAGTTTTATCCTTCAGTTTTCAAAACTGAATCCATCTTGTATAGGTGATTGTCTTTCATTTTCATTAGGAATTGAATGCAGTAAGTTAGAAATTGCTAATAATACTAACGATGGCTTTGTGATAAGTGACAGTATGCAGTCTCCTCACCATAAATTCATACCATGTTCATTTAAAATTATTTTGTTAAAACAGGATATCTGCAAATAAACATTTAGCAGGGTCTAACAGACATAAAACAGTTCCTTTTTACAACAAATGAAAATGAATTTCTAACTGGAGAGCTCTTAGTAGCTCTGTGGTTGAGTGAGTTGGTTCCTTGCGTGCAGCCCGTGACCTGGCGTGGTGATGCCGCACAGCTCAGCAAGGCGTCCCCCTTTGGGGAAGCTGGGTGACATGCACATAGCACCTCTCTCTGCTACTTTCTGTACTTTTTGTGAGTCAGATTCTTTCAAAATAAAAAATGAAGTAAAAATGACATTTTCATTTGGGGTCAGGGTGGGGGAATGGGTACAGTGCTTTTTGAGTTGTTTGTTCATCTTTAAAATAATAAATAGTACCTAGAAATCTAAATATTTTGTTTTGGGGCTTTTGTTGCTACTGGAGGTTGAATTTTTGCAGAACTAGTGTTTTTCTTGTTATTCTCAAGTGGCCTGTGATGTGTCTTGGCGTGTTTGCCGTGTCTGCGGGTGTCTTGGCGTGTTTGCCGTGTCTGCGGGTGTCTTGGTGTGTTTGCCGTGTCTGCGGGTGTCTTGGCGTGTTTGCCGTGTCTGCGGGTGTCTTGGTGTGTTTCTACTCATGACCGTTCCTCCTCTCGTTCTTTGTAGGGCAACCTCCAGATCCATCACGTGGGGCAGGATGGTCAGGTGAGTGTCCCAGTCCCCATGCACATGCGGGCATTGCGCTGCCAAGGGGTGGGGTTCTCAGGGGAGGGGGTGGGACGGTCAGGTGAGTGCCCTGGTCCCCATGTACATGTGGGCATTGTGCTGCCGAGGGGTGGGGCTCTCATGGGAAGGGGGCGGATGGTCAGGTGAGTGCCACAGTCCCCCTCTCACATATAGGCCATTGTGCTGCCAAGGAATGGGGGCTCTCATGGGAGGAAGCGAGGGTGCAAAGGCCTCTCAGTGTGAGCCCCAGAGCAGGACTGGCTTTCCTCACCATGGCAATGCACAGGCCTGGAAGGGGGAGGGCGGGGCTTGGGGGTTACATTTGCTGCTCTGTAGGATTTCAGCAGCTTTTGCATTATGGCGGAAACATGCCCTCCCACCCCCACCACCCCACCCCCTTCAGATGGTTATTTTCTGCACACGCATGCGTATGTTGATGGTGGTCATATCTGCACAGATAACTCTGTTAGAAAAAGGTGGTTTCGCTCCTGTGTATTGCCATCAAACTCACAAACTTGCCTGCTTTCTAATCCTTGACAAAAAGAGTGACCATTGGTTGAACACCCCAGTACGAATGGTCTTTACAAAATGATGTGCTCCGACGGTGCGGGTCCTGGGGAGGGTGTTGCTGTGCAGGACAGAGTCAACTCTCTGGTGGTTTTGAGGCTGTGTGTTCCTAGGTCCTGGTGAAGACCCTTTCTGTTCAGGAGATGGCTGTCACCTCTGGATCATTGAAGAATCTGGGTGATCTTCCCATTTCATAAAACAGAAGCTGGGAAGTTGACAGTGAGAACCATAAACAGAACTCACTGTGTAGAAAGATAATACTAATTTTTCAAAACCACAGCACACTGTCCTTCGAGAAACCTGCATGTGTTCCCTTTGTCAAGGCCAGGCCCTGCAGATCTCTGACCCGACTGAGCCTGGGGCACCCCCAGAGTGAGGTGCTTAACACAGAGGGGGACAGAAGGGCATGTGCTCCCGTGGGCTTTCCGTTGACCCCTCAGAGGCACCTTGGGAGAAGGGCTGCAGACCCTCCAAAACTGGTTTATGTCAGAGTTTCTTAGTTGGAAAGTTTCATCTTAAAGATCAGCACGAGGTTTTCTCAGGTAGTCCTGCAGCATCGCTCGTCTGTAAGTATGAAATTGCTGCTCTGGAAAAGAGCCAAAGGAATGCGCAGCTTTTAAATCCACAGTTGTGGCTTTGCGCTCACTCCACTGGGGTAATGAGGCTGCGGTCGGCGCAGTGCAGGTCAGTTCTCCGCGCCTTTGTCCCCCGTGGTTCTCACGGTCACGGGGGCAGCAGAGGACAGGGCTCATAGCTGGCGGTCCGTCTTAGTTTTCTGCAACATAGTGGTTTATGGTTCTGCTGGTAGTGGAACTGTATCATAGTTGAAACGCTGCTGGACGTTTAATTCCTAGGAAAAGTAAGGCACGTCACCTTCGATATTCCCTTGTTCCTGTCTCTACCCCTGAACAAAATCCACTTGGAATTTTAAAGATAGAACCAGGCTTTTACACTGTATCACTGCAGTGCTTCTGTTTGTGATTGTAGACAGAATTCTCCCAACTCTACTGTGGGGACAGAGATTCCAGCTTTTCTCAGCAGGCATGGAGGCCCATTGGCTCCAGCACAGATCTGAGTTCAGGAAGGACTCAGGGCTGATGTCGGAGGAGTTGCTGTCTGGATTTCTCTGAACAAGATTCCGTTCTGGTGTCTCTCGTTCCTCCGTCACTGCTGCCGCCCCACGTGCCTTTGCACTGCAAGCAGGGTCGCAACTGCTGCTCATTCCCGCCTCTTCCGTGGCCCCTCCGAGTTCCCACTGTCTCTAAGTGGCCTCACCGCAGAATGAATAAAGCTGCCGTACTACCACTTTTTATGTGAAACAAATAATAATTTATAAATCACCTTTTTTTTTTTCCCCTTGTGAACTCTCATACGCTCCTGATTCCTATTATCGGTCACATTTCTGGGACCTCAAATCAAAGACGGCTTCAGGAGAGGCCGGTGCTGCACTCAGGGTAACGGGCGGAATCTTGGTACACGGTCCCTGCTTCTCTTGGGAAGGAAACTGCTGTGTGATTTAAAGAAACCGCTGTGTTCAACTGAAGCTGCCTTTTCTGGTAAATCTGTGTAGTGAACCCCCTCATTTTCCATTTGTGGAAATTCTTTTTTTTTCCCATCATTTGGCCAGTTCTCATTCCTGCTGAGCTACACCCTGCTCATGCAGGCTTTGTCCTCCGGGCTGGCCACACGTTTGGGAGACAGAAGGATGTTTCAGAAAGCACAGAGAAGCCCACTCACCTCGATGTTGTTGACTGGGCTAAGAAGCCCCAAGCCGTGGTGGGGGTCACACAGCCCATTCGCTCTCCTCCCCGTCCCCATTGCCTACAGAAGCCCCGAGCAGTGCGGGGGACACACGGCCCATTCGCTCTCCTCCCCGTCCCCGTGCCTACAGAAGCCCTGAGCTGTGGGGGCGGTCACATGGCCCATTCACTCTCCTCCCCATCCCCATTGCCTACAGAAGCCCCGAGCAGTGCGGGGGACACACGGCCCATTCCCTCTCCTCCCCACCCCCATGCCCACAGGAGGATAGTGCATGCAGGTCTAGGGCTCTCTCTTCTCCAGCCAGACTTGATCTCAGAAGCATCCTTCATGTGACACTGCAGATGGCTCAGCTCCCCGTCCTGTCCCAGAGGCCCTTGGCCTGCCCTGGTGTGAGCACTGGCTTGATTGACGGGAGACCCTGCAGCCCACGCTTGTTCCAGGTAGTTGGGGGAAGGCGAGGAACAGCACCCCAACTGGAGTAAGAGAACACAAAGAAATGGACGCGGCTGCTTTAAGTTCCTAGATCACTGAGGATTGGCTTAGTATTCCCTTCTGATTCCCTAGTTCCAACTGTCATTTAGGAGTGGTTATGTGGCAGTAGACTCAGAATCTGACAGAGCAGCTAGAAATCCTCTTGGGAGGGTGGCCAGGCCTCCCCTCTTCCGGCCGTCCGTTTTCCATCCTGGGGCTGGGGCCTGTGCCCTGCGCCCTGCACCCCACATCCTGCACACCACCCCCTTTCCTTGTGCTGGGCTCACACTTGTTGCTGTTCTCCTCCTATTCCACTTCTGAGATGATTGTTGCTATTACTTCTTGTAGTTAATTGATTATTTTCAGAATTAGTGGACAGCTTCTCTGAAAATAGCCTCCATTCTTAGTTCCACGGAGGGAGGGATGTGCGCTGTGCTTGTGGATTGCTGCTGGGGCGACGGGTTTGAGGCCACGTCTGCGGCCAGCAGCAATGTCAGTTCCAGGAGGACCTTGGTGGCTGCGGTGCTGGGAAGTGCCATTGTGCTGCGTTGGTGTGACCCTGTGGCACCTGCTGCCAGGGGACCATTCTTTTTGAGTCATGTTTTCTTCAAATTAAATATTGAGAGATTCTAGTCACATCCCACAGTTGCCATTTGCTGTCTGAGTAGAAAATATGAAGAATCGCCTGATTTGAAGCTATGTGGTCAGTTTCATGTCCATAGCAGCCTTGCTTTTCTTCCTTGCTGAGAGATGGAATGCCCCGTCTCACGCTCTTTCTGCCATTATGTCTCTGTCTGCTCTGATACTGAGGTTCCAGGAGGGCTGCCTTGGCCTCCTTTCCCTGTAGCCCACGACCCCCGCATTCTCTGGCTTCTTTGCCGACAGTTGTGGTGTGCGCTTACATCTGGTGCTGGGTTGCAGGCAGGGTGGGACTCACAGCTGTTCGTTGACTCTGGGAGGGCTCCCCTGGCTGAGGCTGTCTGCTGACAGGTGCTCTTCAGGTGAGCGTGAGCCTGCACTAAGGAATGCTGATTAGAGTCCATTTCAGGCCCTGTTGGGCACACTGGGAGTGCGCAAGAGCCACAGAGCCTGAGAGACACAGTAGGAGGGTGGGAGATGCAGTAGGAGGGTGAGAGATGCAGTAGGAGCATGGGAGATGCAGTAGGAGGGTGGGAGACACAGTAGGAGGGTGAGAGACACAGTAGGAGGGGTCGGGAGAGCCACCTGCACCAAGGCCTCAGGACAGCGAATGGCACAGCCATGGGGAGGGTGACTGCCTGTGCAAGGCTGGAGGCCATGGGCACCCAGGTCCAGTGAGGTCGGATGGAGCCCCCGGTGCTCAGCCTCCTGTGACCAGTGTTGGGGGGTAGCAGTAGCGGATGGTGCATCCCAAATGTGGGCAAGAAGTTTGGAAAGATTGGTGGAGCACCAGAGGCTTCATAAAGAGCCATTTGGGAAGACAAGGTTCAGGGGATGGTGGTGGGTGCACATGTGTGGGGACGCACTGGCTGCATGGTGCCCGCTTCCTCTTCCCCGAGCCGTGCTCTCCAGCGCTGTGTCTCAGCCTCCCCTCCAGGAGCGCTCACTTCCTCTCAGCTCTGGGCCCCTGTGGCCTCTGCTTTGCCAGCTGCCCAGCCGTGATGACTAGTTTCCACTCCAGTGCTATCTCTGTCTTTATTGTTCTTTTTGACCTCTAGGTGCACATGCTGTCGTGCCCCAGTGTTCCAGCATCGCTGACTGGGAGAGGGAAGAAGAGGTGAGGGAGAGGGAAGAAGAGGTGAAGGGCTTTCTTAGAACACTGACATTGAAATTGCAGCTGAATCTTTAAAAAAAAAATGTTTTGTGCTGGCTCACATCTGTAATCCCAGTACTTTGGGGAGGCAGAGGTGGGAGGATCGCTTGAGCCCAGGAGTTTGATGCCAGCCTGGGCAACATAGCAAGACCCTGTCTCTACAGAAAAAAAAAAAATTAGCCACATCTGGTGGCATGCACTTGTAGTCCCAAGCTACTCATGAGGCTGAGGCAGGAGGATTGCTTGAGCCCAGGAGGCCCAGGCTGCGGTGAGCCATGATTGTGCCACTGCATTCCAGCCTGGGCAACAGAGCAAGACCCTGTCTCAAAATAAATGAAGTGTACAATTCAATGGTTTTTCAAAAAATTAAAATACTTAAAAAATTATTTGGAACCACTTTGGCTGGTTTCAAAGGTTGTGTATTATCTTTCCTCCTGAATAACAACTTTACATAAGAACAAGCATTCAGTTCACTGTGGGAGGTGCCTAAGTGAGAGTCTCAGTCTCGGGCTTTGTAGAGCTGAGCCCCTGTGTGTGTGTGGACGTGTGCTGCCCTCCTCGCCTCCTGCCCTCCACCGCGTCCTCATCATGCACCTAATCTGCTGCCTTCCAGGGAAGCCAAACAGCCACTGCTGTTGGAGTTGAAATTAAAATGCAGTGGCTGGTTCTGGTCATGGCTCCAGGCATGGGTAGCTCCTTCGGGTGAGCTGTGTAGAGCTGAGCCTGGGTCTTTGGCTGTTTAGATGCATTTGTGGCTGTGTTCTGGGTGCTTCTTCGTTGAGAGTGGAGTTGTGGAGAAATGGCTCCTTCATCAGCTGAATACACTGTGCTGATTTCTTTTGTCCCTGCCTCACTGGGGGTGTGAGGCATCCGGGCAGCATTTTCCTTTACTGGACAATCCCCTAGTGTTGGCTTTGTTGCTCAGTGAGTATTTGAAATTAATTATTTGCTGCCCTGGGCATGAAGATCAAATGATATCATAGCAGAAATTCGGAATGATTTAAGTAGAGGTGTTATTGTATTGCCCATATGGTTAACTTAAGGGATTGCAGAATTGGTTTGAGTAGAGGACAGGCCTTGTATGGTAAATTAGACCAGAATCAGGGGCATCTGGAATTCCCTGAAATTCCCTGGAGCAGGGAGAGGCAGTCTGGTGTGCCAGCGATTCACAGAGCGAGAGAGTACGTTCAGACAGATGGTGCCAGGAGTGTAAAATAATTTATTGTCTAAGGAATTTCAATTTTCAGTTAGTGGTAAGGATAATAGAATCTTTAATTTGGTGCAGATTTTCAGAAGATTCTGAAAAACAAAAAAAGCCCTTAAAAATTAAGAGTTGTAAGGATTGAAATTTGCAGGGAGGTGGATGACTTTATTTTTGAGTGCATTTTAAATGAAAATTGATGGGTTTTTTATGAGGTCATGGGAACTTTTGCATGAGGTGGATAGACCAGTTGGCCACTTCAGGGGGCTGGCAGGGGAACCGCTGGTTGGTCATACCCGCATCTTGGTGCAGCTGCTTTGCTGCCGTGGGTACCCTGAGCCAGTGCTGCGTGACCTGGGCAGACTCCCTATAAAGGTGAACTCGCATTCTGCGGCGATGCTGCCTCTGGAGTGATGAGTGCACGCGAGCTGCATGGCTGGACTCTACCAGCATCTGCGCAAGCCACAGCAGGAAGCAGCTTTCCATCGCGGTTCTAGAACCCTCCTCTCTCACTCATGCGTGTGCACACACACAGTCGGAACAGGTCCACAGGACAACAGGCCACAGCGAGAAGGCAGCTTTCCATTGTGGTTCCAGAGCCCTCCTCCCTCACTCACGTGTGTGCACTTACACGGTCCGAACAGGTCCACAGAATGGTATTACTGTGTGCTGATTGCACTAATATTTTTTATTCTGTTTTCTGTTCTGCTTTTCTGTTTCTCTTCCTTTTTGTCTCTTTGAAAACTGGCTATGACACATTGCATTGATTTTGCAACCCACACTTTGAAAAATACTGGAATAGATGATCGCTAATGTCTCTTTCGTAAGAGTTTGTAGTTCTAAAAGTTGTAATTGAGTAGCTGGGACTATAGGTGTGCACCACTGCATCTGTGTAATTAAGTAATTTTTAAAAATTTACAACTATATAGGCCGGGCACGGTGGCTCACGCCTGTAATCCCAGCACTTTGGGAGGCCGAAGTGGGTGGATCACGAGGTCAGGAGATCGAGACCATGCTGGCTAACACAGTGAAACCCCATCTCTACTAAAAATACAAAAAATTAGCTGGGCATGGTGGCGGGCGCCTGTAGTCCCAGCTACTCGGAAGGCTGAGGCAGGAGAATGGCTTGAACCCGGGAGGCAGAGCTTGCAGTGAGCTGAGATCGCGGCACTGCACTCCAGCCTGGGCGACAGAGCGAGACTCCCTCTCAAAAAAAAAAAAATTTACAACTATATAAAGTTTACACTGCAAATATTAATATTCTTCCTCTCATATTTTGATAAATCAAAAGATAATTGTTCTTGAATTGGGAAGCTTTTTAAAAAATCACATTCAATCTAAGAAAAATGATTATAAATGTGCTAGTTAAAAAAATGTTTAGCGTGCTTCTCAGGGCTTTTCATCTAGATCAGGAAAATTAGGATTATCCGTGTCACTTGGGCATTAGAGTGAAGTTTCCCTGCTTTTCATCTAGATCAGGAAAATTAGGATTATCCGTGTCACTTGGGCATTAGAATGAAGTTTTCCTGAGAACTGCAGTCAGGTTTTTGGCATGGCTGGCCTTCTGTTGGTCATATGTTAGGCATGGAATGGAAGATGGCTCGATGTTTGCTGCGGCTGTCCATGCCCCTCTACGCCATCCACAAGCCTCTGACCGAGTTATCCGTGCATGCATTTGAGCGTTTCTTGCAGGAGAGGCCGGGGCCAAAGGAACGCTTCAGTTGCGCTGGGCTGTGCCAAGGGGCCTCAGCAGGAGCAACCCTTGGGGGCCAGAGCCCAGGCTCTTCCAGCAACAGGAAGGACCTTTCTTCCCTCTGCAGCACCTGTCGAACAAAACATGCTGGACTCCCTCATTCATTCCCGGCAGAGAAGCACTCCCCTCACCCCCCACAGAGCCCTGCTATGCCGGGCACTCAGACCAGCCAGAGGTGGGGGAGCCTGTGAGTAAAGTGGAGAATTGGAGGTGTGGTGCCACCCTGACCACAGCACCTTTCTTCTCCCTGAGGCCACCTCCTCAAATACTCTTCTTGGCCACAGATGAGGGCCCAGCTGTGGTTGGCAGATCTTTTGGGAGATAACTGGATGTGTGGGGGTGGGAGAGTTGCCATGGGTCCCAGTCTCAGGGCGGCCGCTCCCTCAGTGTCTGTCGTCTTGGGATGCGGCAGTGTCGCTTCCTCGTGCTTCAGTGCCCTCTTCACTGCGGTGGGGTGGCAGCAGCACCTGCTCAGGAAGTTGGTGGGCTTTGCTGGGTGCACACGGCCCACGTGGCACTCACCAGCCTCTGGGCTGCCCTTGGCAGGTGCCGTCCACACTCCAGCACTCAGGGAGGGGCGGTGCAAATCCTCAAAAACTGACCACACAGGCACTGGCACCCAGGTGGTGAGTAGGCAGGCTGTGGTCTGCAGACAGAAGCTTTACCCTGTATACGTACGAGGAGTAACAGCTGCTCATTTGAGTGAAGTCACTGGACTGCGGCCCTTAGAGCCTCCTGACGCGGAGGTGGGCCTTTCACTTCTGCCTTTTGCATGTGTGGAATGTGTGTGTGTGTGTGTGTGTGTGTGTGTGTGTGTGTGATTTTAGAGATACTGTTTTAAAACTGTGTACTCAAAGCATTAGTTAATTAACTAGGAAGTTTTGTCTTGTGAAAATGATGACCAGGACTGAACCTTTTAAAACAGATCATCTGAACCTCATCGCTGTAAAGCAATCTGGACTACAAAGTTCATTCTTTCACGTGAATTAAATGGTTTGGTAAAGAAATACTGAGCGTAACATGGACGTGCTCTAGTGATCTTAGGGAGCTGTGAGCTCGTGCAGTCTTGGGTGGGAGTTGGCATTGTTTATGTTCTTTTTTAAATTTTTTAAAAATGTTTTTAATTTTTATATTTTTGAGATGGAGTCTTGCTCTGTTGCCCAGCCTGGAGTGCAATGGCACCTTCTTGGCTCAATGCAACCTCCGCTTCCTGGGTTCAGGTGATTCTCCTGCCTCAGCCTCCCGAGTAGCTGGGATTACAGGTGCCCACCACCATGCCCGGCTAATTTGTGTATTTTTAGTAGAGACAGGTTTCACCATGTTGGCCAGGCTGGTCTCGAACTCCTGACCTTGTGATCTGCTCACTTCGGCCTTCCAAAGTGCTGGGATTATAGGTGTGAGCCACTGTGCCTGGCCTTGGTACTTGTGATATTTTGATACATGCCTAGAATGTGTAATGACTTTGAACAGATGTTTGCTTTTTTTTTTTCTTTCTTTGAGCAGTCTCCCGGGGCTAGGGTAAGTTCAGAGAGGCTCCTAGATCTTTGTTTCTTGTTTATTTCACCAGTTACTCATTTTCAGAAATGAATCAAAGATCTAGGAGCCTGAGCCTACTCTAGCCCCCGGAGACTGCCCAAAGAAAGAAAAAAAAAAAGCAAAGATCTGTTGAAAGTCATTACACATTCTAGGCATGTATCAAAGTACCACAGGTACCCTATAAATATGTACAAATATTATGTATCAATAAAATAATTTTAATAATTTTTTTTAAAAAAAAGATCTGTTGGAGCCAGGCATGGTGACTCACATTTAGAATTGCTTGAACCCGGGAGGCGGAGGTTGCAGTGAGCTGAGATCGTGCCACTGCACTCCAGCCTGGGTGACAGAGAGAGACTCCGTCTCACCAAAAAAAAAAAAAAAAAAAAAAAAAAGGATTCCTGTCCCTGTTGAATTTTCTGCCATGCTTCTGTGCTCCTTCAACAGCCAGGGACGGAGGGATCCAGTCTGAGAAAAGCCAGCATCAGGGACTACTTCAGTCCTCATAGAAATCACTGCCAATGGCTTTGGCTACCTCCTGTGTCCTGGATTATGTCTCTGCAGCTTCCCGTCTCCCGGACGCCTCCCTGAGTCCCTGTGTATGAGTGACTTAGTGTTACAGGCTGGGTGAGGAGCTTTGCAGGGATTTAGCTTTTCTCAGGGCCACCTGCCCTCAGGCTTCCTGGGCCCTCATACTTCTTCTTGTTTATATCTTATCTGCCTTTGGGGGAATGACCTTAGAGGAATTGGTGTGAGTAAGCCATGAGGTTCTTGGTCCACTTCCATCCAGCCAAGGGCAGCTGGCAGCTGGGCACTTACATCCAGCAAGGCAGAAGCAACCCTGGCTTTGAAGTCAGACTGCTAGGGTGAGTCTGAATGGCCTCGGGGAAAGTTCCCTCTGAGCCTTCGTTTTTTTCACTTGCGAAGGCGATAGTCTCGCCTAGCTTGAGGGTTTGTCAGGGGGATTCAGTGAGAACCTCATTTGAAGCAGCTGCTTTAGTTCCTAACACCTAATAAATGTTTAACCACTTACCCTCCTCTCCCACCACCCTTTCAACTTTGAACCTCTTCCTCCATGTCATCCCTTCTTAAGGCGCTGACCTTTTGGCCACAAAGAATGGCTCTTTTTGTTCCCATCAGGACTAGAATTCTTATCTTTTTGTTGCTTGGCCCTGGTAATCAAAGAACCACCAACACATTTGCAAGGCATCTCCAGCCTTCTCGTTCTGGCCGCCCCTCTCTGTCTTAGGGAGAGTGCTATACCGGTATGGTGATGAGATGAACGAAAGGGCAGTCTCTGGCTGTTTTCTGCTGATGAGGATGTGCTGAGCAGCCTCCTGCAAATGACAAGCAGGGAAAAGACCAAACTAGCTTAGCTCATTAGCTGGGCATGGTGGTGCCCGCTTGTAATTGCAGCTACTTGGGAGGCTGAGGCAGGAGAATTGTTTGAACCCGGGAGACTGAGGTTGCAGTGAGCTGAGATCGTGCCACTGCACTCCAGCCTGGGCGACAGAGCGAGATGCCATCTCAAAAAAAAAAAAAAAAAAAAAAAAAAAAAAAAAAAAAAAAGACAAGCTTGACTGCCTTTGTCTTACAGAACAAAGGACAGGAGATTCCACTTTACCCCCTCATTGTCACACCATATTCAGTTTTCTGTATATCCCACAAAGTAGCATGCTTTTTTGAAAGCAGGACACCGTGTTTACTTTCTCTTGACACCTAGCATAGTGTCTGCCACTACACAGGTTGTTCAATAAAATTATGTTCACTAAACAAATACATCTTGGTTGGAAGGAAGGGCATTATTCATTGCGTGCAGTACTGTATTTCATGGTTCCTGAGGTACCATATACCAGGATCACTACAGTTTGCTACAGGGAAAGTGATTAATTTTTAAGGAACAAAGCAAAAGTTAATGAAAAGCAACCCAGAGCTCTACACAGACTTGGCTTGCTGTCTTTGTAGCCACTGGAAACCCAAGTAGCCAGTACAGAATACAGTATGGAAAAATGAATTATTTTCCATTCCACTTGGGAAAGGAGAAAGAACCACTGTCGTTACTGGCGTTTGATGCATTTGATGGCATGACCTTGGAATTTGATTTTTTTTTTTTTTAGATGGAGCCTCACTCTGTTGCCCAGTCTGGAGTGCAGTGGCATGATCTCAGCTCACTGTGACCTCTGCCTCCCAGGTGCAAGTGGTTCTCCAGCCTCAGCCACCTGAGTAGCTGGGACTATAGCTGTGTGCCACCATGCCTGGCTAATTTTTGTATTTTTAGTAGCGATGGAGTTTCACCATGTTGGCCAGGCTGGTCTCGAACTCCTGACTTCAGGTAATCCGCCAACCTCGGCTTCCCAAAGTGCTGGGATTACAGGCATGAGCCGCCACGCCCGGCTGGAATTTGATGTTCTTTTAATCACTGATATATCATCATCAGGTTATGGATTGGCAGTCAATTACAAGGTGATCGGGGCCATTCAGAATATACCAGAGACACAGTTACTGTTGCTGAGCTGCCTGTAAAATTGAAGCCTAATCTTCCCTTTCTGTTGGGCAGCCTTGGGCATCGAGGATCTTCTGACTTTGAAACACTGGCTTCCCTTGCTTTCTGTGATGCCATAGCCTATTGGCACACTTTCTTCTTTTCTGATCCTTGTTGGCATATCACTTCCATACCCTCAAATATTATTCATCCTTGGATTCATTGTTGGCTCTTGTTTCTATGCATACTGTTTGGATTCCTTGGTGAAGTTGCTCTGTATGTGCCTGTCATTCTTAGTCATACCCACAGCCCGGAGCACTTCCTCAAACTCTGTCTCATGAATGTCTCTATTTGGTGTACAGCACGGGCTTGTCAGTCTCCAAAACTGAATTCTGATCTTCATCCATATGTGTTCCTGTGTTTCTTGCTTAGTAAATGGCTCTGCCCTTTACCCAGGTCCCCTGGACAGCTCTTGGGCTTCCTCCCAGCCTTCTCCTTCTCCCTTTCCTCTGCCCCAAAACCAGTCCCACAAAGAGCACTGTTTTCTGTCTCTCACATGGGTCCCTGAGCCACTCGTGGTTCCTCCATCATCAGTGAGTTCTCTTCTTTCTCCCCGACTTGTGTTTTCCTGCCTTCAGTCTTGATCAGCTCTGATGCACTTTGCATATCATGGAGTGGTCTTCTTTAATTACCATCCCACTCCCCCACTTATTCCCCGTAACCCACTAACTTAAAGCTCTTCCATGGGTCTCTTGTAGAATTGGGACAAAGTATCGAGTGCTTGATATGGCTTCTTGGGCTCTCTTCGGTGCTGGCTGTGTCTGTCTCTGTTCTACCTCTTATGCCGTGCCGTACGCCAGGGCTGACAGGCAGCGGCAGGTCCAACATCACAACTCTTTCATCCAGTTTGCAAATAAATGATGGCCTGAGTCCCACAAGCTCCCCTCCTGCCACACCCCTGCCTTGGGACTCTTGAGACCTCTCCATAATTCAGCAGCTAAAGCACTAATGCCAGATCCTGTGTGGGGCAGGGCCTTCAGTGCCACTGCCTGTGCTTTGCTTGGTGCCTCTCAGTAATTTAGATGATTCAGTTCTGTTTTTTTTGTTTGTTTGTTTGTTTTTTTTGAGACAGTGTCTTGCTCTGTTGCCCAGGCTAGAGTGCAGTGGTGCGATCTCGGCTCATTGTAGCCTCTGCCTTCTGGGTTCAAGTGATTCTCATGTCTTGGCCTCCTGAGTAGCTGGCACTACAGGTGTGTACCACCATGCTGCCTAATTTTTGTATTTTTGGCAGAGATGGGTTTTCCTCATGTTGGCTAGGCTGGTCTCGAACTCCTGGCCTCATGTGATCCACCTGCCTCAGCCTCCCAAAGTGCTGGGATTACAGGCGTTAGCCGCTGTTCCTGGCCCAATCCTGTATTTTGAACAGCTCTCCTGGTTTCTATTGTCTTGAAACTCTTCAAGTCTGGCAGTTCTTTCCCTTCTGCTACCTTCCTTCCTTCCCCAGCTCTCACCCAAGCTCCTACTGGCCAAACTTCTATTCTCTCTTAAAAAAAAATATGGCCGGGCATGGTGGCTCATGCCTGTAATCCCAGCACTTTGGGAGGCTGAGGCGGGTGGATCATGAGGTCAGGAGATTGAGACCATCCTAGCTAACACGGTGAAACCCATCTCTACTAAAAATACAAAAAATTAGCCGGGCGTGGTGGCGGGTGCCTATAGTCCCAGCTACTTGGGAGGCTGAGGCTGGAGAATGGCATGAACCCGGGAGGCGGAGCTTGCAGTGAGCCGAGATCGTGGCACTGCACTCCAGCCTGGGCAACAGAGTGAGACTCCATCTCAAAACAAAACAAAACAAAACGAACAAAAAAAACTGGTAAAATATACATAATGAAATTTACCATTTCAGCCATTTGAAGTGTACAATTCAGTGTGAGTGTACTTAATGTACATTCACATGTCATACAGTAATCATTACCACCATTCATCTCAGAACCTTTCCATTTTTACAAACTGAAACTGTGTACTCGTTAAACAGTAACACTCACTCCCTCCAGACCCCTGCCTCTGGCAGCCAGCATTCTACTTTCTGCCTCAGTGCATTCTACTACTTTAGGTTCCTTGTACCAATGGAATCATGCAATATTTGTTCTTTTTTTGTCTGGCTTTATTTAGCATAACATCTTCAAGGATCGTCCGTGTTGTAGTATGTGTCAGAATTTCCTTCTTCTTCTTTTTTTTGATGGAGCCTTGCTCTGTTGCCCAGTTTGCTAGAGTACAGTAAGTAGCGCTATCTCAGCTCACCACAACCTCTGCCTCCTGGGTTCAAGTGATTCTCCTGCCTCAGCCTCCCAAGTAGCTGGGACTATAGGCAGGCGCCACCATGCCCGGCTAATTTTTGTATTTTTAGTAGAGACGTGGTTTCACTATGTTGGCCAGGCTGGTCTCGAACCCCTGACCTCGTGATCCGCCTGCCTCGGCCTCCCAAAGTGCTGCAATTACAGGCATGAGCAACCGCGCCTGGCCCAGAATTTTCTTCCTTTTAAAGGCTGAACAATATTTTTGAGGGTATGTAGAGCCCATATTTTGTTTATTCCCATGACAGTTGGGTGTCTTCCACTTATGGGCTATTGCGAATGGTACTGCTGTGAATATGAAGATACAAATACTTGTTTTTTCCACTTTTAGTTCTTTTGGGGCATATACCCACAAGGACAGTGCTGGATCATATGGTAATTCTATGTTTAATTGTTTTTTAGAAACCATCAGAGGGTTTTCCATAGAGGCTATACCCTGTTGCATTCCCACTAGCAATGCACACGAGGTCCATTTTCTCCACCATCCTTCCACATCCTTGCCAACTCCACAGCCTTGCCAGTGCTGGCTTTTTATTTATTTTTTGAGATAGAATCTCGCTTTGTCACCCAGGCTGGAGTGCAGCAGTGTGATCTTGGCTCACTGCAGCCTCCACCTCCCAGGTTCAAGTGATTCTCCTGCCTCAGCTTCCCAAGTAGCTGGGATTACAGGCATGCGACACTGTGCCTGGCTAATTTTTGTATGTTTAGTAGAGGCAGGGTTTCACCATGTTGGCCAGGCTGGTCTTGAGCTCCTGGCCTCAAGTGATCTGTCTGCCTTGGCCTCCCAAAGTGCTGGGATTACAGGCGTGAGCCACTGTGCCCGGCCAATGCTGGCTTTTTAAATTAGAGAAAAGGTATACAGCTTTAATTGTATACATGGGGAGAACCAGAGAGTGATTACCACCCCCTTTTTTCATATATATATATATACACACACATATATACATATATATATATATGTATAGTAATTTTATTATTTTTTGTAGGGACAGTATCTTACTATCTTGCCCAGGCTGGTCTCGAATTCCTTGCCCTAAGTGATCCTCTCACCTTGGCCTCTCAAAGTGCTGGGATTACAGGCCTGAGTCACCGTGCCTGGCCTCCTTTTTTCTGTTTTCATAATTGCCATCTTAATGGGTGTGAAGTGGTGTCTCATGTGGTTTTGTTCTCTTCTCTCTTGAAGTTTCAGAATTGTTTTCAAAAAGCCATTCATGAGCTCCCTACATGGTTCAGCTGGACTGTGCCCCTCCTATAGTCCTGAGTTCTTCTTCCATCAAACCTATGTATGGAACTACTTGTTTTCTTTTTTCTTTTCTTTTCTTTTTTTTTTTTTTTTGAGATGGAGTCTGCTCTGTTGCCCATGCTGGAGTGCAGTGGCGCAATCTTGGCCCACTGCAGCCTATGCCTCCTGGGTTCAAGTGATTCTCCTGCTTCAGCCTCCTGAGTAGCTGCGATTACAGGTGCACATCACCATGCCTGGCTAAGTTTTATATTTTTAGTACAGACGGGGTTTCATCATATTGGGCAGGCTGGTCTCGAACTACTGACTTCGGGTGATCCACCTGCCTTGGCCTCCCAAAGTGTTAGGATTACAGGCTCATCCTTGTAGCTCTAGTGTCTTGCAAGGTACCTGGCCACCTGCACAGTAGAGGCCACCAAAGGACTGCATTCAAAATAACCACTTGAAGACCCTGACTTCATAACATGCTGCTCATTTTCCCGGGAAGCCAAACCCCTACTCTCAGTGGTCTGTATGCATCTTTAGTCAGTGGGAAGCGGTGATAATATCCCCACAACTGTAAAACGAGAGAGACCGACTTCCTTGATCTTCAGTGGGGATTTTTGAAAATGGTTGATTGCACTCAAAGCAGAATTTGTATTTTGCTTCATTGGGTCACCTTGGGCAACAATTTCATTTCTGTAGAAAATTAATTTTGGAGGAAGCTGCATGTGCCAGGGGAGCCCTGGGTCCATCCTTTTGATGGTGAGGGGAAGTCCAGTTCCTCACTCGCCCATCCCTGCTTTTGGTTCCCTGTTGGTGATTTTCTTTTGTATTCCTGCACGTGCAAATCAGCTGCTTTTGGTAAGGGAAGCCTTGGAAGGATGTCTGCTGAAGGTGCAGAGAAAATGCAGAGCTCCGTTCAAGGTGAAAAAAGTGGTTGACAACTGGCAGAAAGAAGCTGGCCTTAGGGAGGAAGTCAGAAGCCAGGGTGCTGTACCCCTTGGGCTGTGTGTTAACTCCTGGGTCACTGGATCATGGGGATGTCCACAGGGTCCCTCGGGGGTGGGTTCTTGACACCCAGGGTGGCAGGGACCTGGGCCGGTGGCTATTTACTAAGGGGTATGAATGTGTCCCAGCATGTTAAGATCTAGTGGAGCTGGACTGATACCTATTGGCCGAATGTGACCTCTGCCTGTTTCAAAGGTGTTTAATCCTGATGTCTCATAAATTAAGACTCAGGCCTGTAATCCCAGCACTTTGGGAGGCCGAGGTGGGTGGATCACTTGAGGTCTGGAGTTCGAGACCAGCCTGGCCAACATGGTGAAACCCTGTCTCCATTAAAAATACAAAAATTAGCTGGGCATGGTGGTAGGCACCTGTAATTCCAGCTACTTGGGAGGCTGAGGCAGGAGAATTGCTTGAACCCAGGAGGCGGAGGTTGCAGTGAGCTGAGACCATGCCCTGGCACTCCAGCCTGGGCGACAGAGCAAGACTCCACCTCAAAAAAAAAAAAAGTAAAAAAGACTCAGTTTGGCCTCTGAGTTGTCAGTTTTTAGATCACAGTTATCCAGCCTGAGTTCCGTGGGTCCTTTGCTTTGCTCCTTTCAGAATGTAAATGACTCTTCAGCTCATGATGGCGTATGCCCCTAAAAGGAAGTGAGATACAAGTTTTAGAAGTCCTTCTTAGAAATTTTCCTTTTTTTTTTTTTTTTTTTTAAATAAGAGACAGGGTCTTGCTCTGTTGCCAGGCTAGAGTGCAGTGGTGCAATCATGGCTCTCTGCAGCCTTGAACTTCCTGGCTCAAGCGATCCTCCCACTTCAGCCTCTCAAGTAGCTGGGACTGCACATGCATGCCACTGTGCCTGGTTAATTTATTTCCTACTCTTTAATAAAGGAGGTGGTATGCTGTAAACTCTTGTAGGATGCGGGTGTGTTATGCTGAGCCCTGGTTCTGGAAGGCAGTCTTGTGGCTAGTTGGAAGATGGTAGAGTGACAGAGCTCAGCCCCTTGTTGGCACTCTGCTCTGCCAATCCATTTGTGCCTTGCAGTCAGGCTGGCTCAGTTTGGGATGTGACAGATTTAGGAGCACTTGTATTCACTGAGTTCTCAGGCTGGCACATGAGTGAACTTGGTTTACCTTTGTTCCTGGCATGGCTGATACCATGTGTGGCTGATTCTGTTAGAGTGTGCCCTCAGATTCATCCCTCTGTCTTCTTTGGCTTTGATAGAACCCAGATTTTGCTTGAGGCTGTGGTATGTACTCCTTTATCTCGGTGAGGGATTAAGCCAGTTTTGAGTTTTGTTCTTTGCTTTCTTTGCTCCCTTGTGATTTTCTGGGATTACTTGTTCTTTCCTGATAAAAGGGGCGATAAAGCTGGCTTCATCCCATTCCCTTTCTTCCTGCTCAATTGTAAATGAGATGCCCAAAGTTAGGACAGTCCTCTGTGACAGCGAGGTCAAAAGGTTGGAGGTTTTGGCCTGACATAGCCTTTGTATCACTGGCCTATTTCCAGACTAGCCCAGCTCCATGGGGTTGGATTTTCTTTGTGTGTGGGTTTTTTTGTTTTGTTTTGTTTTTAGAGACAGGGCCTTGCTCTGTTAACTAGGCTGGAGTGCAGTAGTGCAATCATAGCTCATTACAGCCTCAAACTCCTGGGGTCCAGCCATCCTCCTGCCTCTGCCTCCCAAGTAGCTGGGACTACAGGTGTGTGCCGCCACACTCGGCTCCTTGTAGTTGGGTTTTCTGTTTCCTTTTTTTAGAGATGGGTTCTTACTATGTTGCCCAGGCTGGTCTTGGGTTTTCTGTTTTTTTCTTTTTTTTTTTTTTTTGAGACAGAGTCTTGCTCCATTGCCCAGGCTGGAGTGCAGTGGCACCAGCTCGGCTCACTGCCAGCTCCGCCTCCCGGATTCACACCATTCTCCTGCCTCTGCCTCCCAAGTAGCTGGGAGTACAGGCGCCCACCACCACACCTGGCTAATTTTTTGTATTTTTAGTAGAGATGGCGTTTCACCGTGTTAGCCAGGATGGTCTCGATTTCCTGACCTCGTGATCCACCTGCCTCAGCTTCCCAAAGTGCTGGGATTACAGGCGTGAGCCACCGTGCCCGGCGGGTTTTCTGTTTTTTTTGTTGTTGTTGAGCAATGCTTTGTTTTGGGGCAGTGTTGTCACATTGATGAGACACCCCTCACCCCCCATGGCTGTGGAACACAGGTGTTGCTCAGCACTTGGTGTGTTCTTGGTCTTCTATAGATGATTGTCAGATGACTGAAGAACATGCCCTGTCTCACTGCATTATTTCCTGTGGTTGCAAATGATAGAAAATTCTTTAGATTGATTTAAGAAAAAAAAAGATGAAGGACATTTATTTATTGACTCAAGTATCTAAGAAATCATCTTGGAGTTGAGCTGGATTCAGGGGGCCTGCCCTTCTCCCAAATCTGTCTCCATCTGTCATCCCTCAGCACCGCTTCTCTGTGGTTGGGTGTCTTTCCAGGTGGGGGGTCTCTACATGATGGGGTGGAAAATGGCCCCAAGTAGCTCCAGGTTTCCAGGATGATGAGAGATCCTACTTCTAGGACGGGGTCGGCACACTCCCTCCTTATGGGTCATATTATAGGGTTTGTGAGCCATGCAATCTCCATCGCAGTGACTCAGCTCTGCCACTGGAGCAGAAACTCAGCCACAGACCATATGGGAGCAAATGGGTGTGGCTGCGTTCCAAGACCACTGTGCTTACAAAAACAGTTTGGAGGCCAAATTTGACCCCCAGGCCATTGTTTGCTGACCTCAGCTCCTGGAGGAGACAAGGCCTCTTTTCTGGTGGCTCTGGTAGAACTTGTGCGAAGGGACCCTGTGGTCCAGGGCTGAGACTGGGGTGAGGTTAGTGACACACTCACTTTGGCCACAAAATTGAAGGCGGTACCAAAAAACTTATCAATCAAGATAAATACTATTTTTATGTAATATTAAAAAAAAATGAAAGTTGCATATGCCATGGTTCCGGCCAGTTAATTGCCTGCCCTGGGTTAGCTGTCCACCCCTGCAGTAGGGGGAGGTTAGGATAGTGCTGAAGGATCCCAGTGGAATGTGTTTCCCATAGGAAAGAGGGGTGGTCTTACTAGAAGAAAGGGAAAGGGACCAGGCTCGGTGGCTTACGCCTATAATCCCAGTGCTTTGGGAGGCCGATGCTGGATGATCATTTGATTCTAGGAGTTCAAGACCAGCTTGAGTAACATAGTAAGACCCTTGTCTCTACAGAAAAAAATAAATTAGCCGTGTATGGTGGTGTACACCTGTAGTCCCAGCTACTCATGAGCCTGAGATGGGAAGATCGCTTGAGCCCAGGAGTTCAAGACTGCAGTGAACTATGATCGTGCCACTGTGCTCTAGCCTGGGCGACAGAGTGAGACCTTGTCCGCACCCCACCCCTCAAAAACAAAACAAAACAAAACAAAACCCCAAACAAGGAAAAGGAATGCTGTTTGGTGCACGTGTAGTAGTGATATTAATAGTTGGTTTTCGTTGAGCACCAATTATATGCCAGGTATGTTAATAACTATGGCTAACATTTATTCACTGCATTTATTGGATACACTTTACATGTATTCCTTTTTCTCATTTTTCCCTCATAGCAATCCATACACATAGGTACTGTTCTCCCCACTGTACAGATGAAGAAAGTAGAGGACAAAATAAGTTTCCCAAGGTCACACAGTGCCTGAACTAGAATTTGGGACAAGGTTTTTGTCTTCCTTGTGGTCCCCAAGGAATGAATTCTTGGGCATCGGTGATAGTTAAGGCTTGATAGAAACTTTCCCAAAAGCCTGGTGCTGTTAGTCATCCTCTGTTAATAGGTGTCCCGGGGCAGCTCTTCTCAACACCCCTTCCTGGCACTTGTTCTTGTTGGCATTCGGCTTTCAGGTGTTTGGAGAACCAGAAGCCCTTGCCCGCTTTTTGACTTAACCCCATGTTTCAAAGCAGATCAGTGTATATCCCTAAATTAAATTACGGACACCGCAGGCGCTAATTGGCAGGTGAGCTGCCCTTTAAATAGACCACATTAACTCTGGCAGTGGAAGCGGAACCCTGCTGGGATAATTCTTATCATCAGCAGCATCACCCTGACAAGCTTTAAAAGGATTCTGTAGCAGTAAGCAATTTTGCAGAATTGAAAGGTGAAAACACACTTTAAAGCGTTCATGTAGATTCAAGGTCGGAGGGAGGTGACTGCATTTTTCAAGACAGGCTGCAAGTGAGAGTCACTTGACTGGAAATGTGATGGACGTACCGACAATGGTCTGGGGTATTTTGAAATACGTTGTTGGCCGGCTGGCCCAGGGCGTTGTTGTCGCCAGATTCCCCGTCCTGGTTTCTGAGTGAGGCGGAGAGTGGAAGGAAGGCTGTTTTGTACAGTTGTGTGGATTAGACTGATCGGATGAGCTTGGGAAGTGGATTAGTTTGACATTTAGGGATTGAGACAGAAGACAGTCTTGAGGGACCTGCCCTCTTGCTGGTTTTTGTTATTCCTGGGAAGTTTATCCTAAATGATCCCAGTGATTGTCTTGATCCACAAATACTTATGCACGCTCATACGGATGTATACATTTAGATGCTGCTAACACAAAAAGGAACCCACGCGAATGCCCTCTGCTATGAAGAGAATTAATTATTAAGCAAATGCTGATTGGTCATCATGGACTGGGCACTGTGCTCGGTGCTTTCCTTCCCTTTCTAGTTACCCCAGTAACCCTGGGCGATTCTGCACTTTTGTGTTGATTTTATGGGAGAGGATTTTCAGGCTTAGCATGGTTGAGTGACTTGCTCAAGGTCATTTGGTTGAATGGACTTTTTCTCTGTTGTCCTGCCTGCTAGACTGGAAGCCCCTTAGGGACGAGTTCTTGTTGTCTCTAGCTGGTGACACATAGCCTAGCTTGGTTCACAGCTCCCAGGAAGAATGCAGTGGATCCTAGTGAAGTTGAATTGAAACATTAGAGTGAACTTAACTAGCCTGCCATGCAGTTTCTGGAGATGGGTGTACTTGCCTCCTTCTGGAAGGCAGGTTCAAAGCCTTTGTCACATTTCAGAGGGGACTGTGAGCCTGTTTAGCTCCTAGATTGGAAGCCAGGTCCGACTGCAAAGACTCAGCTTCCCCCACTTGGAATATTAAACAGTTGTGAACGTGATCATTTTGAAGAGGGCCAAGTCCCCTCATTTTGCAGGGCAGTGTGATTTAGTGGTTTGCAGTGAGCTCTGGGGTCCCTTTCTGCCATACTGTTTACTAACTGTGTTGCTGGGCGAGTCACTTCACTTGTCCTGGCTTCAGACCTTGTCTTTCACATGGAGATGGCCTTGGTTGTGATGATGTCAGATGTAAAGTGTTTACTGCAATGGCTGGTGCATAGTTAATGCTCAGTAAATAGTAGTTGCTGTTGCTGCTGTTATTATTATTGCCAGCATGAAAAAATGTTAAAGAGCCAATGTTAAGTGAAGAAAATTGATCACAAAATTATGTATACACTAGCATTACAACTATGAAAATATATGGGGTTGGGCATGGTGGCTCCTGACTGTAATCCTAGCATTTTGGGAATCTCAGGCAAGAGGATCGCTTGAAGCCAGGAGTTTGGTACCAGCCTGCACAACATAGCAGAATCTCATCTCTACAAATAAATAAAAATTAAAAAATTAGCTGGGCATGGGGGTGCGTGCCTGTGTCTCAGCTACATGGGAGGCCGAGACAGGAGGATCACTTGAGCCCAGGACGTTGAGGCTGCAGTGAGCTCCAGCCTGGGTGACAGAGGGAGAGGCCCTGTCTCAAAAATAAATAAATAATAATTAACTTAAAATGTATATAAAAAATTTTAAAAATCTGTGTACATGTGGATAAAAAGTGGTGGGATGTGAGGAGATACAAGTAGTTGTAGGAATGACCGTCTTATGGATAAAAACAAACTTTCTTAGGTTTCCCATAACGCCTTAAATCTGTTCCTATCCTCAGACTGAGTAATTTGACATGTGGAAATCTTTCCTAAGGAACTAGGAATGAGGACAATTATTTATGTATAGGGGTGTTCTTTACTGTACAGAGGGAAAGTTGGCCATGTGCCATGCCCTTAGCAGTATGGAAATAGTTGTTTTACTGGAAAGCCATCAAAAATCATCTTTGAAAGACTTTTAATTGTAATAGGAAAATGTTCATGCTCTAGACAAGAAAATAAATGAATCAGGATACAAAATTACACATACAAATATGTATGCGTATACACTCATACAATATGATGTGGTTTTATTTATTTATTTTTTGAGACAGAGTGGAGTATAGGGGCATGATCTTGGCTCTCTGCAACCTCCGCCTCCTGGGTTCAAGTGATTCTCCTGCCTCAGCCTCCCAAGTAGCTGGGACTACAGGCGTGTGCCACCATGCCCAGCTAATTTTTGTATTTTTAGTGGAGACATGGTTTCACCATTTTGTCCAGGATGGTCTCGATCTCTTGACCTCGTGATCTGCCTGCCTTGGCCTCCCGAAGTGCTGGGATTACAGGCGTGAGCTACCGCGCCAGCCTGTTTTTTTTTTTTGAGACAGAGTCTTGCTCTGTCGACCAGGCTGGAGTACAGTGGTGCGATCTCGGCTCACTGCAACCTCTGCCTCCTGGGTTCAAGTGATTCTCCTGCCTCAGCCTCCTGTGTAGCTGGGATTACAGGCACCTGCCACCATGCCTGGCTCATTATTGTATTTTTAGTAGAGATGGGGTTTCACCATGTTGGCCAGGCTGGTCTCGAGCCCCTGACCTCAGATGATCCGCTCGCATCGGCCTCCTGGAGTGCTGGGATTACAGACATGAGCCACTGTGCCTGGCCTGATGTGTTCTTTTCTTCTGGCTGCTGTAACAAAGTAATACACAGTTGGTGGCTTTTAAACACTATAATTTATTCTCCCACAGTTCTGGAGGCCAGAAGTCCCCAATCCATTTCACTGGGCTAAAGTCAAGGTGACAGCAGGGCTGCTTCCTTCCAGAGGCTTCAGGGCCGAATCCGTTTCTGGCCCTTCCAGAGTCTGCTCGCTGCCCACCTTCCTTGGCTATGGCTGCCCCATTCTAGTCTTTGCTTCTCTGGCCACATCATGTCCTCCTCTTCTGTGTCAAGTTTCTCTCTGCCTGCCTCTTATGAAGATCTTGTGATTACATCAGCCTCACAGGGATTATGCAAGATAACCTCCCAGTTTCCAGATCCTAACACAGTTGCACAGACTCTTTTACTATATAAGGTAATATTCAGAGAATTCTGGAGCTTATGACGTCGATATCTTTGAGGATTATAATTCAGCCTACAGCAAATGTTGATTTTTTTTATAAAAAAGAAAAGTGCAGTAAAAAAGACTGAAAATTCTTGAAAATGTCAATATTGGTCTTTTCTGGATGAGAGGTTTTAGAGTCATTTTTATTTTTGATATACTCTTCTGTATCTCCCACCTTTTTTTCTTATTTCATTATTGTTTTTGAGGCTGAGTCTTGTTCTGTCACCAGGCCAGAGTGCAGTGGTGCAATCTCAGCTCACTGCAACCTCCGTCTCCTGGTTTTAAGTGATTCTCCTGCCTCAGCCTGCCCGGTAGGTGGGATTACAGGTGTGCGCCACCATGCCCAGCTAATTTTTGCATTTTTAGTAGAGATGGGGTTTTACTGTGTTGGCCAGGCTGGTCTTGAACTCCGAGCCTCAAGTGATCCACCACATCAGCCTCCCAAGTACTGCGATTACAGGCATGAGCCACCGTTCCCAGCCTCAATTTTTATTTTAGATTCAGGGTGTACATGTGCAGGTTTGTTACCTGGGTACATTGTGTGATGCCGAGGTTCAGGGCACGATTGAACCCATCTCCCAGGTAGTGAACATAGTACCTGGTAGGTAGTTTTTCCGTCCGTGCTCTCCTCCCTCTCTACTCTCTCTAGCAGCCCCCAGTGTCTGTTGTTTGCCATCTTTATGTCTGTGTGTACCCAGTGTTAAGCTTCCATTTATAAGTGAGACTATCCACTATTTCGTTTTCTATTTCTGTGTGATTCGCTTAGGATAATGGCCTCCAGTCATCCATGTTGCTGCATAGGACACAATTTTGTTCTTTTTCATGGCTGCATAGTATTCCTTTGTGTAAATGTACCACATTTTGTTTATCTAGTCCACTATTGATGAGTATCTGGGTTGATACCATGTCTTTGGTGTTATCTCCTACCTTTTCCATGCTAAGGGGATACTCTGTTACAATCTCCAACATTGCCTAGAGGCTTTGTGTGTTCCTCTCCCAGTGCTGAGTGCCCCAGGCCGAGTGCCAGGCGCCTGCACCCTCTCTCCGTAGAGCCCGTGTTCTGGTACTACGTGAAGGAGGTCCTCAACAAGCACGAGCTGCAAGCGCTTCTACTCCCTGCGCCACATCGCCTCAGACGTGGGCTGGGGCCGCGCCTGGCTGCGCTGTGCCCTCAACGAACACTCCCTGGAGCGCTACCTGCACATGCTCCTGGCCGACCGCTGCAGGCTCAGGTACGTGGCCGGGATGGGACCTGGAATGGGATGGAGCAAGGGGTGAAGATCTTGGAGTCTGTAGTCAGACCACCTGGATTTTCATCCTAGTTCCCCGATCTGGGGCAAGTGGGCCTCCCTCTGACAGCTCCGGAGTGTTCTGCTGAGCTGTGGAGAAACTTGGGGGAGAATCATTGAGAGACTGCCTGTAACGGGCTCGGCATGGCACTTGCATACAGCCAGCTTGGATGTGGAGAGAGCTGTTGTCCTAGGACATAGCTTCCTCTTCACTTTCTGGATTTTTTTTTTTTTTTTTTTTTTTTAAAGACAGGGTCTTGCTTTGTTTCCCAAGTTGGAGTGCAGTGGCATGAACACGGGTCATTGTAGCCTGGACCTCCCTGGCTCAAGCAATCCTCCCACCTCAGCCTCCTGAGCAGCTAGGACCCTAAGTGTATGCCACCCTGCCTGGCTAATTTAAAAAATTGTTTTGTAGCGATGGGGTCTCAGTGTGTTGCCCAGGCTGGCCTCGAACTCCTAGGTTCAAGTAATCTTCCCGCCTCAGCCTCCCAAAGTGCTGGGATTACAGGTATGAGCTACCATGACAGGTGCAGAATTTTAATTTGGGATTCTTGCATTCATTCAATCCCAAACTGAAAAACACATGGAAATTTTACATTGGGGAAGGAAGTCATTTTTGTTTGTTTGTTTGTTTTTGAGACGGAGCCTCACTCTGTTGCCCAGGCTGGAGTGCACTGCTGCTATCTGGGCTCACTGCAACCTCCATCTCCCCAGTTCGAGTGATTCTCCTGCCTCAGCCTCCTGAGTAGCTGGGATTACAGGCGTGTACCACCATACCCAGCTGATTTTTTGTATTTTTAGTGCGTACGGGGTTTAATCATGTTGGCCAGGCTGGTCTCGAACTCCAGACCTCAGGTGATCCGCCTAGGCCTCCCAAAGTGCTGGGGTTACAGGCGTGAGCTACTGTGCCTGGCCGTGGCCATTACTTTTGCTCTGAGAATGGTGGACTAGACAAGTTGTTTTGTGTCCTTGAGTGATACGGAGTGACCCTGATGAATCCTGTTCTGGTTCCTTAAGTAACTTCCTGATCAGCACCGCCCAGATCTTCAACAGTGAAATTTCACTGAATTCAATAAGTGGGCAGTTTGTGAGTAGTGTGGCATGTTCCCTTGATTTTATATCTTGCCCTGTGTTCCCTAGTTTAGGTCTCCTCTTCTGCTTTATCTACTGCTGTGGTCACCTCTCTACTGGTAATGTCTCAGATCTTCTGGGATTGTGCACTGGGGCTCTTAAAAATACCCTTAAAGTTCTCTGTTGCCTGTGGCTCCTTGTTCAATTGTATGGCAAGACTCTATGTGTCCAAAATGGGAGGGCTTGGGAGCCAGGAGGACTGACACTGACGACACCTGTGTACTGCTCACGGTCAGAGTTCGGAGGCTGAGAATGTCTGGACCTCTAGGGCATTAACCAGCTTTAGTTAAGGAAAACACACTCCTGTTTCTTTCTTTCCTTTTTTTGGAGAAGAAGTCTCGCTTTTTTGCCTAGACTGGAGTGTAGTGGTGCGATCTTGGCTCACTGTAACCTCTGCCTCCTGGGTTCAAGCGATACTCCTTGCCTCAGCCTCCCTAGTAGCTGGGTCTACCAGTGCCCGCCACCATGCCTGGTTAATTTTTGGTATTTTTAGTAGAGACGGGGTTTCACCATGTTAGCCAGGATGGTCTCAATCTCCTGACCTCGTGATCCTCCCACCTCGGCCTCCCAAAGTGCTGGGATTACAGGTGTGAGCTACTGTGTCTGACCTACTCCTTTTTTTTGAAGTGAATTTCTGTGAAGCTCCTTCCAGCATATCATTTACGGGTAGTTCAGAGTTACATACTCAGTCTCAAAGTTGAAGTGACCAACAAGGAGAAGTCAGTCCAGCAGGTAAGAATCACAGTTGACTTTACCTGTATCACCAGCCACTTCCCTAGCTGGATGTTGGGAAAACACATTCATTTAGATGCGTGAAAACGGGCTCAGATTTTTAAAGGATTATGATTTTAGGAATCAGGTGCAGTCAGAATGTCAGCTTGAGCATGTGGTTTGTACGTCTACTAACATTTTCTGGGAAAGTATATTGGAAATGCTCCTCTTCTTTCTTTCTGTCAGTTGTATTCAGTCACTTCAGTGGCTAATTTTTCCAGTCTCTCACCCAACTACAGGTCATGTATCCCTGACTTTGCTTTAGTGAAATTGACTTTTTCCTTGATTAATTTAGAATTCAATGACCTGGCGGGGAAGTTATGGCACTGGGGATTTTTGGTTTCCATTGCTTAACAGGAAGTCAGAGAGAGCTTGGAAGCTGGACTCGGGAGACCTGCTTTTAAGCCCTGGCTGGACCATTTATTGGCTAGATGACCTTGGACAGGCCCTGTAGGCTTCCTTGACACCCCTACCCCAACTGCCATCTAGATTTGTGGGGCATTTTTAGCCTCCTAGCCTTTTCCAAGGATAATGTGGGCTTTCAGGCCTGTAACCTAGGCAGGCATTATATTATTATTATTATTATTATTATTATTATTATTATTATTATTTTGAGGTGGAGTCTCGCTCTTTCGCCCAAGCTGGAGTACAGTGGCGCAATCTCTGCTTACCAAGCCTCTGGGTTCAAGCGACTCTCCTGCCTCAGCCTCCCGAGTAGCTGGGATTACAAGCACCTGCCACCATGCCCAGCTAATTTTTTATATTTTTAGTAGAGATGGGGTTTCACTGTGTTGGCCAGGCTGGTCTTGAACTCCTGACCTCTAGTGATCCTCCCACCCTGGCCTCCCAAAGTGCTGGGATTACAGGTGTGAGCCACCGTGCCTGGCCAAGGCAGGCATTATATTAAATGCCCTGGTTGATGAAGCCATAGAGGCTCTGTAATTTCTGTCTGAAATGGTCTCTTCTTGTATTAGGCAAATCAGGCGAGCCCTGTTGGCAGGCTTGGATTTCCTGTCTGTCTCTTGGGGACATTGCTTGAGTGGAAGTCACCCACCTGACTGCTCCGTTCCACTTTGCTGCTTTATAAATACATTTACATATCATGTCTATTTTAGTACTCTAAAGCTGAGGGTCGGGGGGGACCAGCGAGGAAGTTGTAGGATGTATGTGTTCAATCTTCTGTTTGTAACCAGAAGCTTTAAACCAGCAGAGACCTCAGACAAATCATATCCCTCCTGGGGTGACCAGGTGCAGATCTTCCAGGGAGCCGTCTAATGGAATTTCCTGGTTAATGGACACAGAGAACCACTGCTAAGAACGATTTCCTTTTCTCTTTCAATCTGCAGTACTTTTTATGAAGACTGGTCTTTTGTGATGGATGAAGAGAGGTCCAGTATGCTTCCTACCATGGCAGCAGGTAAGCCTGGCCCAGATCAGGGCGCCAGGCCTTGTGACACATGGCAGAGGGGCTGCCTTGGGGCAGTTCCACAGCGCCATGGAATGTTGTGATTCTTCTGTCCCTCAACAACTCAATGAGTCACTTGCTGCTGTCCTTCTTTTACTAGCACTGAATGTTGGTTTTTAAATTTTTATTTCTTTAAAGAGAGAGCCTCACTCTGTCACCCAGGCTGGAGTGCAGTGATGCAACCTCAGCTCACTGCAACCTCCGCCTCCTGGGTTCAAGTCATTTTTCTATCTCAACCTTCCGAGAAGCTGGGATTACAGGCGCCTGCCACCACGCCCAGCTAATTTTTGTATTTTAATAGAGATAGAGTTTCACTATGCTGGTCAAGCTGGTCTCGAACTCTTGGGCTCAAGTGATCCACCCGCCTTGGCCTTCCAAAGCGTTGGGACTGCAGGTGTGAGCCACCATGCCCAACCACAGTGTTGGGTCCATTTATCTAGAATGTGAGACCCTGGCAGAGAAAGCGAAGATTTGAAGGTTTTTAGTTGGGCTTTGGAGATGTAATATGCATTGCGGGGAATTGGAGGTGGGAGACCTATCTTTGAATCCTGGCTTTACTCCTTGCTACCTGGTGACCTGGGGCAGATGCCGTAAGCTTTGCTGCCTTTTCTTTCCTCTCTGTGAGGTGGGAATCATGCTGTCTCAGCAGTCATCTTCATGGGGCTGTGAGAGAATCATGTGAGATCAGGAGTCGCACACACGACGAATCAACATGGAGAGACCCTGGGTTGATGTTAGTCGGTGGACTGTTACATTGTTCACCCTTTGACTCAAAGGGTGAAGGTGGAATCAGCTGGACTGAAGTGGGCAACTTGCTTCCTCTTTCCAAGTTCTTTGTTGCCTCCTTTTTGTTTTTCCTTGAAAATTTATACTAAACTCATATATCTGGGCTTATGTTAGTCCTGTCCATTGATGAGAAAAAGAATTTGACCATGATTTCCTTTGTAGATCATAAGATGCCCAGTGTAAGTTTCTGTCCACATTAATGATGATGATGTTACCAGTGCACATTTGATGGTTTATGGAGCTGAGTGTTTTGTGAGAGATTGCCTTTAATACTTACAATCCTGTGAGGAAGATAATATTGTCCCCATCTTACAGATAAGGCGACTGGAGTACAGGGAGATGATAAGTTGCTGGACCAAGGTCTTTTTTTTTTTTTTGAGACGGTGTTTCACTCTTGTTGCCCAGGCTGGAGTGCAATGGCATGATCTTGGCTCACCACAACCTCTGCCTCCTGGGTTCAAGCGATTCTCCTGCTGCAGTCTCCTGAGTAGCTGGGATTATAGGCATGCACCACCACGCCTGGCTAATTTTGTAGTTTTAGTAGAGATGGGGTTTCTCCATGTTGGTCAGGCTGGTCTCGAACTCCCGACCTCAGGTGATCCGCCTGTCTCAGCCTCCCAAAGTGCTGGGATTACAGGTGTGAGCCACCATGCCCAGCCTGGATCAAGGTCTTGTAGCTAGTAGGTGGCAGTGCTGGGATTTACCCCCAGGCAGCCTGATCCCGGGACTTGTGCCTTTACCTCCTCCCAGTTGAATTCTTATTCATATTCATCTTCCTGGCTGTTAGGGAGAGAATGTGGCATGACTCAACTCCCATGATAACGGATGTCTGCTGACCCCAGTTTCATGGGAGGTTGTTTTTTTTTTTTTTTTTGAAGCCGAGTCTTGCTCTGTCACCCAGGCTGGAGTGCAGTGGCACGATCTCGGCTCCCTGCAACCTCTGTGTGGCAGGTATTTTTATACCTATTTAAGATCAACGTGTCTCCTCTTCTGTAATCTGTTGTCTGCAGCTGTCTTCTCTTATTGGTGGTATGACTGCCCATCAGCAAGCACTCCAGACTTTTCCCTTTTTTTGGACAGGTCCGAACTCCATACTCTTTGCGATTAACATTGACAACAAGGATTTGAACGGGCAGAGTAAGTTTGCTCCCACCGTTTCAGACCTCTTAAAGGAGTCAACGCAGAATGTGACCTTGCTGAAGGAGTCCACGCAAGGAGTGAGCAGCGTGTTCAGGGAGATCACAGCCTCCTCTGCCATCTCCATCCTCATCAAACCTGAACAGGAGACCGACCCCTTGCCCGTCGTGTCCAGGAATGTCAGTGCTGGTGAGTGGGAACTGGTGCTCGAGGCGGAGCAGAGGGAATCAGAATGTGGCTGATGGGGTGGACATACCTCATCATCTGAAAGTCATTCCAAGGGGAATGGAGTCCAGTGCACTTGCGTTTTCCATTTGTGTTTCTGTTTCTCATCCTCATTCACTCTGAAAGGGCTCTGATGGCCTTACCTAGATGTGAGAATTGCTGGGTGGAAAAATGAACAGCTCAACCAGAGCGAATGGAAAGTGAGGGTGTGAGAGACACCGGGAGCCAGATGACGTTGATCCTCATTCATTCATTCCTTTATTTGTTCCTTCATCGTATTCTGTGTGTTAGGCGGTGAGCCGAATAGGAAAGACAGATTGCCAGCAGGTAGCCTGCAGTCTCCTTTGGGATGGGTGTGGGTGGGTAGTTCATGACAAAATATATAATTTAGGATCCTTAGGATAAAAGGGATGAAAGCCAAGCATAGACTGCTATGGGGAACATCTGCCATTGGGCTTGCCTCTGATTGGGGATGGCATTTAAGGCCTCAGGAAAGAGAGGAGTTGTCAGGTTTGACTCTAGGCTCTGGGGAGGCAAAAGAGAGTTGATTCAGGCTGGGCATGGTGTCTCATGCCTGTAATCCTAGCACTTTGGGAGGCCGAGGCAGGAGGATCACTTGAGTTCAAGGGTTCTAGACCAGCCTGGGCAATGTAGTGAGACCCTGTCTCAATTTTTTAACTTTTTTTTTTTTTTTTTTTGAGACAGAGTCTCGCTCTATTGCCCGGGTTGGAGTGCAGTGGCATGATCTCAGCTCACTGCAACCTCCACCTCCTGGGTTCAAGCAATTCTCCTGCCTCAACCTCCCGAGTAGATGGGACTATAGGCATGTGCCAACATGCCTGGTTTCTTTTTGTATTTTTAGCAGAGACAGGGTTTCCCCATGTTGGCCAGGCTGGTCTTGAACTCCTGACCTCAGGTGATCTGCCTGCCCTGGCCTCTTAAAGTGCTAGGATTACAGGCGTGAGCCACTGTGTCCAGCCTGTTTTTAAAAAATTTTAATTAAAAAATTAAATATAAAAAAAGAAAGTTGATTCAGTTAAGATTAATTTGGTGAGAAGTTTTCAATACCCTTTGATTCCTTTGGGACATTAAGATGTTACTACAGCAAAATTGGAAATTTTGTTGTAGTATGTATGTGTATATATGTAGAGACAGGGTCTTGCCATGTTGCCCAGGCTGGTCTTGAACTCCTGGCCTCAAGTGATCCTCCTGCCTTGGCCTCCCAAAGTGCTGGGATTACAGGTGTGAGCCACTGCATCTGGTTGAAATTGGAAATTTTGGGCTTAAGTACTTAGTATTCTCAAATCTCTTAAACAAGGCAGTAACTGTGGCCATCCCTTTGGAATTATTGATGGTGACCCTGCATGAACCTTGTAGGAGATAGGGCTGTTGACAGCTTTGTGTAACAGACACTGAAATTTCTACACCCACAGGAGTAGCAGTCCCACCCATTTTTGGAACTGCTTTTGAGGTGATCTCAGAGTTGTGCTATACCAGTGAGGCCTCACCACATCACACATTGGTTTAGACAGATTGGGTTTTTGGAATTGGCTCAAAGTGTCTTACATCCAAGTGTGATGATTAAAATAGGGGCACAAAGTGTCTTCTGTGAGAGCTGGTCACTAAGGCAAGCTTGATTTCTTTTTCAGTTAGCATTTGCTATATAACAAGTGATTTAAAAATGTAGTGGCTTAAAACCACCGCAGTTCGTTACTTTTTTGTGTAGGTTGGCATGGTGGCTCTGCTGCTGGGCTCCTTCGGCTCACTCATGGGAGCTCGTGGTTAGATTGGAAGATCTAAGATGGCCCCATCCACATGTCTGGAATCAGTGCTGGGGCTGCTCAGATTCTACTCATGGACTCTCATCCTCCAGTCGGCTGAACTGGCTTCTTTATGTATGGGGTCAGGGCCACTGTCCAGGAGAGCAAAGGCAAAGCTGAGACCTTTTAACGCCTAGCTACTAGAACTCACACAGTGTTATTTCTGCCACTTTTTTTTTTTTTTTTTTTTTTTGAGACAGAGTCTTGCTCTGTCACCCAGACTGGAGTGCAATGGCGCAGTCTCAGCTCACTGCAACCTCTGCCTCCCATGTTCAAGAAATTCTCCTGCCTCAGCCTCCCAAGTAGCTGGGATTACAGGCACCTGCCACCACGCCCAACTAATTTTTTTTTTTTTTTGTATTTTTAATAGAGACGGGGTTTCACCGTGTTTGCCAGGCTGGTCTTGAACTCCTGACCTCAGGTGATCCACCCGCCTTGACCTCCCAAAGTGCTGGGATTATAGGCATGAGCCACCGCACCCGGCCCTTTCTGCCACATTCTTTTGGTAAAAGCAGGGCATGGTGGCTCATGCCTATAATCCCAGCAATTTAGGAGGCTGAGGTGGGAGTATTGCTTGAGGCCAGGAGTTTTGAGACTAGCTTGGGAAGCACAGCAAGACCTCATCTCTACAAATAATAATAAAATTAGCTGGGTGTTGTGGCATGCACCTGTAGTCCCAGCTACTCGGGAGGCTGAGGGCAGAGGATTGTTTGATCCCAGGAATTTGAGGTTACAGTGAGCTATGATTGCACCAATATACTCCAGCCTGGGCAATAGAGCGAGATGCCCCAACTCTTAAAAAAAAAAAAAAAAAGGCAGAGCACTACGCCAGCCAGATTCAAGAGGGTGCAGAAATAGACATCACCTCTGGCTGGGAGGAGCCACAAAGACCCATTGCAAAGGGGCATGGCACAGGAATGGCAGGAATTTGAGGCTGCTCAACACTTGACTACACCCCCCAGCTGGTTCTCCTGGTCTCATCTACCAGCTATGAGAATATTTTCCAAAGTGAAGCATTGAAGATCATTTTGGTAATGGTAGCATCCTTCACATCAAAGTGACTGCTTGGAAGGAACAGTTTCAAGGTGTGCTCTGTGGTGTGTTTATTTAAATCAGTGGGAGAGGCCTGCATCCATTCTGCTCAATCTTCTGTACACAGATTTTCACTGAGGATTTTAAAAAGTCTGAATTCATGTTACAGTGTATTTCTCACTAGAATAGTATTTTCCACAACCTGGAAGTGAGTTGGTTTCATCATCCTTTTGTCTTGCCTACTTTTTCTTATACTGTATCTTTTCTTTTTTTTCTTTTTTTTTTTTTGCCAGATGCCAAATGCAAAAAGGAGCGGAAGAAGAAAAAGCAAGTGACCAACATTAACTCATTTGATGATGAGGAAGATGAGCAGAACTTTGGGGACATGTTTAAAAAGACACCTGGGGCAGGGGAGAGCTCAGAGGACAACTCCGACCGCTCCTCTGTCAATATCATGTCCGCCTTTGAAAGCCCCTTCGGGCCAAACTCCAATGGAAGTCAGAGCAGCAACTCGTGGAAAATTGATTCCCTGTCTTTGAACAGGGAGTTTGGGTACCAGAAGCTTGATGTGAAAAGCATCGATGATGAAGATGTGGATGAAAACGAAGATGACGTGTATGGAAACTCATCAGGACGGAAGCACAGGGGCCACTCAGAGTCGCCCGAGAAGTAAGTTCCCCTCACGCTTCTGTGTGTGTGTGTGTGTGTGTGTGTGTGTGTTTGTATGTAAGATGGAGTCTCACCGTCCCCCAGGCTGGAGTGCCGTGGCGTGATCTCAGCTCACTGCAACCTCCACCTCCCGGGTTCAAGCGATTCTCCTGCCTCAGCCTCCCGAGTAGCTGGGATTGCAGGCACCTGACACCACACCCAGCTAATTTTTGTATTTTTAGTAGAGATGGGGTTTCACCATATTGGCCAGGCTGGTCTCAAACTCCTGACCTCAAGTGATCCGCCTGCCTTGGCCTCCCAAAGTGCTAGGTTTACAGGCATGAGCCACCAAGCCCAGCCTCCCCTTGTGCTTTTAATGAGGGGGTTAAGTTCACCGTTTTCTCTTTCTATGGTATTGGGTGAAATAGGTCTGCAAGTTTTATATTTGCCCAGGGTATCATTCATTCTTCAGGTGTTGATTTAGGAGTGTTATTTGGAAGGAGTGTTATTTGCTCTTCCCTTGAGAACTGAAAGAGGGGAAGAGAGTACATTTGAGGGCACTTAATACAAAGTTAATGTCAGAATGTGTGCCTTGAAATTCTTGCTTTATACATACATCTGTAATTTTCATTTCACAGGGTTCACAGGGTTTCACAGTCTGATGAGACTGTGCCTGTTATTGTTTTTTATTTTTACTCTGGATTTTCCTTGCATCTGACTTGCCACTAGCACAGGAAGCTCAGGACGAAGGCAGCGTTAGGAGAATAGTTGTGGTATGGTGACTTCTGTGTTTATCTGCAGGGGTGTGAATAGCTGTAATATCCACTGCACCTGCTGCCTTAACAGTGGAGTTGGCCAGGCGCAGTGGCTCACACCTGTAATCCCAGCACTTTGGGACACCAAGTTGGGTGGGTCACCTGAGGTCAGGAGTTTGAGACCAGCCTGACCAATATGGTGAAACCCCTTCTCTACTAAAAAAATACAAAATTAGCCAGGCATGGTGGTGCATGCCTGTAACTCCAGATACTTGGGATGCTGAGGCAGGAGAATCGCTTGAATATGGGAGGCAGAGCCAAGATGACACCATTGCACTCCAGCCTGGGCAACAAGAGAGAAGGTCCTTCTCAAAAAAAAAAAAAAAAAAAAATTCCCAAAATACCCCAAATAAGCTAGTTACCTCTTAGGCTTTGTGGTGCACAGTGCCCTCCTAATCATGACTACTGCAAAATCCAGTCCATTAAAGTGTAAAATGAGGCCAGGTGCAGTGGTTCATGCCTGTAATCCCAGCACTTTGGGAGGCTGAGTTGGGAGGATTGCTTAAGGCCAGGAGTTTGATACCAGCCTGGGCAACATAGCAAGAACTCCGTCTCTACAAAAAATAAAAAGTGTAAAATGAATATACAGAAATGTATCTCTCTATTTGACCTAAATCTTATGGATCGCACCATTGCACTCCAGCCTGGGCAACAAGAGTGAAACTCCGTCTCAAAAATAAAAAATAAAAAAAACATTAAACTTCAAGTCCGGGTGCAGTGGCTCACACCCGTAATCCCAGCACTTCAGGAAGCTGAGGGGGGTAGATCACTTGAGGTCAGGAGTTTGAGACCAGCCTGGCCAACATGGTGAAACCCCATCTCTACTAAAACTACAAAATTAGCCAGGCATAGTGGCAGGCACCTGTAATCCCAGCTACTGGGGAGGCTGAAGCAGGAGAATCACTTGAACCCAGGAGGTGGAGGTTGCAGTGAGCCGAGATCACACCATTGCATTCCAGCCTGGGTGATAGAGCAAAGCTCCATCTCAAAAAATTAAAATAAATAAAATAAAATAATAAAATAAATTAAACTTCAGAAGGAAAGAGAGTTGTAGCCTTGATTCCTTTTTTCCCAAGACACTCCTTGAGGCCTATGCAAATTTTCCCAACTCCTCAGCAGTCACAGCTAAGTGGGCCAAAGCAAGGGCTAGTGGAAGGAGTGATCGCAGACCCCATGACACCCTTCACACAGAGCCATAGATGACTACTCAACTTACGGTCACGTCACCATGGGAGAGTCACCAAACAGCATCTCTCTCTCTGAAATGTCAACATCTATACACCCATCTAGTGTCTGGTTTAGGGTGGAAATGTGGGTGTAAGAAAAGTAATTTAGAGGTAATTACTGGCAGCTGAGGGGAGGAGACTGTTCCTCACCCAGCCTTGGGTTAGTGGAGATTTGGTGCAATGGACAAAAACAGAGGTTTTGATTTGGAGGCGAAGAAAGGGGGCAATGGCTCCAGAGGCCAAGAGCAGAGAAGGACAGCCAGGAAGTGGGCTGAGCATGGTGGACTCAGGAGATGGGGAGCCCCATCTTGGGATGCCTCAGAGACATTGTGGAGGGGGCCTGGTTTTCCTTTTTGAACATTTTTTATTGTTATTATTAATTAATTAATTTATTTATTTTTTATTTTTATTATTATTTTTTGAGATGGAGTCTCACTCTGTCATCCAGGCTGGAGTGCAGTGGCATGATCTTGGCTCACTGCAACCTCCGACTCCTACGTTCAAGCAATTCTTCTGCCTCAGCCTCCCGAGTAGCTGGGACTACAGGTGCACGTCACCACACCCAGCTAATTTTTGTATTTTTAGTAGAGACGGGGTTTCACCATATTGGCCAGGCTGGTCTTGAACTCCTGACCTCGTGATCCACCTGCCTCGGCCTCTCAAAGTGCTGGGATTACAGGCATGAACTACCGCACCCGGCCCTTTTCTTTTTTTCTTTGAGACAGAGTTTCACTCTTGTTGCCCAGGTTGGAGTGCAATGGCACAATCTCAGCTCACCGCAACCTCCACCTCTTGGGCTCAAGCGATTCTCCTGCCTCAGCCTCTTGAGTAGCTGGAATTACAGGCATGTGCCACCATGCCCTGCTAATTTTGTATTTTTGTAGTAGAGACGGGTTTCTCCATGTTTGTCAGGCTGGTCTCAAACTCCTGACCTCAGGTGATCTGCCCGCCTCAGCCTCCCAAAGTGCTTGGATTACAGGGGTGAGCCACCGTGCCTGGCCTACAAACTGGTCTATCAGCAAGGTCTTTATGACCTGTATCTTGTGCCAACCTCCTGTCTCATCCTGTGACTTAGAATGCCTTAACCTCCTGGGAATGCAGCCAAGCAGGTCTTAGCCTTATTTTACCCAGCCCCTATTCAAGATAGAGTCGCTCAGGTTCAAATGCCTCTGACACTCCTGCCTCAGCCTTTGAGACAGCTGGGACTATAGGCACACACCACCAGGCCTGGCTAATGTCTTCATTTCTATTTTGTAGGGACAGGGTCTTGCTATGTTGCCCAGACTAGTCTCAAACTCCTGGCCTCAAGCCATCCTCCCACTACAGCCTTGTAGAGTGCTGGGATTACAGGCATGAGCCACCACGCCAGGCCTTGGTTTTTCTTAGTATGTGGGCTAAAGTCATTCAATGTTGATGGTAAAGGAAAATGGGGCCGGGCACCGTGGCTCACACCTATAATCCTAGCACTTTGGGAGGCCCAGGGGGGCGGATCACCTGAGGTCAGGAATTCAAGACCAGCCTGGCCAACATGTCAAAACCCCATCTCTGCTAAAAATACAAAAATTAGCTGAACACGTTGGCTCATGCCTGTCATCCCAGCACTTTGGGAGGCCGAGCTGGGTGGATCACTTGAGGTCAGGGGTTTGAGACCAGCCTGGCTAACATGTACTAAAACTACAAACATTAGCCGGGCACAATGGTGGCTGCCTGTAATCCCAGCTACTCAGGAGGCTGAGACAGGAAAATCACTTGAACCCGGGAGGCGGAGGTTGTAGTGAGCCAAGATCGCACCACTGCACTCCAGCCTGGGCGACAATATAATAATAATAATTATTTTTTTTTGACAGAGACAAAAAATAATAATGATACTTTTTTTAAAAAAAGGAAAATGGGAGGTGATTGTAGAAGGTAGAGGATTTGGAGTGATAGTTCATTACAATTGTAATAAGGACCACAAGATGCTAAGAGTAATGAGATGTAGCGGACGTCTGCTATTTTTGCCTGTTCAGCATCCACTCGTTCTGCTTTGTGTGATAGCACCCCAAGCTTCCTTTGAACCAGTCCTTCCTTCAGCGGAGGCCGACCCCACCCCTTCACTCTGTGGGGTGGCCACATGACCCAGGTCTAGCCAATCAGCACATTCCATCCCGGAGCAGCAGCTGTGTGCCCCTAGCCCAAGCTAGGCTGCTCCTGGCTTTGTGTACCTATTAGGGGAAAATGTGTTCTCTTTTCACTGCAGTTGCTAAGCATGTGGGATGTAAGCCTGGACTTGCTGGTGGCTGCCTTTGCCACCGCTTAGGGAGATTCTGGCCAGGCATGAAGCCGGCACAGAGTAAATGAAGCAGGGCCAGGAGATGAGGAGAGATGGATTCTGATTGCATTATATGAGTACTAGGATCTGTGTCTGAAATCCAAATGGCTTTTTCTTTTCTTTTCTTTTCTTTCTTTTTCGAAACGGAGCACACTCTGTCACCCAGGCTGGAGTGCAATGGCACGATCTCAGCTCACTACAACCTCTGCCTCCCGGGTTCAAGTGATTCTACTGCCTCAGCCTCCCGTGTAGCTGGGATTACAGGCGCGCACCAACACACCCGACTAATTTTTGTATTTTTAGTAAAGACAGGGTTTCACCATGTTGGCCAGGCTGGTCTTGCACTCCTGACCTCACGTGATCTGCCCCACCTTGGCCTCCCAAAGTGCTGGGATTACAGGTGTGAACCACTGCGCCCAGCCCCAAGTGGCTTTTTCAATTACATGAGCCAACATATTCTCACAAGTCCATTCGAGTTTGGTGTCTGTTACTTGCAAATAAGGGAGTTCTGATTGGTTCCCAGTGAAACCTCATCTGTAAGACCTCTGAGCCACCAGTATCCACGGGGCTTGTCCTATAACAGCTCCTGTGCAATCCAGTAACCTTGAACACTGGAAGCCACTGAGCCCTTCTGTGAGTAGATGCACACCTCTGAGGCTAAGATTACTGGTGTACTCATTGGGACCAGTTTGGTCTCAGTGACTGAAAACTCAACCCAAACTTGTTCATTTGGAAAGGAAAAGTCAACCAGGCACAGTGGCTCATGCCTGTAGTTCCAGCGCTTTGGGAGGCTGAGGTGGACAGATCGCTTGAGCCCAGGGGTTCAAGACCAACCTGGGCAACATAGCAAAACCCTGCCTCTACAAAAAAAAAAAAAAATTCTTTTTTTTTCGAGACAGAGTCTCGCACTGTCGCCCAGGCTGGAGTGCAGTGGTGCAATCTTGGCTCACTGCAATCTCTGCCTCCCGGGCTCAAGCGATTCTCCTGCCTCAGCCTCCCGAGTAGCTGGACTACAGGCGTGCACCAACAGGGCCAGCCAATTTTTGTATTTTTAGTAGAGACAGGGTTTCACAATGTTGGCCAGGATGGTCTCGATTTCTTGACCTCGTGATCTGCCTGCCTCGGCTTCCCAAAGTGCCGGGATTACAGGCATGAGCCACCGGTGCCTGGCCTCTACAAAAAATATTTTAAATTAGCAGGCATGATGGTGCATGCCTGTAGTCCCAAATGGGCAAAGTTGTTCTCTGATTGGCTGAGGTCTTTGTCACCTGCTCCACCCCTGAGCTGGAGCCCCACCCAAAGTAATTGACTGAAAGGGGGTGTTCTCCAGTGGGAAATTAGGTAAGGTTTACATTATTTGGCCCTAACTCTTCACCCTTCCCCCTACCCATGCCCTTGGCCATGTAATTTTGCAGTGCCCTCCTGTCACAGGCAGGATGACCTGATGCCTCTTTTTTCTTTTTTGAGATGGAGTCTCACTCTGTCGCCCAGGCTGGAGTGCAATGGTGCAATCTCAGCTCTCTGCAACCTCCACTTCCTGGGTTCAAGAGATTCTCCTGCCTCAGCCTCCCAAGTAGCTGGGATTACAGGCGCCTGCCACCACACCCAGCTAATTTTTGCATTTTTAGTAGAGAAAGGGTTTCGCCATGTTGGCCAGGCTGGTCTTGAACTCCTGACTTCAGGTGATCCTCCTCGCCTGCCTTGCCTCCCAAAGTGCTGGGATTACAGGCATGAGCCACCACGCCCGGCCCTGCCTCTTGAGCTGGGGAGTTCAAGACCAGCCTGGGCAACATAATGAGATTTCAGCTCTATTAAAAATAATAATAATTAAAAAAAAAAAAGAATGGCCCTACCTTTCACTGGCAGGGAAGGGTGGAGGGCCCTCCTGTCATCTCCAAATCATAGTACTGTCCCCACCAGCCATAGCTGATCATTTTAGGAGTGGTTCCAAGGAGTCCCAAGCTGGGCCCATTACAGCCTCTCCTGGAGGGTTACAATTGGATGAGAAGCCAATCGATATCCTCTATAATTAAAAATATAAGAACTTAGGAGTCATGGGGCAGCTGTGTTTAGTTGAAAGCCTAGAGAAGCAGAGAGAGTCCATGTGTTTGTTACTTACGGTAATGCTGGCTGCTGGAACAGATAAGCCCCGAAATCTCTGTGGCTTAACATCACAGAAGTTTATTACCTGCTCAGATAACAGTCTAAGGCAGATGTGCCACATGGCGATTCAGGGACTGCTACCTTGTGGTTCTGCTGTCTCTCGGGGCCTCGGCTGGTAGATAGCAAACAATGCAGACAGGAGAAGACAGATCCATGATCTTAACCATCTCAGCCCCAGACAGGGGACCGCGTCATTTCCACCCACCTTCCATCAGCAAGAACCAGTCACATGAGCACATCTAACAGCAATGAAGGCTGGGAAATACGTGCCCAGGAAGGGAGGAATCAGTTTCTTTGCAGAGGAGAGAGGGAACAGAAGAGAGGGAAAGGGGGAAAATAGAGAGACGGAGGGAGAGAAAGAGAGAAGAACTAATGAGCACAGAACTAAGAAAGCCCAGGCACAGTGGCTCACATCAGTAATTCTAGGGCCTTGGGAGGCAAGACAAGAGAATCACTTGAGGCCATGAGTTCAAGGGCAGCCTAGGCAACATAGTGGGACCCTATCTCCACAAAAATAATAATATTATTATTATTAAATAAAATAAAAGGAAGAGACAGCCATGAAGATAACTAGCTGAGGCCAGGTACAGTGGCTCATGCCTATAATCCCAACACTTTGGGAGGTTGAGGTGGACAGATTGCTTGAGGTCAGAAGTTCCAGACCAGACTGAATAACATAGCAAAACCCCATCCCTACTAAAAATACAAAAATTAGCTGGGCGTGGTGGCAGGCACCTGTAGTCCCAGCTACTCGGGAGGCTGAGGCAGGAGAATCACCTGAACCTGGGAGGCGGAGGATGCAGTGCGCTGAGATCATGCCACTGCACTCCAGCCTGGGTGACAGAGCGAGACCCTGTCTCAAAAAAAAAAAAAAAAAAAAATCACCTGGCTTGTTAAAACAGATTCCTGGACCCCACCCCAGAATTTGATTCAGGTTGGGAGTGAGGCCTGTGAAGTTGCATTTCTAGCAAATTCCCAGGTGATGCTCATGCCGCTGGTCCCAAACCACACTGTGAAGTGCCAGTTCCAGACTAGGAGACTCCAAAGAGACACTGGAGCCAACCACAATGTGCAAACCTGATTGGGTCCTGATTTGGAAATTAAACATCTTTAAAATGCATTCAGGGAATAATTGGGTTCATTTGAACGTGGACTCAATATTAGAAAATTTCTATTGATTTTCTTGGGTAGGGTGGTGACATGTGGCTGGCTATAAGGGAAGATGTCTTTATTTTTAGGAGATTCACATTGAAGTCATTATAGGGGTCAAGTGACATGATATCTACAGCTAACTTTTATTTCACTTATTTATTATTATTATTATTTTAGAGACAGGGTCTTGCTCTGTCACCCAGGCTGGAGTGCAGTGGCATGATCGTAGCTCACTGCAGCCTCAAACTCCTGAGATCAAGCGATCCTCCTGCCTCAGCCTCTCCAATAGCTGGGACTACAGGCCCACACCACCATGCCTGGCTTACAACTAACTTTTAAATGTTGGCCAGGCGCAGTGGCTCACGCCTGAAATCCAAGCACTTTGGGAGGCCGAGGCAGGCGGATCACTTGAGGTCAGGAGTTCAAGACCAGCCTCGCCAACATGATGAAACCTCGTCTCTACAAAAAATACAAAAAATTAGCTGGGCATGGTGGCAGGTGCCTATAATTCCAGCTACTCAAGAGGCTGAGGCAGGAGGATCACTTGAACCCAGGAGGCGGAGGTTGCAGTGGGCCAAGATCATGCCACTGCACTCCAGCCTGAGCATTAGAGCGAGACTCCATCTCAAATAAATAAATTAATTAACATTTCAGCAAAATACACACATGCACACAGACAAAGAAAATATGACAAAATGGTAATTATTGAATTTCAGGATAGGTGTATGAGTGACAATTATACCACTTTTTCAACTCTTCTATGTTTAGATGCTTTAAATATTTAAAGCTAGGGGCTGGGTGCAGTAGCTCATGCTTGTAATCATCATATTTTGAGGGGCTGAGGTGGGAGCATAGCTTGAGCCCAGCAGTTCGAGGCTGCAGTGAGCTATGATCACACCACTGCCCTCCGGGCTGGGCAGCAGAGCAAGACCCTGTCTCAAAAAAATATAAAATAAAATGAAATAAATCTGGGGAGCACGTGGGGGAGGGACTAGTGCATCACAGCCTAATTGAACGAGCAGGAGACTGCCATGGGATGAGGCCAGGCCCAACTGTGTCAGTCCCTCTGGGTCATTCTAAGGACTTCGGATTCTATCCTGAATGCATGAGGAAACCCTTGAAGGCCTTAAGCAGAGAGTGACATGGTCTGATTTTCTTTTAAGCTGTAGCTTTGTTTTTGAGATGGGGTCTTGCTAAATTGCCCAGGCTAGTCTCGAACTCCTGGGCTCAAGTGATTCTCCTGCCCCAGCCTCCCAAGTAGCTGAGATTACAGATAAGTGCCACCACGCCCAGCTAATTTTTGTATTTTTAGTAGAGACGGGGTTTCACCATGTTGGCCAGACTGGTCTCAAACTCCTGACCTCAAGTGATTCGCTTGCCTCAGCTTCCCAAAGTGCTGGGATGACAGGTGAGAGCCACTGTGCCCAGCCAATTGTACATTTTTAAATAACTCAAAGAGTGTAATTGAATTGTTTGTAACACAAAGGATAAATGCTTGATGTAATGGATCCCCATTTACCCTGATGTGATTATTATGCATTGCATGCCTGTATTAAAACATCTCATGCACCCCATACATATATATGCCTACTATCTACCCACAAAAATTAAAAAATGAAAACATTATCCTTTTGATGCTTGGCCACATGGAGGACACAGCAAACGGTTCATGGCCAAGCACAAGAGAGCCACTAATGTCTGCACCAGGAAGGGATAATTATCCAATTATAACCCAGAGGCAGCCTCTGGTGTCAATAGCTGATTGTTCTGAACAAGTCCAGATTCTATGCTTCCCCAAAGCTGTGTGAAATTTAAAAATTCATAATCATTGGCAAATGATAATCGTAATACACATGCCAAGGCACTACCCAGACCAAGGAAATCCAATTCCCTTGGCACCAGGATCAAATCCAAGATCCCCAGGGGATTCTTTCTTTCTTTATTTTGAGACGGATTCTGCTCTGTCACCCAGGCTAGAGTGCAGTGACGCAATCTCAGCTCACTGCAACCTCCACTTCCGGGTTCAAGCACTTCTCCTGCCTCAGCCTCCTGAGTAGCTGGGATTACAGGCACCCGCCACCACGCCTGGCTAATTCTGTATTTCTAGTAGAGACGGAGTTTTAGCACGTTGGCTAGGCTAGTCTCGAACTCCTGGTCTCAGGTGATCTGCCCACCTAAGCCTCCCGAAGTGCTGGGATCACAGGCGTGAGCCACCACACCTGGCCTCAGGGGATTCTTGATTGCAGCCAGGCAGAGCCTGCAGTCCCAGGGTGGGGAGTTCCAGCAGTCCTATGAAGGACTGGCTCCAGGGTCCCTGAGCACAAGGTTGCAAGGCCATGTTGTCACACTCTGGACCTCTTGTTTGTTTGTTTGTTTTTTGAGACGGAGTCTCGCTCTTTCGCCCAGGACGGACTGCAGTGGCACGATCTCGGCTCACTGCAAGCTCCGCCTCCTAGGTTCATGCCATTCTCATGCCTCAGCCTCCTGAGTAGCTGGGACTACAGGCGCCCGCCACCGCGCCCAGCTAAATTTTTTGTATTTTTAGTAGAGACGGGGTTTCACCATGTTAGCCAGGATGGTCTCGATCTCCTGACCTCGTGATCCACTTGTCTAAGCCTCCCGAAGTGCTGGGATTACAGACGTGAGCCACTGCGCCCAGCCAACAGATAGGTACAGTCTTTATCTGTTCGTGTGGCTATAAGAAAGTACCAGAGACTGGGTTATTTATAAAAAATGGAAATTTTGGCCAGGCACAGTGGCTCACGCCTTTAATCCCAGCATGCTGGGAGGCCAGGGCAGGTGGATCGTGTGACCTTAGGAGTTCGAGATCAGCCTGGGCAACATGACGAAACCCTATCTGTACAACGCTAAGAAAAAAAAAAAAAAGCAGGGTGTGGTGGTGCATACCTGTAATCCCAGCTACTCGGGAGGCTGAGGTGGGAGAATCACTTGAACCCAGGAGGCAGAGGTTGCAGTGAGCTGAGATCGTGCCACTGCACTCCAGCCGAGGTGACAGAGACCCTGTCTCATACATACAAACAAACAAAACCCAGAAATTTCTTTCTCACAGTTCTGGAGGCTAGGAAGGCCAAGATTAAGTTACCAGCAGGTTGGTATCTGGTGAGGGCATGGTGGCCATTTCCAATATGGCACCTTGCTGCTATGTCCTCCCGGGGGGACCAGTGCTGTGTCTTCAAGTGACAGAGGGATGTAAGGGCAATGAAAGGGCCTAGCTCGTTCCTGCCAACCTTTTTATGAGGTTACTAATCCCATGCCCTCATGACTTAATGATGCCCCACCTCTTAATACTACCAGACTGGTGGTTAAGTTTTAACATATGAATCTTGGGGAACACATTCAGACCACAGCAGATATATTGTAGAAAAGAATAGTCCGTAAATTCCCAGCAGTAACACTTCGCATATTTTGCCTCTTATTACTTGGAGTATACTGTGTTTCATATGGCTTTTTAAACTTTGTAAAAACTGCAGCAAGTGCCTGATTACTTAGGGCTTCTTTATCTAGTGACAGACTATTTAGTCCATTAATTTTGTGCTGTACAACAGGAAAGAGAGAGAAAATGACTTCTGCAGAGACTGAATCATCTTTATGTCCTCTATGGTAGTTGGCACTTAGTAGATATTGAATAAAAAACAGGCTGGGCAAGATGGCTCATGCCTGTAATCCCAGTACTTTGGGAGGCTGAAGCAGGTGGATCACTTGAGCTCAGGAGTTCAAGACCAGCCTGGGCAACATGGTAAAATCCTATCTCTACAAAAACTATAAAAAGTAGCGGGATGTGGTGGCATGTGCCCATAGACCCAGCTACTTGGAAGGCTGAAGTGGGAGGATTGCTTGAGCCCGGGGGGTGGAAGTTGGACTGAGCCAAGGTCCAGCTCCAGCCTGGGCCACAGAGGGAGACCCTGTCTCAAAACAAACAAATCTCTTTAACTCCCAAAATGGAAAGTTCTCCAAGATATATGTTAAGTGATTAAAAAAAAAAAAAAAAAAAAGGGCCAGCCTGGCATGCTGGCTCATGCCTGTAATCCCAGCACTTTGGGAGGCCGAGGAAGGCAGATCACCTGACGTCAGGAGTTCGAGACTAGCCTGACCAACATGGGGAAACCCCGTCTCTACTAAAAATACAAAATTAGCCAGGTGCGGTGGCGCATGCCTGTAATCCCAGCTACTCGGGAGGCTGAGGAGGAGAATCGCTTGAACCCAGGAGGCGGAGGCTGTGGTGAACCGAGATAGCACCACTGCACTCCAGCCTAGGCAACAAGAGCGAAACTCCATCTCAAAAAAAAAAAAAAAAACCGCATCTCTACTAACAATACAAAAATTAGCTGGGCAAGGAGCTAGGTGATTATAGTACCAGCTACTCAAGAGGCTGATGCAGGAGAATCACTAAACCGCATCTCTACTAAAAATACAAAACTTAGCCAGGCAAGGAGCCGGGTGACTATAGTACCAGCTACTCAAGAGGCTGATGCAGGAGAAACACTTGAACCCGGGAGGTGGAGTTTGCAGTGAGTTGAGATTGCACCACTGCATTCCAACCTGGGCAACAGTGCGAGACCCTGTCTCAAAAGAAAAAAATAATATAAAGTGACCAGGTGTGGTGACTCACACCTGTTATCCCACCACTTTGGGTGGAAGCAGGAGGATCACTGGAGCCCAGGAGTTTGAAACCAGCCTAGGCAACATAGTGAGACCCTGTCTCTATATTAAACACACACACACATGCACACACACACACACACACAAAGGCAGCCAGACTATGCACTAGGAACTGCCCTGGGAATCCCTTTGCGTTCTCACAACAATCCCATTTCACAGATGAAGAAACCAAGGCACAGAAATATTAAGTAATGTGTCCAGGTGCGGTGGCTCACGCCTATAATCCCAGTACTTTGGGAGGCTGAGGCAGGCAGATCACGAGGTCAGGAGTTCGAGACCATCCTGGCCAACATGGTGAAACCCTGTCTCTACTAAAAATACAAAAATTAGCTGGATGTGGTGGCAGGTTCCTGTAATTCCAGCTACTCAGGAAGCTGAGGCAGGAGAATTGCTTGAACCCGGGAGGTGGAGGTTGCAGTGAGCCGAGATCACACCACTGCACTCCAGCCTGGGTGACAGAGCAAAACTCCGTCTGAAAAAAAAAAAAAAAAAGAAGAAGAAGAAATACTAAGTAACTTGTCTGAGGCCACTTAGTTACCAAGACGTGGGAGCTGGGACTTGAACCCAGGCAGTCTGCAGTCTGACTGGATTCATGCCTGCAGCCTCTGCACTCCTGCTACTTACTGTGTGAGAAGCGCCTGTTCTGTGGAAGGTTGTGGGCTGAGATCTTTCCATGAGTTCCACTCATTTACCCCCAAGGCTGTTCTTAAAGACAGGCATGACAGTTATGCCCATTTTACAGATGCGGCCCTGAGGCTCACAAGGGCACGCCACTCGCCCATTTCCACAAAGCTATAGCTCGTTAGCGGAGGGCAGAATTCGGCCGCCTCTCCCCTAGCTCGAAGGCTGTGATTGACACAGAGGTTTTTGTTGTTGTTGCTGTTGTTTGTTCTTTTTTCTTTTTTTTTTTTTTTTTGAGACAGGGTCTTGCTCTGTCATCCCGGCTGGAGTGCAGTGGTGCGATCTCAGCTCACTGCAAACTCTGCCTCCAAGATGCAAATGATTCTCGTGCCTCAGCCTCCCAAGTAGCTGGAATTACAGGTGTGCACTACCACGCCCAGCCGTTTTTTGTAGAGATGGGGTTAGTAGAGATTTGTTTAATAGAGATGGGGTTTCACCATGGTCTCTACTAAACCCTGTCTCTACTAAAAATACAAAAATTACCCAGACGTGGTGGCACATGCCTGTAGTCCCAGCTACTCAAGAGGCTGAGGCAGGAGAATCACTTGAACCTGGGAGGTGGAGGTTGCAGTGACCCAAAATCATGCACTCTAGCCTGGGGTCTCGCTTTTGCCCAGGTTAGAGTGCAGTGGCACAATCACAGTGGCTCACTGCAGCCTCAAACTCCTGGGCTGAAGGGAATCCTCCCACCTCAGCCTCCCAAGTAGTTAGGACTATAGGCATGTGCCATCCTGGCGAGTTAATTTTTTGTGTGTTTTTATTCTCTCGAGACAGAGTCTTGCTCTGTTGCTCAGGCTGGACTGCAATGGCGTGATCTTGGCTCACCGCAACCTCCACCTCCGGGGTTCAAGCAATTCTCCTACCTCAGCCTCCCGAGTAGCTGGGATTACAGGTGCGTGCCACCATGCCTGGCTAATTTTGTATGTTTAGTAGAGACAGGGTTTCGCCGTGTTGGTCAGGCTGCTCTCGAACTCCTGACCTCGTGATCCACCTGCCTCGGCCTCTCAAAGTGTTGGGATTACAGGCATGAGCCACTGAGCCTGGCCTGGTGAGCTAATTTTTAAATTTGTTATAGAGACAAGAGAGACAAGAGTCTCTCTTATGTTGCCCAGGCTGGTCTCGACCCCCTGGCCTCAAGTGATCCTCCCACCTCAGCCTCCCAAAGTGCTGGGATTACAGATGGGTGTCACCGCACCTGGCCTCTGAGGAGGATTTCATTATAAACCTGCCCTGAAGGGAGGGAATCCAATTTTACGAGAGGGTGTAGCCTGGTGAGGCCTGGATGACCTCCGGAGGCAGGGGCTTGTGCCTGGGCTGAGGCCTAAGGGACAATGGGCAGACATGAAGTTGCCCCAGGCAGAGGGTACAGTGTGGGCAAAGTCAGGAAGTGGCAGGGCTTGGATCACTCCAGGAAGAGAGAGGAGTCATGTGTCACAGGAGCTCGAGACCCAGAGAGGGAGGCAGGCAGGCAGGCAGGGACCAAGCTTGGGCACAGCCAGGAAGGCAGGACAGGGCATGGTGGGGCCAATGGAATCATTACCCAAGACGGAGATTTTCAGGGAAACAGCTTAGATAAGGCCAGGCGTACAGTAGCTCCCACCTGTAATCCCAGCATTTGGGGAGGCTGAGGTAGGAGGACTGCTGAGCCTGGGAGCTCGAGACCAGCCTAGGCAACATAGTGAGACCCCATATCCATAAAAAATTTAAAAAAGGAGTTTGTGTTCCTGTAGTAGCAGACTTGGGAGGTTGAGGTGGCAGTATCACTTGAGCCCGGGAGTTCAAGGCTAAAGTGAGCTGATTGAGCCATTGCACTCCAGCCTGAGCAACAGAGAGATACGCTGTCTCAAAGGAAATACAAATTAAAAAACCAGCCGGGCATGCTGGCGTGTGCCTGTAGTCTCAGCTACTTGGGACACTGAAGTGGGAGGATCGCTTGAGCCCAGGAGTTCAAGGCTGCCGTGAGCTATGATTGTGCCTCTGCAGTCCAGCCTGGGCGACAGAGAAAGACCCTGTCTCTTAAAAAAAAAAAAATCTTAGATAAGAGGATGCTGTGCCTCCCTGGGGGTCTTCAGTCACCCATAGTCCTGGCAAGAGAGGAGGGCCAGGAGAGAGCTTCACCCACCTGCTGTCCTGCCCATGTGACATCCGCAGGTGCTGCCATGGCCACGACTGATGTTACACTCGAGCTGAGGAGGCCGGCTGCAGCCCCAAGACAGAGCGCTACTCCTGGCAGTGCGTCAATCAGAGCGTCCTGTGCGGTGAGTCCCCAGCACCACCATGCCACCCACCCCGAGTATCCCCTGGGCATCCTGGCATAGCCAGATGACTTCCGTGCCCCTGTTGCAATAACCACTGCTTCCAAGTCTCTATAGACCACCCCTTGGGTATATCTAATGTAAGTGATATTTATTTTATTTATTTTTTGAGTCAGTCTCGCTCTGTCACCCAGGCTAGAGTGTGCTGATGTGATCTCGGCTCACTACAACCTCTGCCTCCTGGGTTCAAGCGATTCTCGTGCCTCAGCCTCCCAAGTGGCTGGGACTACAGGCATGCACCATGACGCGCAGCTAATTTTTGTATTTTTTTCAGTAGAGGTGGGGTTTCCCCAAGTTGGCTGGGCTGGTCTCAAACTCCCCACCTCAAGTGCTTTGCCCGCCTCGGGCTCCCAAAGTGCTGGGATTACAGGCATGAGCCGTGGTGTGTGGCCCTAATGTGAGTGATCTTTAACACTGAGCACTTGAAAAAGAAAACCCTGAAGAAACCTAATTCTTTGATGTCTGGACGACAAGGAAGAAGATAGAAATGGCATCAGATAATAAACAGTGTAAATGTTTATCAGAAAGAGGCTGGTGGTCGGGACAAGTAGGAGGATCGCTTGAGTCCAGGAGTGCATCTCTACAAAAAAGTTAAAGGATTTTTTAACATTGGCCAGGCGTGGTGGCACACATCATCTGTGATCCCAGCTACTTGGGAGGCTGGGGCAGGAGGATTGCTTGAAGCCCAGGAGGTTGAGGCTGCAGTGAGCTGTGATCGAGCCACTGCACTCCAGCCTGGGTGACACAGCAAAATCCAGTCTCAAAAAAAATAATAATAATATTTTACATAACCAACCACTTCTAAAGATTAAAAAAAAACCCCTATGATTAAAAACCTCAGGTCCCTCAGGCAATCATACCAGATATCGAAACAAAGCAATAACATAAGGACTGCAGTATTTATTTTATTTTTATATTATTTATTTATTCTTTGTTAGTTTTTGGAGTGTGGGTTTTGTTTTGTTTTTTGAATTTTTTATTTTGTTCTACTCGGTTTTATTCTTATTGCTCAGGCTTGAGTGCACTGGCCTCTTCTCAGCTCAACCTCCGCCTCTTGGGTTCGGGTAATGATGGTTCCACGTCAGCGGCCCTCCGCCTCTTGGGTTTGCGTGACGGTTCCACGTCACCGACCCTCCGCCTCTTGGGTTCGGGTGATGATGGTTCCACGTCAGCGGCCCTCCGCCTCTTGGGTTTGCGTGACGGTTCCACATCACCGACCCTCCGCCTCTTGGGTTCGGGTGATGATGGTTCCACGTCAGCGGCCCTCCGCCTCTTGGGTTTGCGTGACGGTTCCACGTCACCGACCCTCCGCCTCTTGGGTTCGGGAGGTGGTTCCATCTCAGCCGCCCTCTGCCTCTTGGGTTTGCGTGGTTTTTCTGCCTCAGCCTCCTGAGTAGCTAAGGGAGGTGTCTTGAGATTATCATCGGCTGAGGGTGGAAGCGGCCCCCGCAGACGCTCGGCAGGTGTCTTGATATTATCATCTGCTGAGGGTGGAGCTGAGGGTGGAAGGGGAGTGAGCTGACGCTCGGAAGGTGTCTTGAGATTATCATCCGCTGAGGGTGGAAGCGGCCCCCGCAGACGCTCAGCAGGTGTCTTGATATTATCATCTGCTGAGGGTGGAGCTGAGGGTGGAAAGGGAGTGAGCTGACGCTCGGAAGGTGTCTTGAGATTATCATCCGCTGAGGGTGGAAGCGGCCCCCGCAGACGCTCGGCAGGTGTCTTGATATTATCATCTGCTGAGGGTGGAGCTGAGGGTGGAAGGGGAGTGAGCTGACGCTCGGAAGGTGTCTTGAGATTATCATCCGCTGAGGGTGGAAGCGGCCCCCGCAGACGCTCCCCGCAGACGCTCGGCAGGTGTCTTGATATTATCATCTGCTGAGGGTGGAGCTGAGGGTGGAAAGGGAGTGAGCTGACGCTCGGAAGGTGTCTTGAGATTATCATCCGCTGAGGGTGGAAGCGGCCCCCGCAGACGCTCGGCAGGTGTCTTGATATTATCATCTGCTGAGGGTGGAGCTGAGGGTGGAAGGGGAGTGAGCTGACGCTCGGAAGGTGTCTTGAGATTATCATCTGCTGAGGGTGGAAGCGGCCCCCGCAGACGCTCGGCAGGTGTCTTGATATTATCATCTGCTGAGGGTGGAGCTGAGGGTGGAAGGGGAGTGAGCTGACGCTCGGAAGGTGTCTTGAGATTATCATCCGCTGAGGGTGGAAGCGGCCCCCGCAGACGCTCGGCAGGTGTCTTGATATTATCATCTGCTGAGGGTGGAGCTGAGGGTGGAAGGGGAGTGAGCTGACGCTCGGAAGGTGTCTTGAGATTATCATCGGCTGATGGTGGAAGCGGAATCCGCAGACGCTCAGCAGGTATCTTGATATTATCATCTGCTGAGGGTGGAGCTGAGGGTGGAAGGGGAGTGAGCTGACGCTCGGAAGGTGTCTTGAGATCATCCGCTGAGGGTGGAAGGCAGGTGTCTTGATATTATCATCTGCTGAGGGTGGAGCTGAGGGTGGAAGGGGAGTGAGCTGACGCTCGGAAGGTGTCTTGAGATTATCATCCGCTGAGGGTGGAAGCGGCCCCCGCAGACGCTCGGCAGGTGTCTTGATATTATCATCTGCTGAGGGTGGAGCTGAGGGTGGAAGGGGAGTGAGCTGACGCTCGGAAGGTGTCTTGAGATTATCATCGGCTGATGGTGGAAGCGGAATCCGCAGACGCTCAGCAGGTATCTTGATATTATCATCTGCTGAGGGTGGAGCTGAGGGTGGAAGGGGAGTGAGCTGACGCTCGGAAGGTGTCTTGAGATCATCCGCTGAGGGTGGAAGGCAGGTGTCTTGATATTATCATCTGCTGAGGGTGGAGCTGAGGGTGGAAGGGGAGTGAGCTGACGCTCGGAAGGTGTCTTGAGATTATCATCCGCTGAGGGTGGAAGCGGCCCCCGCAGACGCTCGGCAGGTGTCTTGATATTATCATCTGCTGAGGGTGGAGCTGAGGGTGGAAGGGGAGTGAGCTGACGCTCGGAAGGTGTCTTGAGATTATCATCCGCTGAGGGTGGAAGCGGCCCCCGCAGACGCTCGGCAGGTGTATTGATATTATCATCTGCTGAGGGTGGAAGGGCAGTGAGCTGACGCTCGGAAGGTGTCTTGAGATTATCATCCGCTGAGGGTGGAAGGGGAGTGAGCAGACACTCGGGAGGTGTCTTGAGGCTCAGGGAGTTATCAGTTATAGAATGTTGTTGAGTTGGAGGAGGTGGCTGGTGGCCCATCCTGTTTTTTAAAGTTTCAGCTGTGAGGTAGGGCCAGTAGGGCAATCCTGAAGAATGACGATGCTCCGCTGCCGCCATTCTGACCTGTAGGGCCAAAGGAGGGAATGTTTTCACACATATTCATTTGATGGACAAAATTACCGCCACCAACACAGTCTGCACCTTCTGTTGCTGGTGATAGATTTTTGCACCTTTCCATCCTCCAGGTTTCAAAATAGCAGTATCAGTGTCATAATATCACCCTTCCACTGAGTACTGCCGACAGCTGGAGGGTAAAGGAAAGTCATTGGGACACACTGTTGTCTCCACATGCCACTGTGTCTGTCTGCAAATGTAGGCAGGCTGGGGTCCTGCCCCAGGGAAGACAGAGTCATAACAGAGTAATAAAGAAGCATGTTTGAGACACAGGAGTGTCTATGTCTATCCTCATTCCTCCCTCACAGCCATCACCAGAGCATGTTTCTTGCACCAGGTCAACAGACAGTAAGAGACAGTAAGAGAGGCATGAAAAGCCCACTGTCCACACATGTTGCAGCTTCTTTTTGGAGAATGTTTTCCAGGCCTTTTATGTTCTGTCTCTGATTCTCAGAACTCTGCAAGGTCAGTGTGACCACCCTGCTCCAAATCTAAGAAAACAGAGGTTTCCAGAGGAAGGAGAAATTGTGCCCAGGGTCACACAGCTTGCAAGAGGCAGAGTGGAAGTTGATTCCAGCTCTGCCTGCAGGACCCTCTCATTTCCCCTCTGTTTCCCTTCTTGACAAAGGATCTTCTTCACTCTGGAGGTGCCACCCATGAGAACAAAGAGCTCTGGAGAGATGTGGATTCCTGAAGAGCTGCAGGGGAACTGGGAGAGGGTTTTCTGACAGAACAATCTCACCTCAAGAAGTCACTTAGGCATGGCTGTAATATTTCTTTTCACTCCCAGGTAATACCAAATTGTAAGTGCACTAGGACATAAAGAATACTTTTGTCCATGGAAAAATGAGGTGGGAATTCTAAACAAAGCAAGTTTTAAAACTGTGTTTCACTTCAAGTGTACAAGTCCCATCACGTGTAATCATAGGACTCGGCAGCTTTTGAAGGTACAGAGGCCACACAAGAACCAGCTTAGCTGAGCATCATTTAAGGCCTTCATTTGGAATTGTCCCTGTGGGTAATAAGTTACATTCACTCTTCACTAGTTTACAGTCAGGGCCCATCTGCTATTACAAATACGGAACCTCTGACACTTAGAATATTAGATCAGGGGCCCCACTGGGTGGGGATGAAGGTGTTTTTGCGCAACACGGTTACCAACAGGGATGGGACTGTGATGCTTGTAGGCAGCCTTTCTCTCTGCCATCTCCCTCTGCAGGGCTTGAGCACAGAGCTGTAGGGAGAAAAATGTATCCATGTCCTGACCTGGCAGACTATGTCCAAAAGCAAGGAAAACAAGCAAACTTACCCAGTTGCAAAGAGCCTTTCTTGCAGAAGGGGGGATCTGAAAAAGCCAACACATGAGAAATTGAATGTTGAGAGAGTCTAAGGGCCGTGGCATCATCTGCATCAGCACTGAACTATCCTGCAACTGCAGGGAGGAAGCTCCTTACTTTGCATTTGTGGTAGTCCTCTGCTCGCCGCCGCAACTCTTGCGCACGTTGAAACATTTTCCTATGGATTACAATCACTTTCATCAGATAAAGCACCACTTTCAGGATGATTTTAAATAATCTGCCATGTTTCTGTTATCCTCACAACTGTACCCTTACACAATCTATCTCTACCTAGAAAACGTATTTCAGATGGCTAGAAGAGTACAGTCTGAGCCGGTCACGGTGGCTGACGCCTGTAATCCCAGCACTCTGGGAGGGCGGGGCGGATGGATCACGAGGTCAGGAGATTGAGACCATTGTGGCTAATATGGTGAAACCCCTTCTCTACTAAAAATACAAAAAATTAGCCAGGCGTGGTGGCAGGCACCTGTAATCCCAGCTACTCGGGAGGCTGAGGCAGGGGAATCACTTGAACCTGGGAGGCGGAGGTTGCAGTGAGCCAAGATCACGTCATTGCACTCCAGCCTGGGTGACACAGCGAGACTCCATCTCAGAAAAACAAAAACAAAAACAAAAAAACTGTACAGTCTGATCCAAACTGTTGCTGTATTGATTCCTCCTCTTGCTTACTGCCTGCTGACTTCTGAGATGATAGTTTCCTTCCCCATTCTCAGTACATCCCTAATTCATCCTTCATTGAGCATCTTTTATCATAAAGCTGTATTCTCTTTGTATTAATATCCTTACCGTGTTTCACAGGGCAGAAACAGCTGGGCTTATAAACAGGCATAGTCCTTTTGAAGGATGTGGTTGATCCTACAACAACACACTTTCCTAAGGATGACAACAACTCACCCCACCCCTAGAATGGCTGGTATGAACCGAGTTTCCACACAGTCTAGCTGGCAATGGGGTCAGGAGACGTTTTGCTACTTCACATCTTTTGGTCACTGGTAAATATTAAGGTACTTTGTTTTCTGTTTTGTGAACTCTCTCTCGCTCTCTCTCACGATATGTCTTCTGACCGTTTGTTTCTATTTCTGCATTTACTGGGTCTAAATACTGTACAAAGGTTAAAAACAACACTCCAATGGGCGTTTCCCAAGAGGGTGGGGTACAGTTTCTGAACTCACTTGTAGGTGTGTATTTCTTTCATATCCAATTTCCCATTTTCCTCTGCCTCTGATACCTGCCTCTCCTTTTCTGCATGCTCACATTCTTTCACGCTTAGTTTCCTCAGATTAGAAGGGAGAGAAATGCACACACATGATCCACCAGCCCGTGTGGGATTCCCTCTGCCCTTCTGGCATCTGAAGGCTGTGATTCAAAGATCCCCCCTGCAACCTTCCCACAAATGAACCAACTGATTCTCACAACCGAAGGGAGAATTGACACCTCCCATTGAGGGACAAAAAAAAGTCACACTCTGGCCTGCTGGCAAGTCACCTGTCATTTCCAGCTCATCTTCATAGTTCCATAGTTAGTCCTATTCTTTAGTAAATATAAAGACTATTAAAAGCTTCTATGAGGTGCACTATGTGTGTCTCTGGGGTCAGTCTTGTGCTTGACACAGCGAAAGCTCATTTTAGTTCAGTGTGAAAAACCAGACCTCACCAATTCATCACAACTAACTCCATCGGAAGCAGAGGATTGCTCCTCATCTGACTCCTCCTGTGTGAGACCTGATTCTCAGTCAGAGGCTGATGCCGGAACTGAGACCATCAGCCATAGAGAGATCCTTCCAGAATAACCCCGCAGTTCACTACTGCACTTTGCCATGATTCAGGACTGGAACTCTTGTCATCGACTTTAAAGATCCTGGTTGAGAGAAAAGGCAATCTGAATGCTGGGCGCATCTATTGAATTAGAAATGATCGGAATGGCTCCTAAGTCAGGGTGTTATGTCCTGAAAATAGGTGACAACGGCAAACCATCCACCCTGGTGTTGACTGACTTTAACAAGGTTCAGTTCACAGAGATTGAGGGCAGAAAAAGGAAACGGCCTCAAAAGGGTAAGTTTGCTGTGTTGCCCTCACACCACTTGATTCATGGTCCTGATCCTAAGGATCTCACCTGATACTTGGCTTTATAGGAAGGATGTGTAAAATTCCCAGAACGCTAGGAAACAGGGGCGAAAACACTTCAAAGAGAAAGTTAATGAACTTGTTTCTGACCACAAGGCATCCTTCAGCACATGCTGTCTGGAGTGGCCTCAAACAAGGAGTGTGTGGTGTGGTGCTGAGAATGCAATGGGAGCAGGGTCCTGTCCCCACGCTAAAGAAGCTCACAGCTTAATGCAAATGAGAAGCCAGTGAGGACATCACTACTCCTGCTGTGCACTTGGGAACTAGAAACACAAAACCTGACTCTGGAGGGAAGCTAAGGAAGCATTCTACTCTTGAGTTGACATAAGTGCATCTGAAGCTTCTGATCTCCGATGAGAACAATGGGGGACACCAAACAGAATATAAAACCCATGATTGAATACATCAAATTGCTAACATGGCAGTAAACAGACATGAGGTGAAGATGGAGAAGAAGGAAACCCAGGACGAAAGTCAGCCTCGCATTTGGAACCCATTTCCCTGAGTTTCATTGCTGAATTCCAGAAGGAACTACTGAGATGCAAAGAAGCACAGCAGCTTTTGCACACATGCGTGGGATTAGATGGAAAACAAGTGGATTGAGGGTCTGCCAATGAAAGCGACCCATACTGAAGTCCACTGGCTCTGGTTGAGACCCAGAAGAGTCATGCATCAGAATAAAGGTGGACAGGAAATACCCTGGCCTTTGTAGGGACTGAGCCTGCACCGATGACTTCAATTGCAGCCTGTATGGAGGACCCCTGACCATCCCCCAGAAGTAGACTCCCATCTCTTCTGCAGCAAGATAACATGCTACTAGGCCTCAATTCATTGCTAAACATTTTTTAACAAGTATCTCACATTTAACAAAAAAAGATCAGTCATATGGCAGCAAAATACAATGTCATATGACCAAAACATGAAAGACTGTGAAAATGAATCTGGAGGTGACCCAAGCATTGAATTCAACAATCCAGGCTGGGTGCGGTGGCTCACACTGGGAGGCTGAGGTAGGCAGATCACCTGAGGTCAGGAGTTCAAGACTAGCCTGGCCAACATGGTGAACCCCTGTCTCTACTAAAAATACAAAAATTGGGCCGGGCACGGTGGCTCACGCCTGTAATCCCAGCACATTGGGAGGCCGAGGTGTGCGGATCATGTCAGGAGTTCTAGACCAGCTTGGCCAATATGGTGAAACCCCGCCTCTACTAAAAATACAAAAATTATCCGGGCATGGTGGCATATGCCTGTAGTCCCAGCTACTCAAGAGGCTGAGGGATAAGAATCGCTTGAACCTGGGAGGTGGAGGTTGCAGTGAGCCAAGATCATGCCACTGCACTCTAGCCTGGGTGACAGAGTGAGACTCTGTCTCAAAAAAAAAAAAAAAAAAAAAAAAATTGGTCAAATGTGGTGGCACACACCTGTAATCCAAGCTACTCGGGAAGCTGAGGCAGAATTGCTTCAAACTGGGAGGCAGAGGTTGCAGTGAGCCAAGATTGCACCATAGCACTCCAGCCTGGGCGACAGAGCGAGACTCTATCGCAAAATTAAAAAAAAAAAAAAAAAAAAAAAGGCTGGCTGTGGTGGCTCACGCCTCTAATCCCAGCACTTTGGGAGGCTGAGGCAGGTGGATTACCTGAGGTCAGAAGTTCGAGACCAGCCTGGACAACATGGTGAAACCCCATCTCTAGTAAAAATACAAAAATTAGCTGGGCGTGGTGGTGGGCACCTGTAATCCCAGCTACTTGGGAGGCTGAGGCAGGAGAATTGCTTGAACCCAAAAGGCAGTGAGCTGAGATTGTGCCATTGCACTACAGCCTGGGCAACAACAGCAAAGCTCCATCTCAGGAAAAAAAAAAAAAAAAAAAAGAGAAAGGAAAACCAATGCCAGTACTAGCAACTCCTCTTCCTCCGAAAAAATGAAAACAAGAATGTAGGAAGGGAAAGGAATTATACAGCTTAAACTAATGAAGCAGAAAGGACAAACTCAATTTTGAACCCACTGAATTTGCCACAAATATTGTAGAAAATATTCTCAAGGACTTTACAGTTGTCTACTTTGATTGGCACATGGTTCATACAACAGTATTTGTGTCAAGGCACATCTTACTGTTTTCTGGCGGTCTTCCTCTTTCCATTGATTTTGTCATGATGGTTGATTTTCGTTGTCACCTTCCTCTTACGGATTTTAGCTCTAACTTTTGTTTCCACATGTCTCCGTAGAGTAATGACGTCTTTCAGGCCAATTTTATTTCCTCGAAAGGAAGAAACTCTTTTCTTTGTGTGCATACAAATGGACCTCAGCCCTTGGTGAGAGTGAGGAGAGGAGAAGGTGAGAAACCTGAGGGCAAGAAGCTGTTCTTTCCCTTTCCAGGGCAAACTCATTTCCACACTATGCGGATTCCAACAGAGCCATACCTTCCTGTCTACGGCGGTTGGACCTCCAGGCTCTCTGCTGTACATCCGTGGATCCATCATGTCCATTTCGAGACCAGAAGATAGTCTTCAGGAGAGACACCTAGGAAATAATAATATAAGAATGACGGCTGGGCACGGTGGCTCATGCGTATAATCCCAGTACTTCGGGAGGCCGAGGCAGGTGGATCACGGGGTCAGGAGTTCAAGACCAGCCTGGCCAAGATGGTGAAACCCCGTCTCTACTAAAAATACAAAAATTAGCCGGGCATGGCAGCGGGCGCCTGTAATCCAAGCTACTCGGGAGGCTGAGGCAGAGAACCGTTTGAAGCTGGGAGGCGGAGGTTGCAGTGAGCCGAGATCACACCACTGCACTCCAGCCTGAGCGACAGAATGAGACTCTGTCACATACACACACACACACACAAGAATGACATGAGGCTGGCACGGTGGCTCACTCCTGTAATCCCAGCACTTTGGGAGGCCGAGGCAGGCGGATCACCTGAGGTCGGGAGTTTGAGACCAGCCTCACCAACATGGAGAAACGCTGTCTCTGCTAAAAATACAAAATTAGCCAGGCATGGTGGTGCATGCCTGTAATCCCAGCTAGTCGGGAGGCTGAGGCAGGAGAATCACTTGAACCCAGCAGGAAAAGCTTGTGGTGAGCTGAGATTGTGCCATTGCACTCCAACCTGGGCAACAAAATTGAAACTCTGTCTCAAAAAAAAAAAAAAAAAAAAAAATAGGCCAGATGCGGTAGCTCACGCCTGTAATCCCAGCACTTTGGGAGGCCGAGGCGGGTGAATCACAAGGTCAAGAGATGGAGACCATCCTGGGCAACATGGTGAAACCCCGTCTCTACTAAAAATACAAAAATTAGCTGAGCATGGTGATGCACGCCTGTAGTCCCAGCTACTCGGGAGGCTGAGGCAGGAGAACTGCTTGAACCCAGGAGGCAGAGGTTGCAGTGAGCCAAGATCCCACCACTGCACTCCAGCCTGGTGACAGAGTGAGACTTCGTCTCAAAAAAAAAAAAAAAAAAAAAATGACATGAATATACTTCACACAACTGAACTGTACACTTCAACACGGTTAGATGGTAATTATCATCTTATAAGTATTTTACCACAGGTTAACATGTTTCACAACTTGAAAAGGAAGTAATTACCTTCAGCTCTCTGAGTTCTAGAATTTGTAACATTTCATCCCCTGCTCCTTCCTGATCTGCACTGGAGCATCTTCCTTCTGTCCCTGCTCTACTCAGAGTTCACTTTCCCTTCCCTCACATCAGCTTCATTGAGGCTGGTTTGAACTTAACGCAAAACATTCTCACTAATGACTGAATTCCCACCAAGATTTCCATATTATCACAGTATGCTTTTAATCTTCTAAGATATTAAATATTTCTTCTCATCATAGCTAAAATGCAATGCAAATCCCATCTCAGATGTGGGTCAGATACCTATGAATCTCCTGAGGTGGTCATTGAAATGACTTTTTTCTTGAGACAGAGTGTCACTCTCAACCGTGCTGAAGTGCAGTGGCGCTACCTTGGCTCACGGCAACCTCCACCTCCCAGATTCAAGCGATTCTTGTGCCTCAGCCTCCCAAGTAGCTGGGATTACAGGTGCCTGCTACCATGCCTGGCTAATTTTTGTCTTTTTAGTAGAGATGGGGTGTCACCATGTTGGCCCATCTGGTCTTGAACTCCTGACCTCAAATGATCCATCTGCTTCAGCCTCCCAAAGTGCTGGGATTACAGGCATGAGCCACCACACCTGGCCTGAAATAATATCTTTCAAATTCTTTGTAGAATTTGTTTTTTCCTGATTTCTGCACATAGGATAAAAAAAAAATCATGTACTAGGATTTCGAGAGAAGCAATGGGTAATCTAAAAAGATGAAAAGAGCAACCACGTCAATCCCACAGCTACTGCTAGATTTCATAGGAAAGGTAGCTGGCCCAGTTTGGAGCTAGGGGAAATGTCAAACACATGAAGAAATGAGAAGCCAAGAAATGCCATCACGCATGAATGCTTCATGGCACCCATGATGTCCCTGCTAAGGAGGTAATGGTATAGATGACTAGATGACAAGGACAAAGATGAGAGGTGCGAAGTTGTCCAAGTCCAACAGCTCAACTGAACTTTCCTAAGTGGAATTGTTAAAAAGTGGTAAATTTAAAAACTTCCCCTGGCTCACGTGGTGGCTCACGCTTGTAATCCCAGCACTTTGGGAGGCTGAGGTGGGTGGATCATTTGAGGTCGGGTTTTGAGACTAGCCTGGCCAACATGGTAAAACCCCGACTCTACTAAAAATACAAAAATTAGCTGGGCATGGTGGTGGGCACCTGTAATCCCAGCTACTTGAGAGGCTGAGGCAGGGGAATCACTTGAAGCCAGGAGGTGGAGGTTGCAGTGAGCCGAGGTCACACCATTATACTCCAGCCTGGGCAACAGAAGGAGACTCGTCTTCGGGGTGAGAAAAGAAAAAAAAAAAAGAAAAAAGCTTCCTCCAATTTATACCGAAAATTCTCTGTTCAGGACTAAGTGGCATAGAGAATGTTAAATGTGCCTAGATATCTTCATAACTCATATATTTTCTGTTTTCTACATATCTTGAAAGGCAGTGCCAAATGACGTGTAATTATCTAGGTGGTAAAACTGAAACATACTTCCTCTTCCCTTGAATATAAAAAAGCATTGTGGTATTAGTACTTTTATCTTGGATCATTGTTCAGAAGGAGGTTCAGCCCCCAGACAACCACATTTTTACTGTCATGAATGGCAAGACAAAATGTAGAGCTCAACTTACCCAAAGGAAAAAAGGCTCAAAAGACAAATTATGGCACAACTTAGCAGCCAAATTCTTACCAAGTACAGACTTTTGACATACTGATCTCTCTCCAGTTCCAAGTCGGAACATGCACTTTGAATGATGTCATTCAAAATTACCCTGCCCAGACACACTTTTCATTGATTCTCTTGGAGGGCAGTTCTAAGAGTCTCTGGGGCTTTCTCTGCATCATGAGACGCAGTGCAGTTCTGCCCTTCACCTTCCGGCAGTTTGTCACCTCGTCCCTATGACCTCACAGGAACTTTGTCTCAGGCCAATTGTTTGTTCCTTGGCCTCTTTCATTTCCCCTAAAAATCATTTGCTGCCCCTCTAAATGGCCTACATCTCCATCTATCTCCCTCTCCCCTCAGAAGAGGGTGCTCTTTAAGCATCAGCCATCCGGCCCTTCTAGCAGTCTCATTTTTCAGCTGGTTCCCATGTTTATGCCTGTTCTATGTTTTTCTTTTCCTGTTAAGCTGTCTGTTGTCAGCTCATTTCTGCAGTGAATCTTCAGAGAGGAGATTGGAAGCTTTCCTTCCACCCATACGATAGAACTATAAAGCAGAAGAGTTTAGAAAGAATTTCCTATTTAAGTGACGAAACCTCATACTCCATTTGTGATAAATAGCACAAAGGTTAAAAAAACTTATTTTTGACCAAAAGCTCTGTTGACATTCTATTAAACAAACACCGACCTATTTAATTTTCATAATGCAAATGGCAGATGTTTTCATAATTCTTATACTAATAAATCATTTCCCTGATTTTTTGGGTAAAACCACATATTCATAATGAAGTCCAGAAATGTGAATTGTTTTATATAATTTATTCTTATTTGTGATTACAAGTATACCTCTACAGAAAGTTAGTATACTCACCCAAAGGTAAACTATCCAGAGGGTAATGACAACTTTATAACTTGTCGGAAACGCAATAATGACATGTAACCAAGGACTTCCACCAAAGTCAGTCCCACGATGATGATGGTCAGCCAGAGTATTGATAACCTGGAATAATAATAGTTGAAATAATGAAAAGGTCAATGACACTGACAATATTTCACTCAGAAAGAATCATCCTTAGAAACCGTCAACCTCCTCCAAAAGGTAACCACATCCCTCAGATATCACCGTGGGATTCCACTGCTACAAAAAAGAACAGAAGTTAGAAGTCACATGTTTTTCAGATGGCTGGTAGTGTTTTCAGGCATTGCAAATGTGGGGTGTTGTCTTTCTTGGTATAAAGCAGGGATATCCAATCTTTTGACTTCCCTGCCTATATTAAAAGAAGCAAAGTTGTCTTGAGCCACACATAACATACACTAACACTAACAATAGCTGATGATCTAAAAAAAACCTCTTTTTTTTTTTTTGAGACAGAGTTCCGCTCCACTCAGTCGCCCAGGCTGGAGTGCAGTGGTGCAATCTCGGCTCACTGCAACCTCCAGCTCCTGGGCTCAAGCCATTCTCCTGCCTCAGCCTCCCGAGTAGCTGAGATTACAGGTCTCTGCCACCATGCCCGACTCATTTTTGTATTTTTAGTAGAGATGAGGTTTCACCACGTTGGCCAGTCTGGCCTTGAACTCCTGACAGGCGATCTGCCTACCTCGGCCTCCCAAAGTGCTGGGATTACAGGTGTGAGCCACCGTGCCCAGCCATTTTTTTGTTTTTGTTTTTGTTTGTTGTTTTTGAGATGGGGTCTCACTCTGTCACCCAGGCTGGAGTGCAGTGGTGTGCTCCCGGCTCACTGCAACCTCTGCCTCTCAGGTTCAAGTGATTCTCCTGCCTCAGCCTCCTGAGTAGCTGGGAGTACAGGTGCCTGACAGTGCACTCAGCAAATTTTTGTATTTTTTGTGGAGATGGGGTTTTGCCATGTTGGTCAGGGTGGTCTCGAACTCCTGACCTCAGGTAATCTGCCCGCCTCAGCCTCCCAAAGTGCTGGGATTACACGCATGAGCCACTGTACCTGGCCAAAATCTCCTAATGTTTTAAGAAAGTTTACAAATTTGTGTTGAACTGCATTCAAAACTGTCCTGGGCCACATGCAGCCCGTCACTCATGGGTAAGACAAGCTAAGTATAAAGTAATTATCTTTTCTTTTCTTTTTGTTTTGAGACAAAGTTTTGCTCTGTCACCCAGGCTAGATTGCAGTGGCATGATCTCAACTCACTGCAACCTCCGCCTCCCGGGTTCAAGCGATTCTCCTGCCTCAGCTACTGAGTAACTGGGATTACAGGCGCCTGCCACCACGCTCGGCTAATTTTTGTATTTTTAGTAGAAACAGGGTTTCACCATCTTGGCCAGGCTGGTCTCCAACTCCTGACCTCATGATCCACCTGCCTTGGCCTCCCAAAGTGCTGGGAATACAGGTGTGAGCCACTGCACCTGGCCAGTAGTTATCTTTTCTTTAAAGTTATTTACTTGTTTTTTAAATTGATGTATAACATTGGATGCATTTATTATATATCACATGGTAAAAGAATCCCTCTAAATAATACTTCTCTCTTGGATTATATGAATCTTTGTCATTTAAATCTCAGCATAAGTAAAAAAAAAAAAAAATACAATGAAGAGATTACTTCATTCACAAATAAGTATCAAATTTTAGTGCTTAAAAATTAACAAGGTGGGCTGGGCGTGGTGGCTCACGCCTGCAATCCCAGCACTTTGGGAAGCCGAGGTGGGTGGACCACGAGATCAGGAGATTGAGACCATCCTAGCTAACACGGTGAAACCCGTCTCTACTAAAAATACAAAAAATTAGCAGGGCATGGTGGCACGTGCCTATAGTTCCAGCTACTTGGGAGGCTGAGGCAGAAGAATCACTTGAACCCGGGAGGCAGAGGTTGCAGTGAGCCGAGATCGCACCACTGCACTTCAGCCTGGGTGACAGAGCGAGACTCTGTCTCAAAAAAAAAAAAAAAAAAAAAAAAAAAATTATCAAGGTGGAGATCATGAAAATGGCATGAATAGTGTGGGATTTCTCTAAGATTGTTGATATTAATTCCATTAGACTCTTATGTGAGTGAAGACGAAGACTTCCCCTGAGTAAGTTCAGACAGCTTGTGATAACATTTCTACGTCGATTCCTCAGGATTTAACTATATATTCTTGAAAACATCTCAATTTTAAATGTTTCTTTCAAGATGGTGAATTAAACAGAGATAGCCCTTCAACAGGTTGAACTCAGCATATGCTGAGTCTGAAATGGAAATGATGAAGTTAGAGAACCATACAACAATGGTAATGATTTCAGAAACATGGTGTTGAGCAGAACAAAGCAGACACAAAAGAGTACCTATGGCATGGCATGCATCTGTATACGCGAAATTCCAGAATAAGCAAGCTAACCTATGATAAGAAAGAGACTGGCTGGGAAGACTGAGAGTTCACTTTCTGGGGTGACATAATAGTGTAGATCTTGGCTGGGCATGGTGGTTCACGCCTGTAATCCCAACGCTTTGGGAGGCCGAGGCGGGCGGATCACCTGAGGTCGGGAGTTCAAAACCAGCCTGACCAACATGGAGAAACCCTATCTCTACTAAAAATACAAAATTAGCTGGGAGTGGTGCCACATGTCTGTAATCCCAGCCACTCGGGAGGCTGAGGCAGGAGAATCGCTCGAACCTGGGAAGCAGAGGTTGCGGTGAGCTGATATTGCCCCATTGCACTCCAGCCTGGGCAACAAGGGAGAAACTGTCTCTAAATAAATAAATAAATAAATAAATAAATAAATAAATAAAATAATGTAGATCTTGAAAGGGGGTTGGTTTATGCTGGTGTATGTACTTTCCAAAGTTAGTAAACTTACACTTAAGGTTATATATTTTGGCCAGGCGCGGTGGCTCACGCCTGTAATCCCAGCACTGGGAGGCTGAGGCAGGCAGATCACGAGGTCAAGAGATGGAGACTATCCTGGCGAACATGGTGAAACCCCATCTCTACTAAAAACACAAAAATTAGCCAGGCGTGGTGGTCTACTAAAAATACAAAAATTAGCCAGGCGTTGTAATCTGAGCTACTCAGGAGGCTGAGGCAGGACAATTGCTTGAACCCCAGAAGCGGAGGTTGCAGTGAGCCGAGATCTTGCCACTGCACTCCAGCCTGGGCGACAGAGTGAGACTCTGTCTAAAAAAAAAAAAAAAAAAAAAAAAAGTCATCAAACCAGATGACACAAATCAAATGACATTTCACTTTGTTTTGGTCCATTTTCTTTGTTAAAAACAAGAGTGCAGCGGGGCCATCTCGGCTCACTGCAACGTCCAGCTCCTGGGCCCAAGCGATCCTCCCACCTCAGCCTCTCCAGTAACTGGGATAACAGGTACGCACCACCAGGCCCGACTAATCTTTATTGGAATTTTTTGTAGAGATGGGGTTTCGCTATGATGCCCTGGCTAGTCTTCAACTCCTGGACTCAAGTGATCTGCCCACCTCGGCCCCCTAAAGTGCTGGGATTACAGGCCTGAGCTGTGTAATTTCATGCCACGTGATACAGCCCAGTAAAAAGGAAGAAACCCCACGGGTCCAGCGTCTACTCACAGAGATGCACTGATGGCTGATAAATTCCAGTAGGAGCCCAAAGAGGAGCCAAAAGAGCATCCACCGCACCCGCATGTCCTGGTCCTTTCAGGGCGCCCTGAGGCGGCCAGGACAGAGGTGGAGGTGGCTTAGGGCAGGGGGGAGGGAAGGGGACGGGGACCGGGGCCGGATCTGAGTTGGGGAGGGGGAGGGGGAGGGGAGGGGGAGGGGAAGGGGAGGGGAAGGGGGGAAGTAAGGGAAGGGAAAGGAGGAGAAGGGGGCTGTTGGGCACCTGGAGGAGGTGGAGGAGGAGGAGGAGAAGAAGAAAGGGGTCTGGGAAAGGATCCGGTTCAAATTAAGTTCTCAAGCGCTGGTGGAAGGTTTAGCTACAGGTCACGGAGAAGATCAGGGAAGCAACAGGACACGCGGGGCAAGGGAGCGTGAGGCTTAGGAGCAATCAGAGGGAGACAAAAAGGTTCTGCTATCCACCAAACCTTCTTCGGTCTGGGCCCTCCCTTACCAACCCTGGGGCTTTATACTCCCTCTCCACCAATCCCTGATGACCCCGGTGGTGCCTCACAATGGACAGTGCCTCACAATGGACAATGCCAAGTAGCGCCCGCATCATTCCAATGACCCCTCCCCCATCTCAGTCTCCCACACTCCTCCCAAAGACAGGTCCTCTCTGGAACCTTCACAAACCTGATTTCTGGTCCTCCCCAACCAGCTCCCTGTCCCTGCTTCTGGGCGCTCCTTCCTTCCTGAGCTCCCAGGGTTCCTCAAGGTCACTTATGGCGACAAAACATAAAAAACAAATGATGGCAGGATGGCAGGAAGAACCTCATACCCAAGCAGAGTGCCAGGTTTTACAGCCTCCGCTCAGCCATTCATATCCTAAGCAACAAAACATCAGCAGGGTGCGGAAGGTCCCGATAGTAAACCATCTCCATCACATCCATGTAGCCATCCGTCCATCAACCTGTATCTCGGGAACAAATGTAGATACATTCATTTTAAGCATGCCTGGTACATTTACAAAAATTAACCTGACTTATTTTGTTCCAGCAAATCTCAATATATTTGAGAGCAATCAAATCACACAGCATGTTTCTGATCATATAACTGTGCTAGAAGTCAATGATTAAAAGCTAATTCAAAATTATTATTTGCTTGGAAATTCAAAGTGCCCTTATAAGACATAAACATAAGAAAGAATCCAAAATGAAACAAGATTGCCTTTCAACTCAATGATGAGATCATAACATGGCAATAAAATGTCTCCCTCTGGCCTGGGAATTCCTCTTTGTGGCACAAGGTTGTGTGATCTCAAATCACCGCTAACCCACCTAGACATTTTAACATCCGAAACCGAGTGATGACGTCCTTATCTATATCATCTTACTGCCTGTGTGTGTGGACTTTAAATTCTGAACCCAAATGAGGGGGAGAAAACCAAGTTGACTTTCATGACTGAGCTCTCAGGGACGTCCAAGGAATCTGTGCATTTCAAGAAACAAAGTTCATCAGCTTCTCTCCTAAGGTATTTGCCCACAATACCCAGAGGGCTTGGCAGCATCATGTGTGATGGGTGGGGAGCTCCAAGCAGGTGGGCAGGACCCAGGGGCCTGGTGACCAGGACAGACCCCCACTGTCCATCACCTTTCCTGGCCCTGTCCTCTGCTAAACTTCCCACAGGCCTTCTGCCCGATCACACAGAGTATGCCCAAACTCTCTCAGGCCTCTGGCAGCTGAAAACCACTGCTTTAAATCCCTTTACCATTTACTATGACATAAGGTTATTGTAAACAGGAAATATTCTATTGATGCTACAAATGGAAAGCCAATGCCTTTACCATAAATAGAAAAACAACCCTAAGAAGCAAGCAAAACAAAAACAAAACAGGGGCTGGGTGTGGTGGCTCACGCCTGTAATCCCAGCACTTTGGGAGGCCGAGGTGGGCGGATCACAAGGTCAGGAGTTCCAGACCAGCCTGGCCAATATGGTGAAACCCTGTCTCTAATAAAATACAAAAATTAGCCGGGTGTGGTGGTGGGCGCCTGTAGTCCCACCTACTTGGGAGGCTGAGGCAGGAGAATAGTTTGAACCCGGGAGGCAGAGTCTGCAGTGAGCCGAGATTGCACCACTGCACTCCAGCCTAGGCGACAGAGCGAGACTCTGTCTCAAAAACAGCAACAACTACAAACAAAAAACAGGGTTAACAAAAGTATGGAATTCAATTCTTTTTATATGCTGCAGCCATGTTCCTGCCCTAGATTTGGCTGGGCATGGTGGCTCACGCCTGTAATCCCAGCACTTTGGGAGGCTGAGGCAGGCGGATCACGAGGTTAGGAGTTCGAGACCAGCCTGACCAACATGGTGAAACCCCGTCTCTACTAAAAATACAAAAATTAGCCAGGCATGGTGGCACACGCCTGTAATCCCAGCTACTCAGGAGGCTGAGGCAGGACAATCCCTTGGACCCGGGAGGCGGAGGTTGCAGTGAGCCGAGATCGTACCATTGCACTCCAGCCTGGGTGACAGAATGGAATGAGACTCTGTCTCAAAAAAAAAAAAAAAAAAAAAAGCAGCCCTAGATTTCGGTTGTGGTGGTTGTAAAAGGAGAGACCAAGTAAGTGGGGGTTGAAGTCAGATTAGAGCAAAAGTGAATGGCAGAGAGTACTATAATGTCCATGAAGGGCTGCTAGAGTCACCGTGATCATAGCCCAAGCAGAGATAGGGAAAGGAAGATGTGAGCAGAGTTTGGGGTCTCGAACAATGGAGGTTATTCGTGCAGCCCAGGAAAGGCTCCCCAAAGCCAGGATCAACCTCCCTTGGAGGCGGTCCCTCATGGAGGCATGGTCAGGCACCTTAGATTTGAGACCAGCTATGTTGCTGCTGACCAGCTGTGTGACCCTGGGCTGGTTTCCTTCCACACAATGGGAGTGCCAATGGCTGCATGCATGCAAAGACCGTCTGAGGATAGGAGGAAGCAATCTGTTGAGCACCCGTGTACCTGAGTGTCATCACCTCCCAAGGGCATCCTTCGTTCCAGAGCTGGCACCTTGGAAGGCCCTTGGTCACTGAAGGCAGTGATGATGGTAACAGCAGTAAATCATCATTTACGGCTGATGAGGGAAGGCCAGGGGTAGGGCTCCTAGGTCCTGGATAAGAATGAGGGTCTGGGCACTCCTGGGGACAGCTGAGTGGTAGGACTCCTGGGTCCCCAGGGGGCAGGTCCATCTTCAGTGGCATTGGGCCTAGGCTGGGATGCTGAGTTATCCACTGGAGCATCAGCAGTACAGGCAGGCACAGAGGCAGTGGATCCATCGGAGGTGGCAGGTGTAGGATCGTCTGGTGAGCAAGTAGAGTCACCAAATCTGGCTGACCACTACCCCCACTACCCCCACTATCCCCACAGACGATGCCCTGTCCCTTGCCTCATGCTCCGGCAGGGTACAGGCTCGCACCTGGGGCCTCAAGGAGCATCTCTCTAAGACCTCTGTGTCCTGGTCATTGAATGGGCACTTGAGTCACCCAGGGCCATTGGAACAAAGAGGAAGAATCAGGCCCCACGATGTTTTGGGAGAGTGTTTAGCACAGGAAAATGCGCAGAATACACGCACGACACGGGGGCACTGTCAGTGTGGGAGCAATGGTTTACAACCTCCAGCCCTAATCTGAGCACTCTCACCTGTGCAATCTGAAAGGAACAGGAGACTTGCAGGAAAGACAGTGCCTGGATTTAACTTAAAGGAACTAAAAATGTTGGAATTTTTACTCTTGATATCCTTCCAAATCAACTCTCTCAATGTTCCCATCCTCAAAACTATCATATGGGGTAACTGAGGCAGTCAGAGATTTACTGACTCAATGTCACTCAATTGATTCTGAGTTCACTGCTGATTACATCCGACCAAACTGCTTTTTCTGAAGTCTACTCCGTTTAATCATGCTGGTGATGATTTTGTGCGGCTCTGGGACAAACTCCACCTGGCTGAAGATAAAGCAAATCTGCGGTGACTTAGTCCTCCTGTCATTTCCCATCAGTTCCCCACTCTCCTCCTCTGCCCCTCCACAGTCTCCCATGCAGGCTGACACCATATGACGGCCTTAATGGAGTCCACCGAGTATTTCAGGTTCTCTCCTGGGCCACTTGAAAGTGGATGTACCCATGGGATTTGCTTTGACCCAGGAGATGTGCGTGGAAGTGAAGCGTGTCACCTCGAGGCAGAAGAGTTGGGAGCCATTGAGACGGGCCACTCTCTCCTTCATCTCTTAGAGCAGCTGACAGCTCCCATATGGAGGCTGCTCCTTTATTCTCGTGGCAGGATGAGGGCATGTGGGGCACAGGGCACAGGAGAGCCATGGAGGATGTGCAGCATGGGCAGGAAAAGAGCCTTCAGTGGTGTACATTTCCATAGTTTGGGGCTGTTTCTTACCTACAGTGATACCTAGCCCATCCTAGCAGGCATGCACCATCTACTCCACACTCTGTGATGCAGACTAGCCTGCCGTCAGAACACGAACTGGTGGTCAGACACAGGTAGGTTTCAGTTCCAGCTCTGCCTCTTATTGACTGCAACCTCAGGCTTAACTTTCAGTCTCTGAGCCTCAGTTTCAACTCTGTAAAATGAGGTGGCTATACCATCTCAGGTTGCAGAGAGAATTAAATGAAATATAAGTGCATGTAGAGCATTGAACCCAGGGCCTGGCACACACAGTGAGTACACAATGTTAGCCAGGTAGCTTCATAATGCATACTGATTGTCAATATTCAGACAATGCAGTAAAGTGTTACCAAAAATAAAAGTAAACTTATTTGCATATGTATTCTTTCAATCTTTATTTTTAAACAGGGTAAAACTATGCATATTCTTTCATAGCCAGTGTTTTTCTCTTCATAGTATATTGTTAAAATAATTTTACTTGGACCGGGTGCAGCGGCTCACACCTATAGTCCCAGCACTTTGGGAGGCCGCGGTGGGCAGATCACGAGGTCAGGAGTTGACACGAGCCTGGCCAATATGGTGAAACCCCATCTCTACTAAGAATACAAAAATTAGCTGGGCATGGTGGCACACACCTGTAGTCCCAGCTACTCAGAGGCTGAGGCAGAGGAATTGCTTGAACCCGGGAGACAGAGGTTGCAGTGAGCCAAGATTGTGCCATTGCACTCCAGCCTGGGGGACAGAGTGAAACTCTGTCTCAAAAAATATGTGTGTGTGTGTGTGTGTGTGTGTGTGTGTGTGTGTGTGTGTGTGTGTATCTATATAAATCTCAAAAATAAAAGATCATTTTTGAGATTATCATTTTAAAAGACAAGATAATGTTCAACTTAATGACTAATTTAATTATTACTATTGGACTTTTTGTAGACTGCACAGAGCATTCAAAACAAATGAAGGAGAATAAAAAATATGTATTACATGTTATAAAATAAATGTGATGTGGTTAACTCTTTTATTCAAAGTTATAGAACATACATATGTACTATAGAATGTATTATTATGAGTCATGTTAAAAAGTAGTTTAGAAGCTGTTGATTTGAATTTCCTTTTCAAATTTTGCAGGATAATTTTTTTTTTTTTTTTTTTTGACAGAGTCTCGCTCTGTCGCACAGTCTGGAGTGCAATGGCGTGATCTCGGCCCACTAAAACCCCCACCTCCTGAATCTAAGCAATTCTCCTGTCTCAGCCTCCTGAGTAGCTGGGACTACAGGCTCACACCACCATGCCCGGCTAATTTTTGTATTTTTAGTAGGGACGAGGTTTTGCCATATTGGTCAGGCTGGTCTCAAAGTCCTGGCCTCCGGTGATCCACCAGCCTCAGCCTCCCAAAATGCTGGGATTAGAGGCATGAGTCACCATGCCCAGCCTAAACTTGGCAAGATAATAAATCACCTTTTTAAGTGTCGTTGGGCACTTGTCTGGTTGTTTTTCTTTAGGTTACCATGCCAGCAATGATTCCTTTTGAGTTTCTGACAGAAGATAGTGGTTTTCATCCAAATAAGTCAACTACTCTACCCCATCCCTAAGCCACTTGTATGGAAAGAAAAAGAGGAAGAAGCCAGTACTGTGACTGCGTAAGCTTCCCCCAGCATCACCGGCTATGAGATGTGTGGCAGCTGAGACCCGGGAACTGCTCAAGGGCACCAGGCCCCATCTGTCTGCACTCACTCACCTTCCTCAGGTACTCGCATGGGCATGTCACTGACTTTACATGCTGCTGCAGCTCCTTGGTGAGCTGGCCCTGGTCATGGGACAGGAACTGTGGGGTCAGGACAATAGAGAGCTTCACCATTTGCAGAATGAGAACAGGGGCTCATGATGAGTGCCAACCTATTAGATAATTTAAAAAAAAAAGTGTTGAATGAGTGGAAAAACAAGGTGATGTTTGAGTCTATAGTGGTCAAGGGCTTCAGAAAAGGACAGAACCAAGTTCAAATTCCTGTACTTTGAATTTCTACTTCATGCCATGCAAAATTACTTTACCCCTTTTAACCTCAGTTTTCTTCTGTGTGAAACAGGAACAATAGTTTCATTCGTCATTCAGTTTCTCTCAAGATTTCACGAGATCATACCTATAAAACATCCAAGTCATTTAAATGTATCATCATTTCTGTCATAATTAGTGGGATCCATTTCACTATTATTGGATATACAGTTCTGTGCCTGAAACCTACAAAAAAACAAAATGTTAAGTCTAAAAAGCATTAGTGATTTCTCATTTTTATATTACTAATTATAACCCTATTTAATCACACAAGGCCTTGTCCGCGGCAGGTGCTCAATAAACACTTGTCGAATCAATGCATGTGGGCTCCGGAGCCACACTGTTTAGATTCTATTCTGCCTCCACCACTTATCAGCTGTGTGATCTGGGTAAGATAATTCACCTCTTTATGTCTGCACTTCCCTCTCCATAAACTATATATAATGAGAATCCTTAGCTCATTCGGTTGTGGTGAGGGGTGAATGATTTGGCACACAGGAGGGGCTTGTTAAACATTAGCTGTGATGATCTCCTTCCAAATCTTCATTTTCAGAGCCACAGATGAGGCCATAGTGCAACCAGGTGACCTTAGAGTGTAAGTACACATGATCGCCAGCTATGCTCTATCTCCACCATAGGTCCAAGACTGGGTAGTTCTGGCCTGGAGGTTTCTGCTGCATCTGCCTTCTCAGTGTTCACCTAAGGACTTTTGTATTTTCCTCCTCGCATCCCCACAGATGGGGTTCAGGCTGCCGGACACAGCTGGGTGATGCCAGGGCAGTGGTCACCTGTGCCAGCCCCGTGAGGTAGCTGGAGGATCATTGTTCCTTCCTTCTCGGGCTCTGGGCAGATGCCAGGGCTGGGGTGACCCATGCCCTCAAGTTTCTTGCTTTGGTGGGCCACATTTTCCCTTGGCAAAGAGGGTAAAGGTCACAGGATGCCGGAGAGCTGTGACTTCTCTGTGCCCTGGGCCCAAACTATGAAGACCTGACACACTATGCTAAAAGTCCAACGCTGGGTGCTCCCCAGAGCTTCTTGCCTCACCGCTTCTGCTGAGGGAGGAATGAATACTATGTCCTCCCAGAGCTTTGGGAGCTTGTAGCAAGCAGCCTCCCCAGCGCAAAATCTCTTGGAAACCTCTAACTGTGTCTGAAACATTAGTGCAAATGTTGCATCCTATTTCCCATATGTCCGCATGTTTTAGAAAAAAACCCTCAATTTCCTAAATATGCAAGAAAAATCGGTATTGTAGGACAATGTGACTTTTTAAAGAATGTTATTTAAAAATCTTCCCCACCTCCTTTTCTGCCCTCCAAGACTGCCAAATACTTGTTGAACATATATTATTAAATGCCTACTACATGCCAGCCATGATTCATGGTCTTGGGGACACAGCAGAGAACGAACTGACAGGACTCCTCTCTTATGTAACTCACATTCTTATATGATAATGATAAGGGTTAACATTAATTAAGCTGTCACTGCATGTTAGTCACGGTGCAGTCATTCCCACACATTATTACACTTAAACCTGCTAGCAAGCTTGCAAGGTAGTTAGTTGTTTTTCCTTTAAAAACTGAGTCTCGGAATGATGAAGCACTCTGTCCAATGTCACACAGCTAGTAAGTGTGGAGACCTTGCATCCAATCAATGCCCGTCTCATTCTAAAGGCCATGTTATGTGTTCTCCAGCCCATGGAGAATAATTTTAACACAGTCAATGAAATTTCTACACAACAATGTTCTTGTCTCAAGTCCAAGAATGCCTCCTACACCTCCTATAATACTGGCTTTCTGGTGAGTAAAGATGCCATTCTCATGTGTAATCAGGTGGCAAATGGAGATATGACCAAAGTAACCACCTGCCTACACTCATAACCCTGTACACACTCTTCCTGTGTCGATTCAATTCAAGTACCCCTTTTGATCACTTAGCAAATCTGACCTTTAAAAGGGTTAGGGTTTTTATATCCATGTAAGTTTCTGTATTGCTTTGGAAGTCTCTGGTTAAATTAATACTCTTTTAATAGTGACCTGTGATTCTGTTTTGATCAAGTGTTTTCAAACTTGACATCTTTGATGGGTTTCTCCAGTGTCAAAATCCTAAATCAAGTCTTTTTGGCTTAAAACTAACTTTGGGATTTTTTTCAGCTGCATCCCTTGGGGAGTCTAAAGAATGTATCTCTCATCTTGTAGAGGTATTAAGTGATTCGATTTATTTGGTAGATTAAATGGGCAGGCATTGTCAAATGTGGCGATACTGCATGGGAGGGCACTGTCAAGTGAGGTGACATTAGATCTCATCTCAGTTATATTTATGGGTATGTTGTTGATATGCGTGTTCCAAAAATTGCATACATTTATACAAATTTAATATGATTTGTAATTTTGATAGTTATGCTAAATATTTGCTAAAGTTATATTTGTATAAACATGTCACGAATGGCTGGGCACCGTCACTCATGCCTGTAATCCCAGCACTTTGGGAGACAAAGGCACGTGGATCACCTGAGGTCGGGAGTTCCAGACCAGCCTAATAGAGTGAAACCCTGTCTCCACTAAAAATACAAAAATTAGCCATGCCTGGTGGCACATGCCTGTAATCTCAGCTACTCGGGAGGCTGAGACAGGAGAACTGCTTGAACCCAGGATGCGGAGGTTGTAGTGAGCTGAGATCATGCCACTGCACTCCCGCCTGGGTGACAAAGGTAGAATCTATCCAAAAAAAAAAAAAAAAGTTATTATTTCTGAAGATTGTATGAAATTTATAAAAGTCTGCTGGCCCTGATATGATGCTGTCAGTCATGATTCTGATTACTGTCTTAAAATGCTGCACATAAGTAATTAAATTTCCTTGTGAACTGGGAAGTTTCATCAGACTTTTATCATAACTATTGTTTCCATCATCCACAGTTACTGTTTTGAATTCTTCTCTAAAAATATTTGTAATTGGCAATAGTCCAAATTTTCTTTTGTTTTCTTTCCTGTTTTTGAGACACAGTCTGGCTCTGTTGCCTAAGCTGGAGTGCAGTGGTGGTATCTCGGCTCACTGCAAACTCTGCCTCCCGGGTTCACGCCATTCTCCTGCCTCAGCCACCCAAGTAGCTGGGACTACAAGTGCTGCCACCACATCCAGCTAATTTTTTGTATTTTTAGTAGAGACAGGGTTTCACTGTGTTAGCCAGGATGGTCTCAATCTCCTGACCTCGTGATCTCCGCGCCTCGGCCTCCCAAAGTGCTGGGATTACAGGTGTGAGCCACCGTGCCCAGCCTAATTTTTGCATTTTTAGTAGAGAGGAGGTTTCACCATGTTGGCCAGGGTGGTCTCGATCTCCTGACCTTGTAATCCGCCTGCCTCAGCCTCCCAAAGTGCTGGGATTACAGGCGTGAGCCACTGCAACTGACTTTTTTTCTTTTTTTTTTTTTTTTTTTTTGAGACAGAGACTCACTCTGTCACCCAGGCTGGAGTGCAGTGGCATGATTTTGGCTCACTGCAACCTCCACCTCCTGAGTTCAAACAATTATCCTGCCTCATCCTTCGGAGTACCTGGGATTACAGGTGCGTGCCACCGTGCCCGGCTCATTTTTGTATTCTTAGTAGAGACGGCATTTCACCATGTTGGCCAGGCTGGTCTCAAACTCCTGGCCTCAACTGATCCACTCTCATTGGCCTTCCAAGGTGCTGGGATTATAGGCGTGAGCCACCACAACTGGCTCAGTAAATACATTTTTTATTATCAAAAAAGAGTAGTGTATGGTTGGCGTATTCTGTGTAGAATGTATTTTATTGATGTCTCCTATTTTTATAATTTCTGAGTTAAGTACTTTTTAATTAATGCTTTTTAGTTTTGGGCAGATTCAGTTGACTAAAGCACCTCATTTCCCAGATACATGAAATAAAATATTTGGCTTCTTTTCCAATTTCACACTGATGTTATTTTGTGAAAATCAGTGCTTTAAGATAAATCGTTATACGTTAAGATAAACATGAGAAACTTGATCTAATATTTAATAGTTATTCAGTTCTACACTTTATTAACTTCTACACCAGCAGATTTAGACATTATGTAACCATCTCAAGAAGTTTCACTTGGATGTAATGCTTCACGCTTGTAATCCCAGCACTTTAGGAGGCTGAGGTGGGAGGACTGCTTAAGGCAAGGAGTCTGAGACCAGCCTGGGCAATACAGCAAGATCCCATCTCTATTTTAAAGAAAAGTTTCACTTTGGGAGGCCAAGGCGGGTAGATCACAAGGTCAAGAGATCGAGACCATCCTGGCTAACATAGTAAAACCCCATCTCTACTAAAAATATAAAAAATTAGCCGGGCGTGGTGGTGGGCGCCTGTAGTCCCAGCTACTCGGGAGGCTGAGGCAGAAGAATGGCGTGAACCCGGGAGGCAGAGCTTGCAGTGAGCTGAGATTGCGCCACTGCACTCCAGCCTGGGCGACAGAGCGACACTCCATCTCAAAAAAAAAAAAAAAAAAAAGTTTCGGCAAATTCCATCTAAGAATTCCACCAGAGTTCTGTTGTCTCCAATGTCATCTTCCACAGATTTCAAGTTGTGAAGCCCTGAACTGTTAATTTATCTTGAGAATGTATATTTAAGCTTAATTTAAGACTATATACCTAAAAATTGAGCATGTAATTTCTATAATTTGTTTATGTAAGTTTCTGTAAGTCATAAGTATGTGGTTTCCAAGTGTATAATTTATCTGAATGTAATAGGCATTAATATATTTTACATTACTGGGACCATAGTACAGAAATTTCTAAATGGTTTGTAAAATAACTTGTTATTTGTGTTGTTGTAAAAGCAGTTAATACAATGGAAAAACTCGTAATAAGAAGATACAGTTTAACATCAAAAAGTTTACCCAAGGTAATTATGAGTACTACCTGGCAAAACTTCACGGAAGCTGTGGTATCACTTTTATGATGGAAGAATGGTGTTTGCATTTTGTGTAAAAGTACTTGCGGCTGGGCGTGGTGGCTCATGTCCCAGTGCTTTGGGAGGCGAAGGCAGGTGGATCATCTGAGCCCAGGAGTTTGAGACCAGCCTAGGCAACGTGGCAAGAGCCTGTCTCTCCAAAACCTACAAAATTTAGCCAAGCTTGGTGGTGTGAGCCTGTAGTCCCAGCTACTTGGGAGACTCACGCTGGAGGATCTCTCGAGCCCAGGAGGCAGAAGATGAATAAATAAATGGAAGCAACTGAATGGGATGAGGTCTCTCTTGAAGGAGAGAGCAAAAGAGATTTAAATAGTAACAATTATAATAAGGCTGGGCGCTGTGGCTCACGCTTGTAATCCCAGAACTTTGGGAGGCCAAGGCAGGCGGATCGGTTGAGGTCAGGAGTTCAAGACCAGCATGGCCAACACGGTGAAACCCTGTCTCTATTAAAAATACAAAATTAGCCGGACATGGTAGTGCGTGCCTGTGGTCTCGGCTACTCAGGTGGCTGAGACAGGAGAATCGCTTGAACCTGGTAGGCACAGGTTGTAGTGAGCCGATAAATATAAAAAGTATTAGAGTACTAACAGAGGAAAGTTTCCACTGATCACCTTTTAGCTTTAAATAATGCAGAAGCATTTGCCCAGTTTACTTGTAATTAAAAATCATGCATCATTCACAATTTATATCTTTTTTGTTTGTACAAAAATGAACACAAGTTATTCTCTTTTATCTGTATTGTGATTGGTTTGGTGAGAGGGAATTAGGCCACTTGAGAGTTTGTGTGTGTTTACAATTTTCTGGCCAGGCACGGTGGCTCATGCCTGTAATCCCAGCACTTTGGGAGGCCAAGGCGGGCGGATCACTTGAGCTCAGGAGTTCGAGACCAAATTGGGCAACATGGTGAAACCCTATCTCTACGAAAAATACAAAAATTAGCTGAGTGCCGTGGCTTGCGCCTGTCCTCCCAGCTACTTGGGGGGCTGAGGCAGTAGGATCGCTCAAGCCCAGGAGGTGGAGGTTGCAGTGAGCCAAGATCACGTCACTGCACTCCAGGAAGGGCAACAGAGCAAGACTCCTTCTAAAAAAAAAAAAAAAGAAAGAAAGAAAAGAAAATTAACTTTGGTATTTCAGGTTGTATTTAAATGGAGACTTAACATGAACTATGTTCATAACACTTGACCAAATTAAGTGTAGATCGTCTCTTTAATAAAGAGATCATCTGGAACTGCAATTTCTAACTCATACATCATTGCTACAAACCTTATTTGTTTACTGTTTCTCTTCCAGGGACCATCAGTCATCCTTTAAAATTCATTTCAAGCTCTGAAAAGATATTTTTTGTTACATGGGCAATTTACTTTTAGTACAGTAAAATGTTATGTGAATTTCTACAGTATGTTTGCCAAAATGAATTATATCTAGAATACGCTTAACAATATATTCTGGAGGCAGCTTTCATTTGAAATTAGGTTCACCTTCTGAGAGTATGAAAAAGTTAATGGGTTTTTGTGCCTGAAGATTTTGATGTTGCATTTGGCTACATTTAATCCACTTTCACCCATAAGTTTTAGCATCTAAAAAAATTAAATCACTGCTAATGCAATTAAAATGCATTATGAAATGCACTTCTGTCCAGGCTGGAGTGCAGTGGCACAATCTCGGCTCACTGCAAGCTCCGCCTCCCTGGTTCACACCATTCTCCTGCCTCAGCCTCCCTAGTAGCTGGGACTACATGTGCCCGCCACCACGCCCGGCTAATTTTTTTTTTTTTTTTTTTTTTTAATGAGGCGGAGTCTCGCTCTGTTGACCAGGCTGGAGTGCAATGGCATGATCCTGGCTCACTGCAACCTCTGCTTCCTGGGTTCAAGTGATTCGCCTGCCTTGCTGGGATGACAGACGTGCACCACAATGTCCGGCTAATTTTGTATTTTTAGTAGAGACATGGCTTCACCATACTGGCCAGGCTGGTCTTGAACTTCTGACCTCAGGTGATCCCACCTTGGCCTCCCAAAGTGCTGGGATTACAGGCATGAGCCACTGTGCCCAGCTTAAGATCTCTGTTTTAATGTTAATGCTGGTCAGTTGTGTCTGGATTCCAGAGGGAGGAAGGTAGAATGAGGCATGTTGACACCTCCCCTTCCCATCATGGCCTAAGCTGGTCTTTTCAGTTTACTTTGGAATGTCCTTGCTCAACAGGAAGGGTCCATTCAGTCGGATTGGGTGGCTTAGAATTTTATTTTTGGTTTACATCTCAACTATCACAGCAGCCGGGCGCGGTGGCTTCACAGCTGTAATCCCAGCACATTGGGAGGCTGAGGCAGGGGTATCACCTGAGGTCTGGAGTTCTAGACCAGCCTGACCAACATGGAGAAACCCCCCGTCTCTACTAAAAATACAAAATTACCCGGGCGTGGTGGTACATGCCTGTAATCCCAGCTACTCGGGAGGCTGAGGCAGGAGAATCGCTTGAACCTGGGAGGCGGAGGTTGTGGTGAGCTGAGATCGTGCCACTGCACTCCAGCCTGGGCAACAAGAGCGAAACTCTGTCTTAAATAAATAAATAAATAAACAAACAAACAAACAAACAAACTATCACAGCATAAAGTAGGAATATTTCGTTACTGTCTAGTTAAACTGGTTAATGCAGAAAGGAAGTCTGGTAATTCCAGTTTTAAAGTAAAATTTTGGACATTGTAGGATTGATTATTTGGCATAGTTGTGATGTTTGTTCCTGCGTTATGGTTTTGTTGGCAGGGCAGCCTTTAAGGACCTGTATATTTTCTTCTAGACTCTATATATTCCCTGTGAGTATTAGTTGTATGGTCAAACTGGCAAATTTTACCATAGGTATAAATAATAGAGAATGTGGAAGAATAGTGAATAGTGTCAGAGATAGTTAAAAGTCCATACAATAGTAGAGAAGGTAGTAAGTAATAGTGGCTTGGACTAAATATTTGTTGAATAAATGTTTTAAAAAACAGGCTACCTACAATTTGTGTTGAAGATATGAATGAATGAAGTTTCCACACCTTTATGTGGAGACCTGATAAGTAAGCAACAATAAGGAAGGGTCCCCAGGTTGGGGAGAGCCCCAAGTTGAGAACAATAATGAACAATTATTGTATGAACAATTGTTAGAGACAGCTAATCACAAACAACCTGCGGGCACAATGACCTCATTCCACACGTAGCACCCTTCAGCAGGACCCTATAAAACTTTCCTCCAGCCCTTGCCTCTTTGCAGGTAGCCCCTTCTCTGCTGAGCTGCCCACTGCAACATATTTTCACAATTTCTCTAATAAATCTGCCCTTCTTTACCTACAACTATCTTGGTAAATGGCTTTACCACCTGCAAAACTGACCCTAGGTTGTTGCTACCCGATATGGTTTGGCTGCGTCCCCACCCAAATTTCATCTTGAATTGTAGTTCCCATAATCCCCATGTGTCGTGGGAGGGACCCGGTAGGAGGTAATCGAATCATGGGGGCAGGTTTTTCCCATACTGTTCTCGTGATAGTGAATACATCTCACTAAATCTGATGGTTTTATAAAGGGCAGTTTCCCTGCACGTGCTCTCTTGCCTGCTGCCATGGAAGACATACCTTTTTGCTCCTTCTTTGCCTTCCACCATGATTCTGAGGCCTCTCCAGCCTTGTGGAACTGTGAGTACATTAAACCTCTTTTTCTTTATAAATTACCCAGTTTCCAGTATTTCTTCATAGCAGTATGAAAAGTAACTAATACACTACCCGAGACATCTTAGGAGATTTGTAATAGCTGTAATGCCAGGTCCACCATATTTTTAGCATAAAGCAAATGTTTACGCGTGATATGACTGCACGGGCTTTCTTTCAGCTGGAGCCATAGCAACTCAAGTAGTAACCCTATCTTAGTCTGATTAAAAGTAAATATTAGTCTGGGCATGGTGGGACATGCCTGTAATCCCAGTACTTTGGGAGGCTGAGACAGAAGGATTGCTTGAGCCCAGGAGTTTGAGACCAGCCTGGGCAACATGGAAAAACACCATCTCTACAAAAAATACAAAAATTAGCTGAGCTGGTGGCACACACCTGTAGTCCCAGCACCTTGGGAGGGTGAGGCAGGAGGATCTCTTGAACCCGGGAGGTGGAAGCCGCAGTGGGCAATGATCATGTCAGAGGTGTGTGAACCAGAGCAACTCCATCTTAAATAGGAGCCGGGAAAAATGAGGCTGAAACTACTGGGCTGCATTCCCTGATGGTTAAGGCATTCTAAGTCACAGGATGACATAGAAGGTCAGCACAAAATACCAGTCATAAAGACCTTGCTGATAAAACAGGTTGCAGTGAAGGAGCTGGCCAAAACCCACCAAAACCAAAATAGAGACAAGACTGACCTCCCATCATCCTCCCTGCTACACTCCTACCAGCACCATGACAGTTTACAAATGCCACGGCAACATCAAGAAGTTACCCTATATGGTCTAAAAAGAGGAGGCATGAAAAATCCACTCCTTGTTTAGCATATCATCAACAAATAACCATAAAAATGGGCAACCAGCAGCCCTCACGGCTGCTCCGTCTATGGGGTAGCCATTCTTTTATTCCTTTACTTTCTCTCTTTTTTTTTTGAGATGGAGTCTCCCTCTGTCACCCAGGCTGGAGTGCAGTGGCGCGATCTCGGCTTACTGCAAGCTTCGCCTCCCGGGTTCATCCCATTCTCCTGCCTCAGCCTCCAGAGTAGGTGGGACTACAGGCACCCGCCACCACACTTGGCTAATTTTTTTGTATTTTTAGTAGAGATGAGGTTTCACCGTGTTAACCAGGATGGTCTTGATCTCCTGACCTCGTGATCCACCTGTCTCGGCCTCCCAAAGTGCTGCGATTACAGGAGTGAGCCACCGTGCCCCTCCTCCTTTACTTTCTTAATAAACTTGCTTTCACTTCACACTGTGGCATCACCCTGAATTCTTTCTTGCACAAGATCCAAGAACCCTCTCTTGGGGTCTAGATTGGGACCCCTTTCCTGTAACTATCATGCTACTGCACTCCAGCCTGGGCAACAGAGCAAGGCCCTGTCTCAAAAAAAAAAAAAAAAAAAAAAAAGGAACATGACTTAATACATTCATTTTGGAGGGTAAGTCTCTCAAAATAGGCCTTTCACTGGGGGAAAATGGTAAAAATACTCCCTGGTAATTCAAGAATTGGAGACTCCTGAGATGCTGCTCATATTAGCTGAGCACTTATCAATACTTCACTTTTTTCCATATATACTCAAGGAACAAGTGCTATTTAAAGTGTTTCACTCCACTGTGCTAGGTGCAAGACTATAAAGAGGTGTGAGGATCAACACTTTTATGAAAACCAGTGTCATTCTGGATATAGTTTCAGATGCTAGTGCAAAGGAAGCTCTTGGTATACGGAAAAAGTATTCAACAATAAATTAGGCATGGTTGCTTCCATTTTCTGCCTCACATACTTTTTTTTTCGTGGTTGAAGTGATATAATGTCTATGATATTTTAGATTGGCAGTTGCAAACTAGTGGTCCTCAGCGTGCTTTTTATGACACCTACAAGGTCTGAAGACTTTGATTTCATATTAAAAATCTGGGTTTCAGGCTGGGTGTGGTGTTGCATGCCTGTAATCCCAGCACTTTGGGAGGCTGAGGCAGGAGAATCGCTTGAACCAGGGAGGTGGAGGTTGCAGTGAGCCAAGATCGCGCCACTGCACTCAAGCTTAGGCAATAGAGCAAGACTCCATCTCAAAAAATGAATAAATAAATAAATAAAATCTGGGTTTCAGGCCAGGTGTGGTGGTGCACTCCTGCAATCCCAGCACTTTGGGAGGCTGAGATGGGCAGACAGCTTGACCTCAGGAATTCCAGACTAGCCTGGGCAACATGGCGAAACCCCATGTCTACAAATAATACAAAAAAATTAGCTGGGTGTAGTGGAGTGTGCCTGTAATCCCAGCAACGTGGGAGGCTGAAGTGAGAGGATTGCTTGAGCCTGGGAGGTTGATGTTACAGTGAGCTGAGATCGCCCTCCTACACTCCAACCTGGGCAACAGAGCCAGACCTTGTCTTAAAAAAAAAAAAAAAAAAAAAAAAAAAAAAATTCTGGGTTTCTGGCATCTCAAAAAAAAAAAAAAAAAAAAAAAAAAAGGAAAGGTCAGGGCACATGGCTGCTACAGTCCTCTATTAAGCAATGTGCCACAGCAGGGGTGCCTGACCCCTGGGCCATGGACATGTACTGGTCTGTGGCCTGTTAGGAACTGGGCCACAGAGCAGGAGGTGAATGGTGGGTAACAATTGAAGCTTCGTCTGTATTTCTGGCTGCTCCCCATTGCTTGCATTGCTGCCTGAGCTCTGCCTCCTGTCAGATCAGCAGCATCATTAGATTCTTACAGGAGCATGAACCCTGTTGTGAATTGCACACACGAGGGATCCAGGTTGCATATTCCTTATGAGAATCTAATTCCTGATGATTTGTGGTGGAACAGTTTCATCCCAAGACCATTACCATCCTGCGCCCCATCCCTTGCCGCCTGTGGAAAAATTGTCTTCCACAAAGCCGGTCCCTGGTGCCAAAAATGTTGGGGACTGCTGTGCTTTAGAATCTGCCATGAATCTGCAGCCTCTATTATATAGCTCCCTATAGACTTTGCTTCCTACCGTCTTACGTTCTGCCTTATAGGCATTTGACTTTGCAACCCTTGTTTTTGTTAGTATGCTACGCTGGTGACATTGACCAAATTGACCACACATTAATTATAAGCTTAGTTGGTGATGACCTCAACGGAATAACGTGACATAAGTATTGTGACAATACTTCTTGCATGTATCTGCAGGTGGAATTGTAAACCTGGTGGTCCGAGATGGTCTAATTCCATCTTCCTATGTATCTCCTTATATTAATAGTGGTAACATTTGTGGTGGTGATTCAGCATTTCAATGCCTCTTCTCATGGCAACAACAAACGTTTTCCTTCTGAATCAACATTAACCTAGATGTTACTGCGGATCAAAATTAGACTCTACATTTTCAACCACAGAAATACCGGGCAGTAAAAATTTTTCTTAATATTGATTGCCTACATAGGTTGTGTAATTAGCATATGTTTACAGTTCTATGATTTCTGCGTGGCTGCTACAGAGCTGGAGGGGGTAAAGCAACAGTATTTTCTCAGTTGTGCGAGCAGCATTACATTATAATAAATAGGTAATATTAAACTGGGCTGATGAGAGTTGCAAAAGACTACTTTAATGTTCATATGGAACCAAAAAAGAGCCCGCATTGCCAAGACAATCCTAAGCCCAATGAACAAAGCTGGAGGCATCATGCTACCTGACTTCAAACTATACTACAAGGCTACAGTAACCAAAACAGCCTGGTACTGGTACCAAAACAGACATATAGACCAATGGAACAGAACAGAGCCCTCAGAAATAATACCACACATCTACAACCATCTGATCTTTGACAAACCTGACAAAAACAAGAAATGCGGAAAGGATTCCCTACTTAATAAATAGTGCTGGGAAAACTGGCTAGCCCTATGTAGAAAGCTGAAACTGGATCCCTTCCTTACACCTTATACAAAAATTAATTCAAGATGGATTAAAGACTTAAATGTTAGACCTAAAGCCGTAAAAACCCTAGAAGAAAACCTAGGCAATACCATTCAGGACATAGGGATGGGCAAGGACTTCATGTCTAAAACACCAAAAGCAATGGCAACAGAAGCCAAAACTGACAAATGGGATCTAATTAAACTAAAGAGCTTCTGCACAGCAAAAGAAACTAGGATCAGTGTGAACAGGCAACCTAGAGAATGGGAGAAAATTTTTGCCATCTACTTATCTGACAAAAGGCTAATATCCAGAATCTACAAAGAACACCAACAAATTTACAAGAAAAAAAACAAACCCCATCAAAAAGTGGGCAAAGCATATGAACAGACACTTCTCAAAAGAAGACATTTATGCAGCCAACAGACACATGAAAAAATGCTCATCATCACTGGCCATCAGAGAAATGCAAATCAAAACCGCAATGAGATATCATCTCACACCAGTTAGAATGGCGATCATTAAAAAGTCAGGAAACAACAGGTGCTGGAGAGGATGTGGAGAAATAGGAACACTTTTACACTGTTGGTGGGACTGTAAACTGGTTCAACCATTGTGGAAGACAGTGTGGCGATTCCTCAGGGATCTAGAACTAGAAATACCATTTGACCCAGCCATCCCATTACTGGATACATACCCAAAGGATTATAAATCATGCTGCTATAAAGACACATGCACACATATGTTTATCGCGGCAATATTCACGATAGTGAAGACTTGGAACCAACACAAATGTCCATCAATGATAGACTGGATTAAGAAAATGTGGCACAGATACACCATGGAGTACTATGCAGCCATAAAAAAGGATGAGTTCATGTCCTTTGTAGAGACATGGATGAAGCTGGAAACGATCACTCTCAGCAAACTATCACAAGGACAAAAAACCAAACACCGCATGTTCTCACTCACAGATGGGAATTGAACAATGAGAACACTTGGACACAGGAAGGGGAACATCACACACTGGGGCCTCTTGTGTGGTGGGGGAGGGGGAAGGGATAGCAGTAGGAGATACACCTAATGTAAATGACGAGTTAATGGGTGCAGTACACCAACATGGCACATGTATACATATGTAACAAACCTGCACATTGTGTACATGTACCCTATAACTTAAAGTATAATTTAAAAAAATAAGTAAATAAATAAATAAAAAAAGAAACAATTGCTGGCTTTGCAATTCTCTTTCCTCCAAAATCGCCAAGGCCTCAATTTACTCATTGCTGAAAAAGGACGACTCTGTATATTTTTAAATGAAGAGTGTTGTTTTTACCTAAATCAATCTGGCCTGGTATATGACAACATAAAAAAACTCAAGGATAGAGTCCAAAAACTTGCCAACCAAGCAAATAATTATGCTGAACCCCCTTGGGCACTCTCTTAATTGGATGTCCTGGGTCCTCCCAATTCTTAGTCCTTTAATACCTGTTTTTCTCCTTCTCTTATTCGGACCGTGTGTCTTCTGTTTAGTTTCTCAATTCATACAAAACCATATTCAGGCCATCACCAATAATTCTATATGACAAATGCTCCTTCTAACAACCCCACAGTATCAGCCCTTACCCCAAAATCTTTCTTCAGTTGAATCTCTCCCACTGTAGGTTCCCATGCCGCCCCTAATCCCACTCGAAGCAGCCCTGAGAAACATCGCCCATTATCTCTCCATATCACCCCCAAAAATTTTCGCCACCCCAACACTTTACCACTATTTTGTTTTATTTTTCTTATTAACATAAGAAGACAGGAATGTCAGGCCTCTGAGTCCAAGCTAAGCCATCATATCCCAGTGACCTGCACGTATACATCCAGATGGCCTGAAGCAACTGAAGATCCACAGAAGTGAAAACAGCCTTAACTGAAGACATTCCACCATTGTCATTTGTTTCTGCCCCACCCTAACTGATCAATGTACTTTGTAATCTGCCCCACTCTTAAGAAGGTTCTTTATCATCTCCCCCACCCTTAAGAAGTTTCTTTGTAATTCTCCTCACCTTTGACAATGTACTTTATGAGATCCACCTCCTGCCCCCAAAACACTGCTCTTAACTCCACCGCCTATCCCCAAATCTATAAGAACCAGTGATAATCACACCACCCTTTGTTGACTCCTTTTTCGGACTCAGCCCGCCTGCACCCAGGTGAAATAAACAGCCATGTTGCTCACACAAAGCATGTTTGGTGGTCTCTTCACACAGACACGTGAGACAGGAGTTCGAGACCAGCCTGGCCAATCTGGTGAAACTCTATGTCTCTACTAAAAATACAAAAATTAGCTGGGCATGGTGGCGGGCACCTGTAATCCCAGCTACTCGGGAAGCTGAGGCACAAAAATTGCTTGAACCCAGGAGGCAGAGTTTGCAGTGAGCCAAGATCACACTGTCAGGCCTCTGAGCCCAAGCCAAGCCATTGCATCCCCTGTGACTTGCACGTATACATCCAGATGGCCTGAAGTAACTGAAGATCCACACAAGAAGTAAAAATAGCCTTAACTGATGACATTCCACCATTGTGATTTGTTTCTGCCCCACCCTAACTCTTCAATGTACTTTGTAATCTCCCCCACCCTTAAGAAGGTACTTTGTAATCTCCCCAACCCTTAAGAAGGTTCTTTGTAATTCTCCCCACCCTTGAGAATGTACTTTGTGAGATCCACCCCTGCCTGCAAAACATGGCTCTTCACCCCCTATCCCAAAACCTGTAAGAACTAATGATAATCCACCACCCTTTGCTGACTCTCTTTTCGGACTCAGCCCGCCTGCACCCAGGTGAAATAAACAGCCATGTTGCTCACACAAAGCCTGTTTGGTGGTCTCTTCACACGGACGCGCATGAAACACACGACTGCACTTCAGGCTGGGCGACAGAGCTAGATTCCATCTCAAAAAAAATAAAATAAAAAGGAGTCACCTCCCCCGAGAGGCCTCTGGACCACCCCATCTGAGCAGGCCACTCTTCCTTCTCTATCTTACCATCTTGTTTCTGTCCCAGTAGTTAGGGCTACCTCCAGTAATCCTATTTGTCCCTTTACTGTTTAGTGCGTCTCGCTTGACTAGAAGCTCCATGAAAGCAAGAGACCCTACCTGCCTCCTTCGCCACTAGACCCCCAGGGCCTGGTATGTGGTGATCGCTCAGGGCCCATTTTCTTCCTTTCCTCCTCCTCCAAGGGTGGGGAAAGAGCATCAGAAGGTCTAGGTGGCCCCAGGCCCAAACAATGCTCCTTTAAAAGGAAACTAGATTGTTACAAAGGTCAGAGGCTGAAAAGTTATTTCCGCCTTTTATCCCTCTAAATTCTTCACTTCCTGAAAAAACAAACAAACAAAAAAGCCACTGAGGGCCCTTGGACTAAATCCAGGCCTGAGTTGCTGGGCAGAGGTCAGTCTTGTCCAGACATGGGAAAAAAATAACTCGAGTCAGACAGGTGGGTCACCACAGAACTAATCCAGCCTGCAAATGGCCTGTGCAATCTTCAGCTCTGTCCAGACCTGCCTCCCTCTGGGGATGCCTTTAAAGGTGATGAATGATCTGGATGAATGGGCTTAGAAGATAAGAGGGAAAAACAAATATCACAGGTCAAATCGTTATTTGTCTTCAAGTTTAACACCGTCTACTGGACTAAAAGATGTCCAAAGAATAGTTGTTCAACTATGTAAATTCCTTTTTTTTTTTTTTTTGAGACAGAGTCTCGCTCTGTTGCCCAGGCTGCAGTGCAATGGTATGATCTTGGCTCACTGCAAGCAACCTCTGATTTTAGTATTATTAGTAGAGACAGGGTTTCACCATGTTGACCAGGCTGGTCTCGAACTCCTGACCTCAGGTGATCCACCTGCCTCGGCATCCCAGAGTGCTGGGATTACAGGCGTGAGCCACCGTGCCCGGCCAACTACATAAATTCCTAACAACGTATCTCCAGAAAGTATAGGCACAACAGCACATGCAGTCATTCCTGTAATTAAGTGCTCCGGGAGGCCAAGGCAAGAAGATCCCTTGAGCCCAGGAGTTTGAGACCAGCCTGGACAACATAGCAAGACTGTGTCTCTACAAAATATACAAAAATTGGGCTGGGGATGGTGGCTCACGCCTGTAGGCCCAGCACTTTGGGAGACCAAGGCAGGAAGATCGATTGAACTCAGGAGCTCGGGACCAGCCTGGACAACATAACGAGACCCAGTCTCTACTAAAACTCAAGAAAATTAGCCAGACGTGGTTGCATGTGCCTGTAGTCCCAGCACTTTGGGAGGCCAAGGTGGGTGGATCACCTGAGGTCAGGAGGTCGAGACCAGCCTGGCCAACATGGTGAAGTCTCATCCCTACTAAAAATACAAAAATTAGCCAGGCACGGTGGCACACACCTGTAGTCCCAGCTACTTGGGAGGCTGAGGCAGGAGAATGGATTGAACCCGGGAGGCAGAGGTTGCAGTGAGCCGAGATGGCACCATTGCACTCCAGCCTGGGCAACAGAACAAGACTCCATCAAAAAAAAAAAAAAAGAAAAGAAAGAAGAGAAGAAAATTAGCCAGGTGTGGTTGCATGCACCTGTAGTCCCAGCACTTTGGGAGGCCAAGGCAGGAGGATCAATCAAGGCTAGGAGATTGAGACTGCAGAAGGAAACCCTGTCTCTAAAAACAAGGTCCAGCTAAAATCAGGGTCCAGCTCCACCACAAGCGCAGCTCCAGGGGCTGTTGAGTTTTGCCTCTACCATTCCAAGTAGTCTCTGCTCCAGACCAAGTCCCACCATCTGGCAGTCATGTCAGTCCAACCACAGTCATATCAGGGCACTTCCAGTCATTGAGTGCCCCTTGAGGAGGCTGGAGGAGAGGCCAATGACATTTGCACTTGAGACTCCAGAGTCTAGATTTATAACCACTATGTTACGGCTGCCAGTGTGGCTGCAAGGACACTTCTTTCATTCATTCATTTACAATAGATGTAGCATCTGCTGTGTGCCAGATGCCATTCTAGGTTCTAGGGAAACAAGGCAGAGCCCCTGTTTTCCAAGGCATCCACATTCTAGGAAAGACTGCTACCAGCCTGGCGTGGTGGCTCATGCCTGTAATCCCAGTACTTTGGGAGGCCGAGGTGGGCGGATCACTTGATGTCAGGAGTTCAAGACCAGCCAACATAGTGAAACCCCGTTTCTACTAAAAGTACAAAAATCAGCTGGGCATGGTGGCACGTGCCTGTAGTCCCAGCTACTCAGGAAGCTAAGGCAGGAGAATCGCTTGAACCTGGGAGGCAGAGGTTCTGGTGAGCCGAGATCATGCTACTGCACTCCAGCCTGGGCAACAGAGTGAGACTCCATCAAAAAATAATAATGATAATAAAATAAAGACTGCTACTAAACAATAAAATAACCAAACCAGATAGATGACTTCAGGTGGTGGTAAGAGCTTTGAAAGAATAAGCAAGGTAACTAACTGGTCAGAGGAAGGGAGATGGGTGCATTCCCTCAGATAGACCGCCCCAGAGGTCTGCCTCTCTGACATGACATTTGAGCAGAGACCCAACAGGAAAAGGAAGAGGCTGCTCTATGGCCGGGTACGGTGGCTCACACCTGTAATCCCAGCACTTTGGGAGGCCCAGGCGGGCGGATCACGAGGTCAGGAGATCGAGACCATCCTGGCTAAGACGGTGAAACCGTCTCTACTAAAAATACAAAAAAATTAGCCGGGCGTGGTGGCGGATGCCTGTAGTCCCAGCTACTCGGAAGGCTGAGGCAGGAGAATGGCATGAACCTGGGAGACGGAGCTTGCAGTGAGCCGAGATCGCGCCACTGCACTTCAGCCTGGGCGACAGAGTGAGACTCCATCTCAAAGAACAAAAAAAAAAAGAACCAAGAGGTGTCCAGGCGAAGAGAACAGCAGATGCAAAGGCCCTGTGGCAGAAACAATCTTGGTATGCTGGAGGAATAGGAAGGCAGCCAGTGCAGCTGGAGCAGGATAGGTTAAGGGAGGATCAAGGTGATGAGGGCCTGGAAAGAGGGGCTGGGGTCGAATCACCAGATCCTGTTGGTTGCAATGGAAGAGCCTGGAGTTTATTCTCAGAGCAGTGAGAAGCCACTGGAAAGTTGTTTTTTTGTTTTTCTGTTTTTGAGACAGAGTCTAGCTCTGTCACCCAGGCAGACTGCAGTGGTGCAATCTTGGCTCACTGTAACCTCTGCCTCCCAGGTTCAAGCGATTCTCCTGCCTCAGGCTCCCCAGTAGCTGGGATTACAGGCACATGCCACCACACCCATCTAATTTTTCTTTTTCTTTTTTTTTTTTTTTTTTGAGACAGAGTCTCTGTCACCCAGGCTGGAGTGCAGTGGCGCAATCTCAGCTCACTGCAACCTCCACCTCCCTGGTTCAAGCGATTCTCCTGCCTCAGCCTCCCGAGTAGCTGGGACTACAGGTGCATGCCACCATACCTGGGTTAATTTTTTGTGTTTTTAGTAGAGACAAGATTTCACCACGTTAGCCAGGATGGTCTCGATTTCCTGACCTCGTGATCTGCCCACCACGGCCTCCCAAAGTGCTGGGATTACAGGCGTGAGCCACCGTGCCTGGCCAGCCACCGGAAAGTTTTATGTAAGCAGGGGAGTGATCTGTTTTATCATTTAGAAGGATACACACCTCTTCTTCTTTTTTTAGAGACAGGGTCTAGTTCTGTCACCCAGGCTGGAGCCCAGTGGCACAATCATAGCTTACTGTAACCTCAAACTCCTGGGCTCAAGTGATCCTCCTGCCTCAGCATCCCAAAGTGCTGGATTACAGGCATGAGTCACCATGCCTGGTCACACTTCTCATTCTTTAAACCAGACCTCATTTGTCCATCTCCCCCATCCCCCGCCCCACCCCACGGACTGTCCTATAATGCCCATACAACAGGTCACTGTTTAGAAAGTGCTACAAAGTTACAAACACAGTCCCTTCTGAGCCTCCCACCAATGTTGGTGGGTACAAGGTCAAAAAAAAAAATCTCATCTATCTAAGGGGCATAGGAGACTTTTTAGTTAGAGGGCCCAATTATAGTCCTCCTGAAAAGATGCCAAAAGTCCCCTTCAACACTTAGCAAAGATTCAAGAAAGATGAATCTCACATTCTTTGTATGGGAAATGAGGAACTTGACATCTTCAATATAATGGATTCCACTAAAATAAGATGACGATCAATAGGAACCAACTAAAAAAATACTTGACTAGCTGTTATTGAAAGGCTGAAATTCAGCTGACATAAGCAGTATTAATATTGAGCTAGAAAATAATTCGCATTGAATTCAGCCCAACTTTTGTTTTCTGATTTGGGTCTCTTCTAAATTTTTTTTTTCTTCTGGACATTGAGAACAATCCAATTTGAAGGCCTCAATGCCCAAATCTACACTCTTGTTTTATTCTATATCCTTGGTTTCTTTTTTTTTTTTGAGATGGAGTCTCATTCTGTCGCCCAGGCTGGAGTGCAGTGGCGTGATCTTGGCTCAATGCAAGATCCGCCTCCCGGGTTCATGCCATTCTCCTGCTGCAGCCTCCCGAGTAATTGGGACTACAGATGCCCGCCCCCACGCCCGGCTAATTTTTTTGTATTTTTAGTAGAGACGGGGTTTCTCCGTGTTATCCAGGATGGTCTCGATCTCCTGACCTCGTGATCCACCTGCCTCAGCATCTCAAAGTGCTGGGATTACAGGCGTTAGCCACCGTGCCCGGCCCACACCTAGGTGATTTTTAAAGTTCTTCTAGTAGAGACAGGGTCTCACTATGTCGGGTCGCCGTGTTTGATGTCAGTTTTCCCTGCCAGAATCTACAATCTCCTTGATCACCATTATATCCCAACGAAGAGCTCAGTACCTGGTACAAAGCACATTTGATCAATACTTGCTGAATAAAGAAATAAAAATGAAGAGGCACTCCAGCCTGGGCAACAGAGTGAGATGGTCTCAAAAAAACAAAAACAAAAACAAAAAACGACTGGAAAGGAGATGAGGGTACTTGTGAAGCCATATTATATGACACGCTCTGTGCTAGGACTTTTATATACCTTGTCTCATCTCTTCATCTCATATAATCCTTACAAGGATCTCAAAAGTGGGGAAATCCCCATATAACTGAAGACGAAGGCAGTTCAGAAGTTCACTGATTTGCCCTAAGGTTCCTCAATTTGCAAACGTCAGGCCAATGATCCAACCCCAGGTATGTTTGGCAGTGAAGGACCAGTTGAGTCACAGCTGCAAGTAACCACCCTGCAGTGGTCCCTATCTTGGCCGTTAGCTTACATTGACATTTAACACTCAAATTTACTCAGTAACACCAGCTATCATGTTTTCCACTAAAACTCCACAGCATTCTGGCAACTTTTCTATTTTAGAGCAATAAAGTAAATTGTTAGCATCCCTTTGACATATAAATATTTCTACAAATAGTAATTCTCTAGCCATTCATTTGGAGTATTTAAAACTCAACATTCATAGCACATTTTATGTGACAAAGAACTTATGTTCAGAACACAAAAATAAGTCGTACGTCTTCATTAAAAACAGGTGAAGAATTTGAACAAACATTTGCAAACTAAAATACAAATGAAATACACTCAACATCATTAAACAAGAAAATAAAATTATGAGATAATCACTAATAATCACTACATATGCACCACAGTGATTAAAATTTTTTTAAGTTAAGCCACGTGACCCAACAAGGTGCATTCACTCAAGAGAAACGCAAATATATGTCCACTCAAAGACTTGCACATGAATGTTGAGAGCAGGTTTATACTGAATAGCGCAATGTGAAAAAACCCCAAAATCTAGCAAAGGATGAAGGGAGAAATAAACTGTGGTATATACATACAATAGAACACTACTCAATAATAAAAAGGATTATATTCCTGATACATGCAATATGGGTGAACCGTAAAAATATCATGCTGAGCAAGAGAAGCCAAACACAAGAGAACATGTTGTTATGATTTCACGTACATGAAACTTTAGTAAAGACAAGTCTAATCCATAGTGACAGAAAGCAAATCAGTAACTGCTGACAGGGGCAAATGAGGAGATGATCCCAAGGGAACCTTCTGGGGTAAGACGCTGTTCTCTATCTCGATCGTATTGGTGGTCACACAAGTGAAGACATGTTAGAACTCATCAAACCATACACTTAGAATGTGTAATATAAACCTCAATAAAGCAAAATTTAAAAAAAAAAACCACCTTTAATTTTCTCTTACAAAAAAAAAAAAAGGAAAACCACTTAACTTTAATTTTCTCCAACAACTGATTCTGGTACACAGTATACCTTAATGCCTGCATCCACGGCCTCACGTCATGCTGTTTACATGAACGTAAAGCTTCGCCGAAGAGTGGAATAAGACAGTCCTGCCAGAGAAAAACCAAAATTACTCAACGTAAAACAGGCTGTTGATATGTTTGCAGATATATAGCAAGTCTTAAGTCCAAGACTGCAATATAGTTTGGCTACTTCAGATTGATTGCAGTAGTTTTATCTATTACACTATACCCTTACATCATTTATCTTCTACTCACAAGAGGCAAGCACACAGTAAGAGAAAGCCTTTTGTTTTGAAGGGAAATCTTCTTCAGAATATTAAGTCTAATTTATCAATATACTTAATAAAGCACATTACAAAAAAAAAAGTCACAGCACATTTACTATAAAGCAGACTGCAGAAAAACATTACAACTAATGCTTTATTATGAAGTTCTCGAAGATCACCATTCATTCAGAAGCCCCCATCTCTGGTCGAACTTTACCCCATTTAGGATGAAGAGGAGAGATCTTTGTTTGCAGCAAATCTAAAATTTACGTGATCTGCCTAAAGGAACTGTCTTTACATACACCACCTCCCACCCCAAAAATAGAAGAAAAAACTGAGCAATTTGCCATCCTTGCGATTATCTCAGGTTCTTCCATCTGCCCCATGTACTTCCCAAATGAAAGACTGCCTGAAAACAGCATGTTAGATTTCTGGATTTACCAGCTTGCCCAACTACAAATCCTATTCCAAAAAACTCAAAAAATAAGGTCTTTGTTCTACAGTAATGACCATTAATAGTCATAAGAGTGTGCTTGTAAAAATATACAGACCTCTGTTGAAAGTCTGTTAGAAACTGTGGTCTCCAAAGCAGACGAGCAATACAGCTGCAAGGTACTTAGAACTGGCAAAGACTGTGAAACTGTTAAAGTAGAAAGTCTCAGAGGTCCAATAGCGATGCGGGATGTTTGCTTCAAGTACTTTACCACATTTCTGAAACAAAATATTTACTGTCAATTAATAAAAATTACAATTCATAACCACTCAAAGAATAAAGCAATTGATAAGATGCTATCAAATTGACATCCAAAGTTAGGGGGCAGTAAGAGGAGCAGCCTGCTCTATAATAAAATGGTATCAGCAAGTCAAGACATTTGCTTTTGGGGATTTTTACATTTTATTTCATTTCAACCTCAGTTTTTGTTGGCAAGCAGCATTCATATATCATATGACTTCTACAACTAAAATGAAGCTATTAGCACTAGTATTTAGTAATCTAGTAACTCTCCTTCCAGCCCTCTTCACCCCATGTATGTTTATCACATGATATACACAATGTACATTTACCTCCGTAAGAGTAAACTTACTCAGTTATAGACTGCCACTTCTGATCTTGTTCTATCGGGTTTAAAGCAGTTGCCAAACAAACAGAACTTCTTAACAATGGAACTTCAATGGATTTCTGAGGTTCCCTTGGATCTGGACTTCACATGTTACGAAGCAGTTTTTTCATGTCTACAGAAGTTAAATGAAATGTCATTAAGTTAATGTGCTTTTATTATAAATTTTGATTTATGTTTGGCATTATTAAAAACTAATCACCAATGAACAGCTCCTTTAATATTTCAGGCAGTTAAACACTATAAGCATTACTGAGAGCTATATAAAAATCATACTTCATACAAAATTACTGTACCTCAGACCCCTAAAAAGCAGTTGCCTTCAAAGGCTCAAAAATCAGTAAGTCGAGGTCAGGCGTGGTGGCTCACGCCTGTAATCCCGGCACTTTGGGAGGCCAAGGTGGGTGGATCACGAAGTCAGGAGTTCAAGACCAGCCTGGCCACGATGATGAAACCCCGTCTCTACTAAAAATACAAAAAATTAGCTGGGCACGGTGGCAGACACCTGTAATCCCAGCTACTCAGGAGGCTGAGGCAGGAGAATCGCTTGAACTCAGAGGGCGGCGGAGGTTGCAGTGAGCCGAAATCGCGCCACTGCACTCCAGCCTGGGCAACAGAGTGAGACTCTGTCTCAACAAAAAAGAAAATCGGTAAGTCAATCTACTATTTAAGGGGACAAATCTAGACCTGCATTAGCAAATCTTGCTCAATCCAGAATACTCATTAAACTTTTTAATAACATCTTATCAAGTGTTCCATTTGTGATAAAGAACTTAATTAACGAGCCACATCAAGATGAAAATCAAGAAAAATATTTAGCTGAAACACTACTTTGTCCTTTATCAAACAAAATGGCTAGATAAATCTCAAAGTATTAAGGTGGTCATTTTTTTTATTTGACTTAATTTTAAGTGCTTTTCATTTCCCAAATCAAACATAAATAGGGCAGCCCTAAATTTGTTGCTTCACATGGGATTCTGCCCCCACAAAAATGTAAAATAACTTCCAGATTTTCCAGTAAAATATACTAAGCCAAACATTTTGAGCAACTTGTCCACTAAAATAACTTTAAAACTATTTTCTCAAATACCTACCTATTTTTTCTTTTGATCCTCCAGCAAGTAGATTGATATTTTCTCCTGGTAACAATTCTAATTGCTCGGTACATTCGACAAATTTTCCAGACTCAAAGCTGCTTAATGATCTGTAATTAAAATATTGGTTAGCTTGTATTCCTATGCAGCCTGTGGAACCATTAAAAAAAACAAACAAACAAAAACAGAACAAATCCTAGGAAGACAGCAAAGTACACAGCACTTTTCTGACAAAATTCCTTCCACGAGGATGCCATTATTTTGGTTTTTATGTTGAAGATGTGACTACCACTTAATTAGTACTCAAATTGGAGTGGCAAACCAGAAAGTCACAGCTACAGACTTTCAGTGGAGCTGACTCGCCCCTGTGTCTCCTTCCTGTTTTCATGTGTTGCAGCCTGTTCTCTTCAGAGCCTGACACACTGACAGTAGACCTCTGCAGGACAACTTTGACACCCAGTTCTCTCCAAGCTGCCAGTGAGCTCCCTGTGCAGCCTCACTCCTCACCTACAGCATGAGCCCTTGCACAGCTCTCCCAGCATCACAATCTTGTATCTCAGTCCTGGCTTCTTTCACTGCTGGCATCCCTCCGTCTCTCCCTTTTTCACCTACTTTTCTTTTTTCAAAGAATTCTTCTCTTTCATCTGCTTATATGAAAAATAATGACACCTCTGAAATTCTTTCCTGTAGTTCTGCAGCATCAATGCCAGGAAGACAGGCCTCATCCTCCCAGCTTCTATGCTGCTCCTTTCAGATCCCTTACCCTGTCCCCATTTTCATGACACGGGCTCTCCAGCCAGGAAGAAGACACTGTTTCTCACTCTCTCTCTTTTCCATCTTTGCCTGTCCCTCTCGCTGTGTAACTTCCCTTATAACTCAGCCTGAGGCCAGTGCTAGAAAGGCACATCACCTGACTTATTCTGTGCCTGATTCTACCTAGATCAGTGCAACCACTGGCTTCTCAGGGGGACCCTTGAGTACTGGGCACTGATGAACTGCTGCCAACACAGTCATCATTTCTGCCATTAAAAGGTCCTAAGTCCTCTCCAGTGGCAGGTTCCCCAAGTCCCCACTATGCTCTATAATGCCCTATGCTTTCAGCTAATGACTCAGTCCTCAGAAAAAACAAACAAATAAACAAAAAAACACAGGCTTTAATTTCCTCTACCCCTACCCCCAATCCACCATACACTGCCGAAATTCTGTCTATACCAACTTTGACTGCTTTCCTTGAGGCAGAGAAAAGGTGAGGGCCAGTTAATCTATCAATGTTCTTTCTCCTGTTTCTTCAACCTCTGCTTTCTAGTGGCTCCTTCCCCTTGGCCAAAAGAACATAATCTCTCCAACATTTAAAATAAACATCTCATATTTCCCTCCAGCAACAGCTTCCTATCCTCGACTTCAAGAAAAACTCACTGACCAAATAACTTACCTCAAGCTTTTCATTTTCAAATGTCTCTACCACTCAATACTATTCAATCTAGCTTCTTCTGTCTCTCTACAAAACTCTTTTTCCTTATAATCCCTAGAGCATCTGACAAGGCTGACTACTCCCATCTGGATGTCCTATATCTAGGGCACTTCCCTTCTCAATGTCCCTGTATTTTTTTGAATGGCTTCCTCTTCTATCCTTTCACAAAAATGCTAAACTAGGATTCTGACCCAGGCCTTCCTTCCTCTTCACTCACTATTCTCCAGAGGCTTCTCTCTGGTTTGGTTGCTTACAAAGGCTCTAGAGTATAGAGACTGAAAAGGAAAGAGGGCCTTTTCTGTGTACTAATCATCTGCAAATCTCTCAAGCTTAGACTGTCTCCTTAGTTCAAAATCCAATTCTTAACAGCTTACCCAACAATCTCATCTGCACATTTCATTAGAAATCTTAAAACATGGCTTGTTCTCTGTGTGCTCCTACTTCAGTTAATAGCATTGTTTCTCTTCCCTCTACCATTGCCCCCATAAATTAATGGTCTCCATGCTTCCATACTTGCCCCGCACCTCCAGTCTCTTCACCACAGCAGAATGAACCAAGTCAGATCACAACACAACTCTGTTCAAATCCCACCTGAAATTTTCAGTCTTACTAGAATAACAGCCAAAGTTCTTTTCTCAGTTCCCAGCTACTTCTCTGCCCTTATATCCTACTGTTTAAGGCGCTCCTAAACACACAGGCCTCCCAGCTATTTCCAGAACACTCCAAGCCCATCATTCTCACATCAGGTCTAGGCCCAAAGGGCATCCTGATGGGCATGTCTTGACCTTGTGTCTTCCCTCCAAAGAAGGTCAGCTTTACCTAACTGCTTTCCTTATGGCACAGAAAAGGTGAGTGAGGTCCAATTAGTCCTTCTATCAATAATCTTTATCTAATCTTTGCTTTAAAAGGTTGGAATTTGTGTCTGTTTTATGTGCTGCCTGGGTCACAGCACATGCTCAGTGAAGCAATTACACATTAACCCATTTAGCAGTAGAAGGCAAGGGTATCAGACAAAGTCTAATGACCTTTATCTTCCCAGCCAAGTGTCTGCAACAGAGTGAGTGCTCAGTTTTGAATTACAGAATTAATAAAAGCACAGAGGAATGAGAAGAAAGTTTAATTTACAGATGTTCACAAACTCTGTCCTCATTAGAATAAATGTTTTTGATATATTCAGACCTCATTTCGAAACAAAGCCATCAAATGTGATTCTTTCTAAAGCAGTACAAATTTTTCTTTATATTCACTCTGGCATAATCTTCAAACTGTATTAAGGTTTTAGAACGACAGGTTCTGAAAATTAATACCAAATGACTATCTCAGCAGTGTTTTCCCATTATACAAATACCTTCCCTCATCTCTGATGTCAGTTTCCTGTTGTCATTTTCATAATGGCAGTAAGTTAGAAATATAACCATTTTGAGTATTACTGCATATGACCAATTTTAATATTTTTTTTGCCATAGGAAAAACATCATAGTTATTGGAAATTTGTTTTATAACTGGAAACAGAAAGCCTTACTTTATATAGTTGAAGTCAGCTTTCAGGTTGAGGGAAGTGCTACTGGTACTCTTTTTCAAGTCATGGATAGCGTTCTGCCATTCCTGCACAGCAGCCCAATCGGCAGTTGAGATGTAGCACTCACATGCTTTGTTTCCTAAATAATTTATAACCTCAGGGGAAGAGTCAGTCGGTTTGGACAGCACACTTTTTCTGGATTCACCTGAAAGTATTTTATAAAATAAGAAGAGAGAGATTCAGATCAATTAGAAATATTTCAAAGAGCACAGAAACCTAAAAACATGATAAGATCATCAGTACGAAATATATTACTATAACTTTTGCTTTATTTAAAAATGCTGAACGCTCACCATTCAGACAATGTTTCAGGCTGGCACTCTTACACCCAGCACTGGCTAAGGTGAGCACCGATTTGTCAAAGCTGGAGATGCAGCAATCAACACCTGTCATGGCACACAGGTGTTCCTGGTACTCCACAGAGGCCTTTTCAAACCTGAAAAGCAAATTGAAGCAGTCTTATTTCTTTATTTATCTAACTACTTACTTTTTTTTTTTGAGATGAAGTTTTGCTCTTCTTGCCCAGGCTGGAGTGCAATGGCACTGTCTCAGCTCAGTGCAACCTCTGCCTCCCGTGTACAAGCGATTCTCCTGCCTCAGCCTCCTGAGTAGCTGGGATTACAGGCACTCGCCACCATGCCCGGCTAATTTTCTTGTATTTTTAGTAGAGACGGGGTTTCACCATGTTGGCCAGGCTGGTCTTGAACTCCTGACCTCAGGTGATCCGCCTGCCTCGGCCTCCCAAAGTGCTGGGAATACAGATGTAAGCCACCGAACCCAGCCTACCTAACATGGCAAATTTTGTTTTTTTAAATATTGAGTGGGAAAAACAGATCATAAAACCATGTGCCTATGTACGCTGATGTTTTGGTGAAGAATGGAGAAAACGACATGAAAGAAAAAAGAATTACAAAGCGTATGGATATGGAAATATGGGACTACAAAAGGACACACAACAGAAGTTACTACAAAGATATGGAAGTATGAGCAGTTCTTTTATTTTCCTAAGTTCGCAAGATTTCATTAAACTAACATAAATGGACACAGAATATTATGGTACAAGCTCCTCTACCCGGAGGAAGCAATGAGTCTGAATGTAGAGTTCACAGGACTAACGAGCAAATACTCTGACAATAAAGGGTAATTTGTATCAGACTCTGAGGGGGAAGGAGCTCAACTAGGGATCAAGTTCAAAAGCATTTATAAAACAACTGACAGGTCTTGTTTTACAGTGTGATTTGCCACTAATTCTTAAATAAGAAAGGCACTCCAGTATTGCTGCTAACTGAAGAACAAACTGAAGATGCCTCCTGGTGAAGGGATTTATAGCAAGCTTCAATGCTGAAAGCAAACAAAGCTGTTTTAAGATTTGGCTACAATGTCAGTGAGTAATACAAAGAACTTAAACATAAAGTAATTCTATCACCCATTTCCTTCCCTCCAACCTACCTCCCTTCAGCCTGTTGAGCCACTGAGTTAATCCACAGAAGATGTTTTCCAACAATAGATGATGACCAGACAGCAATTCCCTGTATAGCTTCAGGACAATGAAGTTCACATAGTGCTTCTACCACCATCATAATGCTTACTTCCAATTCATTCCCCTGAAAACGCATTCAGAAAAGTTAGTCACCCAATACCATTAAAACATAAATCCCTATAAAATTTACAACTGATCACAGTCTGTGCCTGCTTAAAGCCAAATGTATTTAACAATTATTGTCACAATTTTCACATTATTTAGCTCAGAATTCTTTAAAATGTTACATATAAAATAGCCACAAAGGGTGACTAACAGAACCTTAGCAGCACATGGATGTTTGTACCCCCACCCCAAAGTTACCCAAAAACATTTAACCTGTGACCTCTGTAGGAATAACACATGGAGTAAAAAGAAAGCAAAAATGAAATATAAATAAACAGGAATTAAGGAATGATTAACTTCATGTGTTTGAATACTGCTTGACATTACCTGAATTGCTAAACATTTTGTTATTTTTGGATTCCAGTTATTTATTGTGAGCCCACTTTCAAGCCAGGAATTACTCAAGCATTTGTCATACGTTATAAAAACAATTTCTCCTGGCCAGGTGCAGTGGCTCATGCCTGTAATCCCAGCACTTTGGAAGGCCGAGGTGGGCGGATCACTTGTGGTCAGGAGTTCGAGACCAGCCTGGCCAACATGGTGAAACCCTGTCTCTACTAAAAATACAAAACTTAGCCGGGTATGGTGGTGGGTGCCTGTAATCCCAGGGACTGAGGCAAGAAGAGGCTTGAACCCGAGAGGCGGAGCTTACAGTGAGCCGAGATCGCACAACTGCACTCCAGCCTGGGCGACAGAGTGAAACTGTGTCTCAAAAAAATAAATAAATAAATAAAAATTTTCCCCCATAAACAAATTTTCAGAATTACCTTTAAAGTTCTAAACTTTGCACGGAAGAAATAGAGTTTTAACGTGTTCTAACATGAATATTGTTTTAACATGAACAAAAACATGAACATTATTTTGACTTCTAACACTGTTTTAACACGAATAAAATAGGTAACTCTGGCAGTTGTTGCTTTTACAAAATACAGGATCAAAACCTTTGAAAATGAATCCAAGCTTTAACTTATTTTATCCATAGATTAAATCATACCAAAGGAATTAAACCATGTTTTTCTTATTAACAGACTTAAAATGAATTTCAAACACACCACTTTACCTGAGATAGGCTGGTTGTTTTCATCTCTGTAAGCAAGTCAAAGCCATGTCTCACTGTCACTGCAGGCTGGCCTGCCAACAATCCTACCCTCATGATGGAGAGTCGAATCCGCGTTAGCCAGTCCTGACAAGTTTGGCGATTGGTATACAAAAAAGTTCTAATGACCTTTACGATAAGAGAAAGAAAAGCTCAGGACTGGTTCAATTTGTAGGTAAGGATGTCTCACCTATATATAAACCAAATACACAAGTCTATTGTGATTTCAGCTCTGCACATACTGCCAGCTGTGACCATTAAACTGCTATAAAACAACACTATCTCCCGGAAACCAACCTTGGGAGGTGAAGTTAAGGCATTAGCACATCCCTCGTATGCATTATACATTAATTTCTCCAGATTTTCCAGATACTGCAGAAGAAGAACAAGTCTAAGTTGGTTGTTACCATGGCCTTCATCACTGTCTGCAGTTGTCCACTGACTAACATCCTGATCAGGGTTTAATGTGTGACCTGCGAGACTTCGAATGATACCTGAAAGCAAAGACAACATTCTGAATTTTTAAAAATCTTAAAAGTTCCTAGAATAAGTGTGAGTTGTTTATGACCAATTCACATTTATCAAGTATCCTCTGTCTACCCATCATTTAAAAATAAAAAATCCCAACATGAAAGATCTTTCATTTTAGGGGAAAAAAATATATATTTTTTCCACACAACTCCCATAAGTTTTGGAAAAAAAACAAACATATTTCCAATGCAATTATTCAATGAAAGCTTATTCTAACAAACAAACCTGAAAATTATTGACTTTTTTCAAAAAAAATCATATACCCTCAAATCTTTAACAAAGATTTAAAAATCCATTATTTCTCAATAAGGCTTTGAAAGTATTCACATCATAAAGCTTGAGCGAGTTACCTTCAATTGTCTGGAAGGTGTCTTGAGCTCTGCCCAGTGGGGTTCTCAGCTTAGAAAGAACAGTGAATTGTGCAGCTTCCCATATGGCCCACTGCCAAAGGATAGCATCTGTCTTCAGGAGATTGCGTGGAATTGTTGACTGGTCACGCTTATCCAGTCTCTGGCAGCTATAGAACAGTCTTTCCAACCAATTGTCCTTCCTGGGAAAAGTAGTTTCATATTTAAAAGACAATGACAACTTCATTTTAATAATGAAAAAAAAATGCAAGGGGAATGGGAATAAGGAACTGTAATTTTCCCTACTCCAAAAAAAGGCAAAACCTATGAAATTGAGAAGCATTATGTCCCCCCCTCTCATTTTGAGGTCTTGTATAGTTAACAGGATGAGGTACAGTGTGGAAGGATGATTAGGGTAAACGGCTCATGCCAGTCAGGAATGAAACTCATTCAATGCAACTAAGCATCTCTAGAATATCTCCACCCCCACCCCACTCCCCAAAGTGTTAATGACATCACATCAGTTAACTGTTAACCACATTTCATTACTCAATTTCAAAGCCCATTTTTGTTTCTACAGATGCTATCTTCAAAGCAATTTTCCTATTGATGAAAACTGAAATAACCCATATGAGAAGAATGTTACTTGATACTCTGCCACCCCCAAACATATTTTCTCTTCAAAACTGCATGTAAAGTCAAGGGAATCTTAAAATTTTCTTTCCCAGATAAAATAGTCAAAGAAATGTCTTACCCTGTTCTATGAGAGTTCCCATACAAAATAAAACTAATAACATCAGAGAAATCTTGGGGGTGGAATGTATTACTTGGTGCTTTACTCATGTGACTTCTTAATGCTAAAGAAATTTCTTGAATTTCTGTGTGATTGTTATCGCTGTAGACAGAAAATAAAGTTGTTGTTATGCAAAATATTTTAGCTTAAAAGGTTAGCACATACTGTAAGTGGATTATTTACTTATTAACTCACTGGAGGTAAAAATATAGTAAAATTGAGACTTTCAAATGGATACAGAGATGTGATTACAACTTTAGATCCTTTTTTTATTCACCTCAGATGGGTCATGTGCCGACATCATAAGAGGATTTGAGGGAGGCATATCAAACATGTGAACATAAAAACCCAATCATTATGCTTATCTATTACAAAAGGATCAAGTTTAGGCTCTTAAAAGCTCCCAAATCAACTTGATCAAAAACAATAAAAGATTACTGTTTAGTTTTTCAAATATCTGAGCTACTAAGAAACATATTTTGGCACTACATGAGTTATTCTATACTAATTATTGTGAGCCTATAAAGCTCATTAAAAATTTTTAATTTTCTTGCAGACCTGCAAAATTTGGTTATTTGACATCACTTCAATCACTGACAAGCAGGGCCATAAAAGATGTGTCATTAATGCTCTAATAGGTGATCTGTCTTCTCCTAAAGTAGACAACCAGTAGAGGCTGTAAATATCACAGAATGTCTTTGCTTCAAAACAACTGTTATACCTTAGGAAAACACCTAAAGGAATTGATTTCAACAGTTTTCCAAATGCTTGTCGAATACAAGTTCCACGGTGCACTAGTTGGACACGGCAAACATCAACACATCTATGAAAGAACGAAATAGACAAAGCAGGTGTGTTAACAGTTCCAGGTTATTAGGGTTAATGTCAAAAGACACGATCTTAATTTCATACCTCTGTAAAAGATCATCTGGCAAGGAAGAGGATAGAGCATGTAGACTGCTGCATGCCTGCAGACAGATATTCACATCTTCAACGAGAGCTATTAAACATTAAAAGACAGTTACTTTCAGCTGGCCAAAAGAAATTATATCCCAGTTTGTCATAATTATCTGAATCCATTCATTCATTCAACAAAGAGTGAGTGCCTACTATAGACTAGGCACTGTTCTTGTCCAGAATCCTCATTGACTGTCACATTTGGAAAAATGACACATTCAACAAAACCCACGTAATGTAACTGATGGGTCATCACACAAAACTTTTTCTGAGAGAAAATGTAAAAGTATATGTAAACTATAAACATTCACGTTAGCTTAAAAATGTGACAATCACTTCAAAACATTTTTCTAATACTAAGAATGAAAAAAAATCAAGACTGTGTATCTGTCATTAAAATGAGGATTACACATCTTCAGGTCAGGAAAAGAGCTCGATTCATGACCATCTCCCATTACCAAAGACCCTTTTAAGGACTGATAAACAAAATAGAAAAAAAAAACCAGAGTCTTACTGTCGGCTAAAAGGCCTTTGCAAAATTTATGGAAAGACGGAAGACAGAATAAAGGTGCATATGTTTCGGACTTCTTCATTACAACAGCTACTTCCAAAGCCCAAGTCATTAACAGTTTCCTGAAACACAAAATATACAGTTGACTGTACATTAAAAAAAAAACAACAACAAAAACAAAAAAAAGTTAAAAGCCTAGTCTTCTTACATTGGTTTTCTCTTGGTTTTTCAAACATCTCAAACAATAAAAAATAAAAATAAAAAATGAAACTATAGAAATTACTGTCAAAATTGTTGTGTGCCTTTTAAGAAAACCTCCCAACGCAGCATGATAATAGCAAAGAGGCCGGGCGTGGTGGCTTACCTGAGGTCAGGAGTTCAAGACCAGCCTGGCCAACAACATGGTGAAACACCATCTCTACTAAAAATACAAAAATTATTGAGGAACTGCCAAACTGTTTTCCACATCAGCTGCACCATTTCACATTCCTATTGCTAACTTATAAAGATTTCAATTTCCCCATATCCTCAACAACACTTGTTATTTTCCATTTTTTAATAATAGTCATCATAGTAAGTGTGAAGTGATAGCTTGGAGTTTTAATTTGTATGTCTCCATTGACTAATGATGTTGACATCTTTTCAAGTGCTTATTGGCCATTTGTTTATCTTCTTTGGAGAAATGTTTATTCAAGCCTTTTGTCCATTGTAAGATGGACAAAAATGGTTGTCTTTTTGTTGTTTGTTTACAACCATTTTGTTTTAAAATGTTTTGTCTTTTTGTTGTTGAATTGTAGAAGTTTTTTATATACTTTGGGTATTAAACCTTAACATATATACAAAAAAAAAATACAAAAATTAGCCAGGTGTGGTGGCGGGCACCTGTAATCGCGGCTACTTGGGAGGCTGAGGCAGGAGAATTGCTTGAACCTGGGAGGCAGAGGTTACAGTGAGCAAAACTCCGTCTTAAAAAAAAAAAAAGCAAAGAATATTAAAAATCTATATATATTCTTCTATGAAACACTGGGCGTGGGGGATTGAGGTTTTTCATGTATTTCTTTTCAGAAAGAATAAGAAAGCCTAGATTAAATAATAAAACCAAATTATAAGGTGTTTGACAATAAAGAAGCTGCTCTACCTCACCTCTATAATCCACATTTTTTTAAATTTTTTGTAATCCACATTTCTTCTTCTCAAATTATAAAGGCAAATTAACAAAGTTAGGAATGGTTAATACTATATAATATCTGTTACCTCGTGTCCTGGTTATCTTTCTTAAGTAACATTCCCAGAAGATTTAATGTAATTGAGAAATGTTTCTTTGTGGCCATAGTTACAGTGCCAATCACAGCTCCATCAAACAAAGAAGGAGAGGAAGAACTGAGGCTACTAAAGATAAAGTGATCATGCCTGAAAGACAAAGCATAGATTATCTTTTCATCTTTAATCAAAGAAAGCAAGCAAGTCCAAAGTTAAATCAACATACATCTTCAAAATCTATCCATTAAAAAAATAAAATGTTTTGTGGGGTTCTTTTCTTAAGAAAAATTTGTGAATACAGTACCTGGTACAATGAGGATACAATGTGTAGAGCACAGCATACTGAATGGCAGGGAAGTGAACAGCCAGGTCACTGTGCACAATCATCAGATTCTTACTCAGAAGTGCAAAGACAGTTGGAGATAGCGCCCACATCTGATCATGTACAAAACAAAGTAAGTTTATGGCTTCTCCAAAATAAGCACAAGCATACAGAGTTTATCCTTCAAAACAGGGGTATTTGGACATTTTTAAATTAAAATTACAGATTGGAAGGGATCTAGTACACTACACCTGGGACAAATACTTTTTTGTGAAGTCAGTAAAGCCTTTGCGTGCAATATAGCATCTCTATGCAATGCAGCAACTCCTCGTCTATCGCTACAGTAAGAAAACAGCCACAGGTCAGGTGTTGTGGCTCACACCTGTAATCCTAGCACTTTGGGAGGCTAAGGTGGGCAGATCACTTGAGCCCAGGAGTTTGAAACCAGCCTGGGCAACACAGCGGGACCCCATCTCTACTAAAATTACAAAAAGTAGCTGGGCATGGTGGCGCACACTTGTAATCCCAGCTACTCGGGAGGCTGAGGCAGGAGAATTGCTTGAACCTGGGAGGCAGAGGTTGCAGTGACCCGAGATCATACCAATGCACTCCAGCCTAGATGACAAAGTTAAGACTCTCTCTCTCAAAACAAAACACCAGCCACACACAAAACACAGGAATGAGAGTACCTGTGTTCCAAGAAAACTTTCTTGAGTCGGAGTCTCTCGCTCTGTCGCCCAGGCTGGAGTGCAATGGGGCGATCTCAGCTCACTGCAACCTCTACCTCCGGGGTTCAAGCAATTCTCCCTGCCTCAGTCTCCCAAGTAGCTGAGATTACAGGTGCCCATCACCATGCCCTGCTAACTTTTGTATTTTTTTAGTAGAGATAGGGTTTCACCATGTTGGCCAGGCTGGTCTTGAACTCCTGAGCTTGGGTGATCTGCCTGTCTCAGTCTCCCGAGGGATTACAGGCGTGAACCACTGCGCCCAGCCCAACAAGAACTTTCTTTACAAAAACAGGCACTAGTGTTGTGATGGTTGTACACTTCTGTGAATATAGTAAAAATCAGTGAATTATACACTTAAAATAACAGACAAAAAACAGGTGCTGGGCTGTATTTGGCCCACAGACCATAGTTTGCTGATCTCTGGTCTAAACAGAGCCCTTTGTATGTGCCTTTTGCGGAAGTAGACTGTATTTCCTCAATTTTCCATATACTGCAAATGGCAAGGTGCCCTGTTCAATAAGGAAACAGAGGCACACCCTGCCACCCTACACCTTTTCCATCCATCTTTTTCCTTTACACTGCCAAGACACTCCACTCCACCTGACTGCCCCATCCCCACCCACTTTCTCCTTATTTCTAGAGTACAGGACATAAACATCTTTGAATCTGTAAATAATGTGAATAATTTTCCTCAAAAATCAAGCTTTCATGTTTGAAGAAGAGTTTATTGTGACTTCAAACATAAACTGTAACTGGTAATAAGCGAAGCAGCTATGGAATTATACAAGGCAATCCAATCAAACAACACGGAGCACATTGAAGCGCAAACATCAAATTTTACCTTCTTCCTCCTAAAAACTTTATTCCCTAATTACATCCATTTCTTTCTTTGTTTCTTTCTTTTTTTTTTTTTTCTTTTGAGACAGAGTCTGGCTCTGTAGCCCAGGCTGGAGTGCGGTGGTGTGATCTCAGCTCACTGCAACCTCCACTTCCTGGGTTCAAGCAATTCTCCTACCTCACCCTCCAAAGTAGCTAGGATTACAGGTGTGCACCACCACCCCTGGCTAATTTTTCTATTTTTAGTAGAGGCGAGCTTTCACCATGTTGGCCAGGCTGGTCTCAAACTCCTGACCACAGGTGATCAGCCTGACTTGGCCTCCCAGAGTGCTGGGTTTACAGGTGTCAGCAACCGTGCCCAGCCTACACCTATTATTTTCTATTAAAAATGATGTTTTTCAACTCTGTGTGGTCCAATAGGAAGAAGAAATACACAAACCATAAACAATAAATACAAATCAAGAGCAGGGCCATGTCGAATTACTTAAAAAAAAAAAAACCACACGGGCTGGGCGCGGTGGCTCATGCCTGTAATTCCAGCACTTTGGGAGGCTGAGGCAGGTGGATCACCTGAGGTCAGGAGTTTGAGACCAGCCTGACCAACATGGTGAAACCAAGTCTCTACTAAAAATACAAAAATTAGCCCGTCGTAGTGGCAAGTGTCTGTAATCTTAGCTACTCGGGAGGCTGAGGCAGGAGAATTGCTGGAACCCGGGAGGCAGAGGTGGCAGTGAGCCGAGATTGCACCACTGCACTCCAGCCCAGTTGACAACAGCATGACTCTGTCTCCCCCAAAAAAAAAAAAAAAAAAAAAAAAAAAAAAGTCCCCCCACCACCACCAAAAGGAAGACTACAGGTTCAGTATCCCTTATTCAAAATGCTTGGGACCAGAAGTGTTTCAGACTTTGTATATGTTTGGATTTGAGAATACTTGCATATATATAAAATGAGATATGTGGGGGATGGGACCCAAGTCTAAAGACGAAATTCACTTATGTTTCATAGACACCTTCTATTCATAGCCTGAAGGTCATTTTATGCAATATTTTAAATAATTTTGGGCATACAACAGTTTGGACTCATCACATGAGGTCGGGTGTGGGATTTTCCACTTGGGGCATCATACTGGTGCTCAAAAAGTTTCAAATTTTGGAGCATTTTAGATTTAGGATTTTCAGATTAGGGATGCTCACCAGTAAGTGTTATGAAAATATTCCAAACTCCGGCTGGGCATGGTGGTGCCCACCTGTAATCCCAGCATTTTGGGAGGCCAAGGCAGGTGGATCACCTGAGGTCAGGAGTTCACAACCAGCCTGGCTAACATGGTGAAAACCCATCTCTACTAAATACAAAAAAATTAGCCAGGGGTGGTGGTGCATGCCTGTAATCCGAGCTACCTGGGAGGCTGAAACAGGAGAATCGCTTGTACCCGGGAGGCGGAGGTTGCAGCGAGCCAAGATCGCGCCATTGCACTCCAGCCTGGGCAACAAGAGTAAAAACACTATCTCCAAAAAAAAAAAAAAAGTATTCCAAAATCCAAAATCGAAAACACTTCCAGTCCCAAGTATTTCAGATAAGGAATATTCAACCTGTATGAATGTTCCTAGGGAAAAAGAGACAGCCAAAATATAAGACCATGTATAAGAACTAACTTCAGTACACAGAAAGAAAAAAGTACCAGGGGAAGAAGAAAGAGACCGCATTTTAAAACAACTATACAAATTTGAGCTGTAAGAAACACTGACATTTTCTGTAAGCATGCTAGAGCAAATAGGAGAAATTCATAAGACATTTTCTAGAAAATAAAACTAATATAAAAAAACTTATCAAGATTTGTCAAGGAAAAAGAAGAAAAGTTAAATATAATGGCAAGAAAACATTCCTACCAATTTTATTTATCCAGGCATGTCTTAAATATGGCTGTTTGTTACATACAGTGATTCTGCAGACATGTTGACATAACAGTGAAATACATAAATATGTAATGTGGATAAAACAAAGTCATTACAATTAAAGACTCACCCCTATTAGTGAGTTTTTGGCATTTCCAATTGTAGTCAAATTTAACTACAAATTTTGTAGTCAATTGAGGTCAAATTTAACTACAAATTTTGCATTGTCTACATTGAACACATGATTCTTAAAAGCCTCATGTTTTATTTCAGAACAGGACTCAGGAAGCTGCAGACTGTGCAGGAGGTTGTTTAGGGCACAAGTCATTTCTCCCAATATTAACTTATAGGCAGTCTCCAAAACAGGAATATTCTTCAAGCTGAGCACTGCTTGATAAACAGCACGGGCTACAGCAACAACCTGAAAAACAAAAAATTCAAGGAAGTGATAAATGGAAAATAAATCTTCTAAAATTATATGGAAAATAAATCACTATCTGTATTAGTGCTGATGATACAAATAAATTTAAGATCGATCAATTCACTGTCTGTAGCATTTAATATTTTAATTTTTTAAAAACCAATCAGAAAACTGACACAGATCAGTATGCTATTTCAAATCTATTAAGTTTTATCACAAATAAAGAGTACTATAAATGAAAACTGTCAATAGGAAATTTCCAAAATGGCCGTTTTTGTTTTTTTTTTTTAATAATCAACATCAAAAGACATATGCAAACAGCAGTTTAAGACTGGGTTTCTTAAATCTACCAGGAAAGTCTGTGGTGGATTTGACTAGGGGGTGGTTGAAAAGCCAGTCATTTTTGTTTACCAAATATACAGTACTTCTTAATTTATAACTTTATAAATGTGTCAACTTGTTTTACCCTTATGAAAATTTAATAAATTTAATAACAGCAAAAGATGCATAGTCTGAAAAGAGTATCTGGCACACCATTCATGAAAGTATTCAGTATGATTATCAAGAAATATAAATTTAAAAGAACAAATACAATCACTATATTCTAAATCAAACATTTCACATTTCACTCAATTTCACTTATATAGCCTGGGGTAAGCAACATTAGGTCCAACTCTTCAGTGACTCAAGTTGTCAAAATTCATTATCAGTGTATTACTTACCTCTTTTTCTTTATGATAACGCAAGAATAGTAGTTTAGATGATGGTATAAACAGTTTTTCTACAAATGATGATGGCAGTTTCGTATTTATCTGTTCAACAATCTAAAAGAATAAAATTTTTAAAAAATGAGCTTCTCAAATTACAAAAAGACATGGAGAAACCTTCAAGGCACACTGGTAAGTGAAAGAAGCCAACTGAAAAGGCTACATACTATATGACTCCAACTACATGGCATTCTGGAAAAGGCAAAACGATGGAGACAGTAAAAAGATCAGGGGTTGCCATGGGCTTAAGATGGGGGGAGGGAGGAGTGGGGAGAGGGAACGAGGAAGGAGTGGGTAGAACATAAAAGATTTTTAGGGAAGTGAAACTATCCTGTATGATACTGGTAATAGGGGAAACATGTCATTACACATGTTAAAGTCCATAGAATACATAACACAAAGTAAACTATAAAATTAGTTAATAATAATATATCAATATTCACTCCTTTGTAATAAATGTACCACACTAACACAATATGTTAATGAGGGGGAAACTGTTGGGATGAAGAAGGTATATGGGAACTCACTGTTTTCTGCTCAATTTTCTGTATATCTAAAAAATGAAGTCTTTTAATTTAGAAAAATATATCTAAGCTATATTTTAAGGCCTTAATACTGTGACATTAAAGTGTTTAGACACCTAAATAGGACACACGTATTTTACAGTTATCATGGGCATTTTTTCACATTAGCAAAGAGAGGTGTAATTCTGGCAGAAATGCTCAGCAGAATGTCATCTAGAATTTGCTTTAAAATAATCCAGTTGGAGATGAAAGGATAGCAAAGAGGCCTAGATGAAACCAGATGGGCCATTTGTTTCTAATTATAGAAGCTGAGTGTTAAATATGTACAAATTTATTATACTATGCTCCCTATTTTTATGTGCTTCAGAACGTCCATAATAAAAGTGGGGGGAGGATATTTATGGTTAAGAAATTAAAGGAGGCCGGCCGGGCGCGGTGGCTCACGCCTGTAATCCCAGCACTTTGGGAGGCCAAGGCAGGCAGATCACGAGGTCAGGAGATCGAGACCATCCTGGCTAACATGGTGAAACCCCGTCTCTACTAAAAATACAATTGTGCCACTGCACTCCAGCCTGGGCAAAAGAGCGAGACTCCGTCTCAAAAAAAAAAAAAAAAAAAAAAAAAAAAAAAATTAAAGGAGGCCAGGCATGATTGCTCACACCTGTAATCCCAGCACTTTGGGAGGGCAAGGCAGGAGGATTACTTGAGACCAAGAATTTAAGGCCAGCCTAGACAATGTAGCGAGACCCCTTCTCTCCAAAAAATATAAAGGTTAGCCAGGCATGGTGGCATGCATCTGTAGTCCCAGATAGTCGGGAGGCTGAGTGGGAGGATCACTTGAGCCCAGGAGTTTGAGGCTGCAGTGAGCTCTGATTGTACCGCTGCACTCCAGCCAGGGGAATACAGCAAGATCCTGTGACCCAAAAAAAAAAGAAAGAAAAGAAAAGAAAAAAAGAATCTGGTGCGTAGAGCAATGTTTCCTCAGAAAAAACGAGTAAAGCTACACTGAGACTAGCTATCAACCACTAAAAATAGAGGCCTGGCAGAGTGGCTCATGCCTATAATCCCAGTACTTTGGGAGGCCAAGGCAGGTGGATTGCTTGAGCCCAAGAATTCAAGACCAGCCTGGGCAACATGGCAAAACTCCATCTCTACAAAATAATATAAAAAATTAGCCAGGTGTGGTGGTGCACGCCTGTAGTCCTAGCTACCTGGGGGGCTGAGGTGGGAGGATCACCTGAACCCAAGAGGTCAAGGCTACAGTGAGCCAAAATCATGCCACTGCACTTCATCCTGTGCAACGGAGTGAGACCCTGTCTCAAAAAAAAAATTGCATTAAAAATAAAAGTAAATAGACACTAAAATGAAAGCACAGATTATAAGACTGATGAATGTACTCTAAAAAAATTATATAATAAAGCAAAGCCCTTATTTTTTTTCTTTTTTGGAGACAGGGCCTTTTTTGTCACCTTGGCTGAGTGCAGTGGCACAATCAGAGCTCACTTCAACCTCAAGTTCCTGGGCTTAATCGATCCTCCTCCATCAGCCTCCCGAGTAGCTAGGACTGCAGGTGCACACCACTACACCAAGCTAATTTTTGACTTTTTGTACAGATGGGGTCTCACTACATTGCCCAAGCTGTGCCAGAATTCCTGGATGCAAGCAACCCTTCTGCTTTGGCCTCCCAAAGCGCTGGGATTACAAGCATGAGCCACCATACCCAGACAAAGCCCTTAATTTCTTACATATCCATTTAAGGGCCTGAATAAACCAACACATTAAAAAGGAAAAGAATAATTCACATACCAGCGTGAGTAAATTCAAGACTGAGATGATATAATCGGTACCACAAGTCTGGCAATTCTCCAGTTGGTCTAATCCATATGTAATGACCATGTCACAATGTATAGTCATGCTAGGATCCAAGCTGCCGAGCAAAACACCAACACGCTCATTAGCAGCTGTCAACACAGCCTCAGAAAAAAACACCTGGTTTGCAGCCGTCACACATCTCATTACTCTGTACAGAACCTGTAAATGGGGAAAACCAGCAGCTTTTTAAAAAAATTCACGTGCTTCCACAAAGCAAGAAAATACTTTCTATTTAATGCAATTTCAACTGAAAATTAACTGCTTGCCTTGCCAGCAGTCTCTTAATATTCTAGTTCTCAGTAGCTGAATAATAATGATGCCTTTACTACAATATGTAAACATGATCTTGGCTAAAAAATCCTAAAGTGCTACTATGACAGGAAATGGAAGCTGCCATCCTCTATTTCCCACATACCCAACTTCGTTTCTCCCAATGTCACTAAATGGCTGAAGCTCAGAATCTTTATCATGAAATACACCACGACAGTAATGGTATTGACAGCATGGGAATAGCCTGCCCACACATACTACAAGCTAGCTCTTGGGCTTTTGGGAATCAATCTTTCAAAACTGAACATACAAGTCACTTTAAGCTTATTAAAGTTTCTATCTACTGATGGTCTCTTTTGAAAGATAAGCACTCTCATGCTTGCCACATAATATCTTCAAAAATCATATTATTTCCAATACACACACACACAAAATCCCCCACTTAACTATAATGGCCAATAATTGTGTACTAAATTTCTAATAAAATAGGGGAGAAAACAGAGCAAATGTTAAAAAATATTTCTATAATATTTAACAACCAATACATACAGGATTTTATTTAGTCTACCCATAGTTTTCATTAAAAGTATCCTTAGAGGTTGGGCATAGTGACTCACATCTATCATCCTAGCACTTTGAGAGGATTAGCTGGAAGGTTCTCTTGAGTCCAGGAGTTTGAGACCAGCCATGTCAACATAACAACACCTCATCTCTACCAAATTTGTTTCTAAATTAGTTGGGTGTGGTGGCTCACACCAGTAGTCCCACCAACTACTTGAGAGGCTGAGGTGGGAGGATCACTTAAGCCTGGGAGGTCAAGGCTGCAGTGAGCCAAGATCGTGCCACTGCACTCCAGCCTGGACAACAGAGACCATGTCTCCAAAAAAAAAAGAGTGGAGGGGAGAGGGCGGAGGGGGAAGCATTCTTGGCCATGCATGCACAGTGGCTCATGTCTATAATCCCAACACTTTGGGAGGCTGAGGTGGGAAGACTGCTTGAGGCCAAAAGTTCAAGACCAGCCTGGGAAACACTGAGACCCCATCTCTACAAAAATAAAAAATTAGCAGGAGCTATGCTGGGAGGATCACTTGAGCCCAAGAGATAGAGGCTGCACTGAGTCGTGATGGCACCACCCCACTTTAAAAAGGAAAAAAAAAAAAAAAAGCTGGGTATGGTGACACCCGCTTGTAGGGCTGAGTGAGGTGGGAAGTTCACCTGGGCCCAAGAGTTCAAGACTACAGTGAGCTATGATTGAACTACTACACTCCAGCCTGGGTGACAGAGTGAGGTTCCAGCTCCAAAAATAAATAAAAAAAATAAAAACCCCACCATTCTACCATTCTCAAAGGCCTAAAAGATCCTCATAAATCAATATACACCTATCCTATAAATTATGTCCCCTTTATTTTATGTCTGAATTAACGGCTTTTTATTTCAACTCTGTACAGTCTTCAAACAACCACCTTTTAGACATTAAAAATGAAGCAAAGATATTAAACCATTTTGAAACCATATTGGTTTAAAATACCGATATGCTGGTTTCATTTATCTTTAAGTTCTGACATTTCTGCTCAAGTACACAACTTACTATATAATCAATATCCTATTTTATTTAGCAACATGTTCAGCAAAAGTATATGCTCCTAAAAGCAAGTTTTATCCTAACGGTAAAATTTTCATCAGTTAGATTAAATTTTTTATGACGGTATCACACATGCTTCTTTCTCCTTATTCAAAGCAGAGTACAATGCCTGGGGTTCATTTCTTGTGTCTTTTCCACTGAACCCTCACTGGATGTGCTATATACAGTGCAGCTAATGTCTGAGGCTGCTGAAGTGTGGCAATCTAGCTACCTCATTTTTAATTTGTTTATGTTCTTTGATATCAGGCTATCAAAGAATATAAAGATACACAAGTTTTCATATGAGTTCCATCTTATGCTCAGAGAAGATTACTTTCTGAGGCTTCTCCTATAGTGTGCTATTCGTAATATGTTGAAAAACTAAAAGGAAACCCAATAATTTAAAAGTAAAATTATAAGAAATATTATTTAAAAATGAAAGAATGAGATTTAAAAATTCAGAGTGGCCTTTTGTCATGGGAGGGTAGGGGAGTTGGATGAAAGGAGGATGAGATATAACAGGATTCCCTGCTTTTCTGGTTGTTTAAGAAAGCAGTCAGACAATATATACATATATACATACATACATACATGCTAAACAAATGAAGGATTAATAACAGTTCACCTGGTAAAGAGAAGCATTTACAATGTAAAACAATTTTATTTTTGAATGACACTTCAAATGCCCAAAAGCACTTACATCTGTTACGTATGCCTCAGTAATTGGAGGGCCCGAATTGGGCTGAGGCTTTCCCCAGTGCTCCTCACCACAGTACTAAATACCCGGAGAAGCGCAGCCAGCTTTGGTAATGACACTGATGGAGGAGGGACGTCTTCATCCACTGATTCCCCAGCGGCCACATGGCTGAGGTCCTAGATGTGAATTCACAGCATTCTTAATAAGTAGTACATTGTTTAAAAAAACAAAACAAAACAAAAAAAAACTCTAAAATATTTCAATCAATTCATTTTAGAATAGATTTTTAGGCTTTTAGAAAGAGAACTGTGGCCCATGAGAATATTCATGACTCTGAATATAAAAATGGGTTTTACCTAATTATTTCAAAAAGCCAACATTAAACCCAATAGACAACAAATTAAGGAAATAATCTCTTAAATCAACTCAGAAAGCTGTTGGGGAAAAATAAATTCTAGCACATATGCTCTAGTTATATGTAGGTATAAATGAAGACGGAAGCTTTTGCCACTCCTGAATTAGTTTTTGGCTAAAAATCTCATTCTAGGTATTCTTTGAGCCACTCAGCTCAACAGTAAGTCCTCCAAACCAAGAGCATGCACATGAAGAGCAAAGGGAGATTACAAGACCTGGTCTACAGATGTGTAACTGAAGAAGTACGATATATGAAAAGGACAAGATTCGCAAAAACTAGGATACCAGAACCAATGTATACATCTACCTAAAATTAAGCACCAAAATAACAGAAGAGAATGAGATCTTAAGGATAACAAGGGGAAGCATCTCTACAAACTAGAATGTGTGGCTTATGAGAGGTAGATCAGCTTTAAACGTGGGCTGTGAAAAAAGACATTCTAGGTGTGGGGGCAAAGAAAAAACAACGCAGAAGCAAAACATTTCCTTGCTTTTCTAGGAAAGAGTAAACACATCAGTACAGCTAAAGGTACTGAATTCCTGTTGACTACAAGCAGCAAAGATGAAAAAAACAAGATGAGGCCAAAATCTTTATGGGAGCCTTGACTGGTTGATCTGAATAGGGGAGAAACACAAAGAGATTCAGATAAGAGATGGCACAGAGTTAAGCCATGACAGTGGGGCCAGAAAAGCCAAGTACCAGTAACAGAGGCTTCAGCAGCGCTCTTAAAGCTCCTATGCTATATTCGTACAGCCACAAAAGCTGGCTGAAGCCAAGGCTTGTCCTCCAAAGTACGATTCAAGATCTCCTGTACATATGTAAGAGGAAAATCTTTAGGAGCTTTTGGTGTTTTGTGTTTTTTTATAACACAACATCAATTTGCTTTAAGACTCTGAAGACTGGGAACAAAAAATAAAAATAAATAACAAAATATGTCTTTAGAAAAATACCAGCTACCGAGAGTATGTAAAGCTTTGCGAAATACGAAGCTTGCAACGTTTCTTTTAGTCTCTCCAGTAATTCTCCTGGTAACTTAAACACATCTGAAATAAATGTTTAAAATACTGACTGGGCACGGGGGCTCATGCCTATAATCCCAGCACTTTGGGAGGCCGACGCGGCTGGATCACCAGTGGTCAGGAGTTTGAGACCAGCCTGGCCAACATGGTGAAACCCCGTCTCTACTAAAAATACAAAAATTAGCTGGGCGTAGTGGCGGGCACCTGTAATTCCAGCTACTCGGGAGGCTGAGGCAGGAGAATCATTTGAACCCAGGAGGTGGAGGTTGCAGTGAGCTGAGATCGTGCCATTGCACTCCAGCCTGAGTGACAGAGCGAGACTCCGTCTCAAAAAGAAAAAATTTTTCAAAATATTGCAATGGGCTTGTAATTTCTGCTTAAATGTCAGGAGGTCTGAGCCATTTTAAAATAAATCTAGCACAATTTAAGATTTTTTCTTAACCAAAATTTTAAGAAACAGCTTTCTATATACTCACCTCAGCATATGCTTCCATGTCTTCTAGAAACTGACCAAGTAGAGGCGTAGAAAATGCAAGATCAGCTACCCAAAATGGCTCCAAACTCTGCAACCACCCTTGGAATCGCGTAAGAAATTGTGAAAGGGTAGGGGGGAGAAAAAACACCAAAAAATCCAAATTAAAAAAAATAAGAGGCTTCTTTTAAAAAGTATCTGGTTTTCAAGCAGCATACCCTAAAACATGTCCTATATCATAAAATTAAGACTGCTAAACATGCTGATCACGATTAACCAATACCTCTTTAATTAATACCTCCTTAATTTCTGCAGAAATTAACAGGTAAATGTTATTTCCTTACTTTTTCAGTAAATTTCATATCTATATTGTCACTACACATGACTTAAGACTAAAATGCCACAATCTACCATTGGCCCGGCTAATCCCAGGGCCACATCTAACCATTAAAGGTGTATACTCATCTCCTCAGTGAAAATGAAACAGACCACTATCACCTGAATATCTTATTTTCAAAAGTTTATTACACCAAGTAAGTTACGAGAAACTATGACACTTGAAACAAGCTGAAATGTGCAAATGAGCCACGCTAGTCATTCACTTAACTCCAAAAAAGTGGGAAACAAAACCACTTCTCATTTATGACAATTCTCCAAATTAACCCTATATTTCCTTTTTTAAAAAAATAACCAGAAAAACAATAAAATGTGACAAATAACTTGGATCTTCCATTGTCCACTTCAGGGTATTGCCACTGCAATATATTCTTACCATATACTTTCCTACCAGTACAAACTACAAATAACTTGGGTAAGTCCTGTCTGTACTTACTCTACCCACCTACTAGTAATTTCCTCTGAAAATATATATTTAGCTAACAAGTCATGTTCATTTACAATAAAACATTTCTCTGAATTAGTTTTCTTGCATTATTAAAGAAATGGTATTGATAGATGGTCACTGGGGGACCACTGCTCCTCCCCGACAGTATTTAAATAACTGGTATAGGCTGCAAGACTTACCAGATACCTGCTGCGTGAGCGAAGGTTTCTGAGTATGATCTCTATGCCATCCAACTAATATACCAACTGTATCCTTGATGGAAACAAAGAGAGAGGGGGCCAATCATTTTAAGATATTACTGCAATCCACCTGTGGACCATTTCACAGCAAAAGATCCTAAAAGGAGCATCTATGTTCTACCTACTTGACATTCTAGAAACTTAGAAAGGGGAGAGGGGCAGGAAAATAAAAGAACTACATTTCTGACAACAATGAAATAGTTTATTTTCTTCAAATATTTTAAGGTACGAACGTCAGAAAGAAAAATGCGGCATTTAACCCTGGAACCTCAAATATCACTGATTATATTCAAAGGAGCAGAGGCACTGTTTTCCATCTGATTCCTCAGTTCCTCACACACACAACCATCCCCCTCACCCCATGATCTGAACAGCGGAATGAGGAACTCACCCTAAAATTAGTGCTGAAAATATGAGGGTAACATCGAGCCACCAAAAGAATGCACTTAACACATTTGCAAAGCAATTCTGGTGTATCCACATTTTCAAGAATTGACTGCAGGCTGGTCATTACAAGCTTAAAAATAAAAGTTACAAACCGTGAACATTCAACAAAATAGGGAGAAAACAAGCAAATTAGGTTCATTATTTACGAAGTGCCTACATAAAAACCTGAGTATGAGACCAAGAAAAATAGATTCTGTAGTTTTAGTTAAAAAAAAAAAAGAATTGACTTGTAAATCCCAACTGCTTGGGAGGCTGAGACACAAGAATTGCTTGAACCCAGGAGGCAGAGGTTGCAGTGAGCTGAGATTGCACCGCTGCACTCCAGCCTGGGAAATACAGCCAGACTCCATCTCAAAAAAAAAAAAAAAAAAAATTAATAAATAAATAAAATAAATAAACTGAAAATATTTCGCTCCACTAAGCTGTTAAGCTAAAAACAGATACTGTTTTCTCTTCTTCAATGTTTGTTAATATTAGTCCTTTGACATCAGTTAACATTAGTCCTTAATAACATCTGTTTACAATATCCCTAAATGCTCTCTTTAAGATTCTACCTGTGATTAAATTTCAAATACAAAAAAGTAAAATGGATTTGGGAAACTTTTCTATAAAGTACAACAATTACTTTGCAATCCAAAATATAAAGCAAATTTTATATAATTTATGCTTTAGTATATTAGTACTTGCTTCATATTAAAATTAAGGAAGATCAGTATGGCACCACACATGAATAACATGCAGGCTCAGGTTACCATTATACATAAATTTTTAAAATAAATATATGGCAAAAATAAAATAATAAATAACTATTTGTCATTCCATTGAAAGAATATTTATTTTGCAGCTGTTAAAAAACATTTTTCCCTAAAAAAGGAAAAGCTGTGCTTTACATAGCAATCTTATCAAAGAAATGCTAGAATCAGAAAACCATCATTTTAGGCTGGGTGCAGTGGCTCACACCTGTAACCCCAGCACTTTGGGAGGACGAGGCAGGTGGATCACCTGAGGTCAGGAGTTCAAGACCAGCCTGGCCAGCATGATGAAACTCCGTCTCTACTAAAAATATAAAAATTAGCAGAGCACAGTGGCACATGCCTGTAATCCCAGCTACTCAGGAGGCTGAAGCAAGAGAACTGCTTGAACCTGGGAGGCGGAGGTTGCAGTGAGCCGAGATCGTGCCACTGCCCTCCAGCTTGGACAACAGAGCAAGATTACGTCTCAAAAAAAAAAAAAGAGAAAAAGAAAACCATTATTTTGCAATAGCCAATGTTATAATCTACACAGGCACAGACTATCAATGCTAAAAATCATTTAAAAGACATCTTGGGGTAATTACAGAAATTTGAATATAGAACACATATGTAATAAAATTCATTTTCTTAGGTATGATTACAATATTCTTGTTATACAGAAGAAAAACCTTATTCTTGGGAGATGCATACTAAAACATTATGGGGTGAACTGTCATCATGTGTATGGTTTTCAGATGCTCAACAAAAGTGTGTGAGAAAATAAAACTGTGGCAAAATATTAGTAACTGGTAAATCTAGGTGAAGCATATATTGTGAAATTATTATCGTATTTACAGGTATTTATTTTACTGGTGCATCTATCTTTCTATGAATGTGAGAATTTTCACAAGAGCTGGGAAAATGTTCATAATTATGCATGCAGAATAAGCCCAAGCTGGTGGCATTCTGTTCAGTTACAGGTAATTTTCTGAATCTTCCCTCAAATTTTTCTCAAACCTCTATAATCAAGGGGAAAATGTTTCATTTTGTTTTGCTTTTTTGAGACAGGGTTGCCTATAATGGAGTGCAGTAGCTTGACCATAGCTCACTGTAGCTTCAACCTCCCAGGCACAAGCGATCCTCCGGCCTCAGCCTCCAAGTAGCTGCGATTACAGGTGCATGCCACCATGCCCAACTTATTTTTTTCCTTTTTTTTTTTTTTTTTTTTTTTTTGTTTGATAGAAACAGGGTTTCACCATGTTGCTCAGGCTGGTCTCAAACTCCTGGACTCAGGCAATTCACCAGCCTCAGCCTCCCACAGTGCTGGGGTTACAGGAGTGAGCCACCATGCCCAGTTAAAAATACATTTTTTATTAAAAAAAAAAAAAAAGAATATTCCTTATATTTCCTTTATATTTTTTAAACTACATACCCAAAATAAAGCATATCAAAAACTGTAAAAAAAAAAAAAAAAAAAAAAAAAACCCTAATATCAGATATTCCAAACACAACAATACCATAATTTAATCACTTAAAATCTTACTCAAAACTAAATCAATGATCTTTTAGGCCAGGTGTGGTGACTCATGACACTAATCACAGTACTTTGGGAGGCCGAGGCAGGAGGATCACTTGAGGTCAGGAGTTGAAGACCAGCATGGCCAACACAATGAAACCCCATCTCTACTAAAAATACAAAAATTAGCCAGGCTAATGGCACACTCCTGCAATACCAGCTACTCGGGAGGCTGAGGCAGGAGAATCACTTGAACCTGGGAGGCAGAGGTTGCAGTGAGCCGAGATTATGCCACTGCACTCCAGGCTGGACAACAGAGCAAGACTCTGCATAAAAAAAAAAAAAAACGAATGATATTTTAATATATTCAGATACACAAATATGAAATACAACTAAGTAGAGCCGGTATTCATTTACACATAATTATCTTATACCATTTGGAATAAGAATTTGGGGCACGTTAGCAAACCAAAAGGCTCAGAAAGAAGTTGTGATATTTAGTTCTTGTCTCCCTCTACAAATGTGAAGCACTCTTCTATCCGGCATTACTAGTGGAGTTCCTATTTTCAACTTTGCAAATTCTGGTCCTAAGCAATCTCAAAAAAAACATTTCTAAAAACCAAAGGGGAAAAAAATCTTTTTTTTTTTTTTTTTTTTTTTGAGACAGAGTCTGGCTCTGTCTCCCAGGCAATGGTGCGATCTCGGCTCACTGCAACCTCGGCCTCCCGGGTTCAAGCCATTCTCCTGCCTCAGCCTCCTGAGTAGCTGGGACTACAGGCGCGTGCCACCACGCCCGGCTAATTTTTGTATTGTTAGTAGAGACGGGGTTTCACCATGTTGGCCAGGATGGTTTCGATCTCTTGACCTCATGATCCGCCTGCCTCAGCCTCCCAAAGTGCTGGGATTACAGGCGTGAGCCACCACGCCTGGCGTGTAAGCCAATTTTTTAGAAGAAATCTCTCCCTCTCTCTCCACATATATGCATATATGTATGTAGCACTGATCCTTGAACAGTGTATCCTTTACTCAAACTGAGAAAGAGGAATTTTTAAAACATATTTCCTATCAGTAGATAACCCCTATTCTATGATTCCCTTCTTCAAGCTCCCCTCCAAGGACATGTGTTAAAGGGACAATTTTCTTCCCAAGTATATCATGCATTTTTTCCCCCTTCATTCTTACCTGCATTACAGATGAAAAGGCTTTCTTTTCTCCTACAGTCTCTAGTGCTTTGTAGGTGGCACATAAGTAGAGGAGTTTAACTTCATCTTTTGCAGATGAGCTAAATTTGCTAAAAATCCACTTGAAGATCTTCTCAGCCTCATAGCTCAGAGAAGCACAAAGAAGGCCGAGACAGCAAGCTCCCTCCTGTCTCAACTCCTGAAGCAATTTGCTACTGTGTTTATTTTAATGCAAACAAAAAACACACACAAAAGGCTTAAGTTTTCTATGATGACACGAGTAATACATCTTACAAAAGAATGTCTTAAGTGGTTTTTTAAATTTCTATTCAAACTACATAAAAGGTTGAAATTTTCTCCACTCTAAATACTACATTCTGTCTAGCCTGCATTGCCCTCAAGTATCTGTCTGACATCACTTTCTTTTTACAAAATCAATTATTTACAAACAGTGAGGGAAGGCCCAAAAATGCTAAATTCCATCTCAAACTGTATTAAATAACTCTCAGAAAAGGGCAGCAACAAATAAGTAGATAAAACACTCTATACATAACTACATTCTACATAATATCCAATATGTAATGACTATAAAATAAAAAATGGTAATAGTTAAATACAGAAACTTAAAAGGATAACAGTAATGATTTACATAGAACTTTAATAAGTAACTCTATAAAACAAAACCATCAAAAGGCACTAAGGTTTATGACCAGCTGAGATAAATTTTGGGTACTTGCCAACACTGCAAATCTTTGGGAATCACCATAACAAAAAATGACCACACACCTCTGGAGACTCTAATAGCCAGAGAATATATGGTTTGGATCCACTCTTACCCAAAGAAGGAAATTCCTTTTTACCTCTATTCTCTAAGCAGTTTCAAATTCTCTTGTTTACAAAAACTAATTTTATTCTTCATGCCTGCATCAAGAGTTTATGCCATTCCATAAGTCAAGACTCAGTTATCCAGTGAGACTAGCAAATTAAAAAAATAAAATATTCCAGCCAGGCACGGTGGCTCATGCCTGTAATCCCAACACTTTGGAAGGCTAAGGTGGGTGGATCACCTGAGGTCAGGAGTTCCAGACCAGCCTGGCCAACATGGTGAAACCCTGTCTCTACTAAAAATACAAAAATTAGCTGGCAGTTGTGGTGCACGCCTGTAGTCCCAGCTACTCGGGAGGCTGAGGCAGGAGAATCACTTGAACCCGGGAGGTGGAGGTTGCAGTGAGCTGAGATCGCACCACTGCACTCCAGCCTGGGCGACAGGGTGAGACTCCGGCTCAAAAAATAAATATTCTTTTCAAGTGGATTCCATTTGTATTCAACCGTAATTAACACATAATTAATGCAGATAAAAATGACAAGACCCACTGAAATGTCAATAAATGTTCATAAACAAAGCCAGTGGGTTTGTCTTCTTGTGTATTGTTAAGTAATTTCTAAAAATATATTTTAAAGTCATTTAAACCGAACCATTATTAGTTACTTACCTTTCATTAAGCACATCATGTACAGCAGCCAAGATATCCAATTGTTTAACTAGTACCTTTAAAAGAAAACACATTTATAAAAACTTCAAATTCCTATACTTTTAAGAATAGCATTGTGTACTTTTTTACTTGTCTTCCCTCCAAATTCTAATTCAACAGTACTTTACTTTCTTTATTATTCCCACTCCCCAATGAGCATGTATCAGGAATGTCATGTTTCCTTTCAGCCTATGAAAGAAATTCACCCACTGGAAACATAGAGCTGTGATCATCAACAAAAAAATAAACTCAAAAAGCTTGTTTCATTTACTTTGAAATCCATTTGAAAAATTGACTGACGGATGGAGGGATAGATGGAGAGATATGTGACAAGGCAGTATTTAGGGTAAAATGTTAACGACAAAAATTAGATGATGGGTTTAACAGATTCAATGTCAAATTCTTTCAACTTGCTATATATTTGAAACTACTCATAATAAAATTTGGAAGGAGGAGAAACTTGCTTTGATCCAAGTGTCATCTGCCTCACTAGACCATTTTCATTAATTTTCTCCTGCTCATTGTCAAGTTCTTTTTTTTTTTTTAAGATGGAGTTTCACTCTTTTCGCCCAGGCTGGAGTGCAATGGCGTGATCTCAGCTCACTGCAACCTCCGTCTCCTGGGTTCAAGCGATTCTCCTGCCACAGCCTCCCATGTAGCTGGAATTACGGTCATGTGCCACCACACCCAGCTAATTTTGTATTTTTAGTAGAGATGGGGGCTTCACTATGTTGGGCAGGCTGGTATCGAACTCCTGAACTCAGGTGATCCACCCACCTTGGCCTCCCAAAATGCTGGGATTACATGCATGAGCCACCACACCTGGCCCATATCAAGTTCTTAATTGGTGTAAAGAAAGTGAAGAAAAAAATTTAACCCTTCCTATACTTTGTTACATTTCTGTTGTTGTTTTAAGAGACAAGGACTCCCTCTGTCGCCCAGGTTGACATGCAGAGGTGTGATCATATCTCACTGCAACCCTGAATTCCTGGGCTCAAGTGATTCTTCCACCTCAGCCAGGTGTAGTGGCACATGCCTGAAGTCCCAGCTACTCAGGAGGCCACAGCGGGAGGATAGCTTGAATCCAGGAGTTTGAGACTGCAGTGAGCTATGACTGTGCCACTGCACTCCAGCCTGGGCGACAGAGCAAGATCTTGTCTTTAAGAAGAAAAAGAAATTACATATTAGAGAGCATTAAGTTCTTGATCATCATAATACAGACTTTCCCCATTCTTAAACTACTCAAGGTAGCATTACCTAGTTTATTATGGAAACACAAAAATCCTCATATTTCCAAACATACTATACTTACCAGCTTATTTTCTGGTTGCTGAATAAATTCTTTCAACTGCTTTACAGTAGCCAATCTTCGGTCTCGGTCGTTTTCCCGGGTGATCCTCCGAAGAAGATATGACAGTCGAGACTCATCACAATAAGACATCGATCTCTCTGTGAATATATAAACATTTTGTTGTCCACTGAGTATAAATAAGCAAAGGAAATTTTAAATTTTAAAATAATTTTAAAATTTTTAAAATTAAAAATTATTTAAATAATAATTAAATTATTATGGGGGCTCATGCCTGTAATCCCAGTACTTTGGAAGGCGGGTAGATCACATGAGTTCAGGAGTTTGAGACCAGCCTGGGCAACATGGTGAAACCCTGTCTCCACAGACACACAAAAAATTACATAAACTAGCCAGCCAAGGTGGGGTGCACCTGTAGTCCCAGCTACTCGGGAGGCTGAGGCAGGAGAATCACTGGAGCCCGTGAGGCGGAGGTTGCAGTGAGCCAAGATCACCCCATTGCACTCCAGCCTGGGTGACAGAGCAAGACCCTCTCTCAAAAATAAAATTACATCAAAAGTCACAGTCCACTGGTCAATAAAAGCTCAGGGAATATAGGTCCTATCGCTCTTTTGTTCAACTCTGTATTCCAAATCCCAGCAGAGTGCCTGGCACATAACAGACCCTCAAAAAAATATTTGCTGAAGGAAACAAGAAATGAATAACCCTAGGCCAACTGAACACCTCATTCCAGAGGACTGGCTGGGAGAGAAAAAAGAAAGGCCTTAGTAACAACTTTCTTTGGGTCCATTCCAAACTGTTTTCAACATGCAGGTAAAGAGCCCGGGTGTAGGTAAATTAAACAACTTCCAAGGGGTATGGATAAAGTCTCAATCGAGTAAAAACAGGATATAGGCTTCTACTTATCATCTAGGTATCCCACTGGAGGAAAGCCTCTTATTCACATTATCATCATTTCCCTGGGATGAAGTTTTGGGGAGCCATAATCACACATTTAGTTCAACAAATGTCTAATTATCATCTACCACATGCAAGGCATGCCTCCACTAGAAAGGTAGCAAACCACAACTTTTCTCCCTTTATTTTTTAATCACAAGAACAAGCAAACAATAGTGAATACTATTAGTATATTAACGATGCCTTTAAAAACTAGATTTTTGCTGGGCGAGGTGGCTCTTGCCTGTAATTACCCAGCACTTTGGAAGGCCAAGGCAGGCAGATCACTTGAGCACAGGAGTTCGAGACCAGGCTTGGCAACATGGTACAACCCCATCTCTACGAAAAATACAAAAATTAGCTGGGCACAGTGGCACATGCCTGTAATCCCAGCTACTCAGGAGGCTGAGGTGGGAGGATCGCTTTAGCCTGGGAAGCAAAGGTTGCAGTGAAATCACACTAGCGCATTCCAGCCTGGGTGACAGAGCGAGACTGTCTCAAAAAACAAAACAAAACAAAAAACTCAATTTTTGCAAAACATTTTCAACTGTGCTATTTACCATAATTAGCCAATACATACGTAAACAACAAATCACAAAGGGTCTGACAGTTTCATTTCTAAGGTATGAGAAAAAATTGATAATAAAAGAAACCAGAAGGCTGGGCATGGTGGCTCACACCTGTAATCCCAGCACTTTGGGAGGCCGAGGAGGGCAGATCACGGGGTCAGGAGTTGGAGACCTGCCTGGCCAACATGGTGGAACCTCGTCTCTACTAAAGATACAAAAAATTAGCCGGGCGTGGTGGCACGCTCCTGTAATCCCAGCTACTCGGGAGGCTGAGGCAGGAGAATCACTTTAATCTGGGAGGTGGAGGCTGCAGTGACCTGAGATCGCGCCATTGCACTCCAGCCTGGGTGACAGGGAGATACTCCATCTCATAAATAAATAAATAACTACAAGGGGGAACAACACACACTGGATCCTTTTGGAGGGTGGGGGGTGGGAGGAAGGAGAGGATCAAGAGAAACAACCAATGGGTACCAGGCTTAATACCTGGGTGATAAAATAATCTATACTACAAACCCTCATGACACAAGTTTACCACTGTAACAAATCTGCACTTGTATCCTGAATTTAAGTTAAAAAAAAAAAAAAAAAAAAAAAGAAACTACAATGACTGAGAGAAGAATAGGATTTTTACAAATCCGTAGCCCATAGAGTATTTCAATAAGGACAGATACCAAATATGTCATCAAGTTACCAGCTGGGAAATTAGGCTCTACTTACAATTCTGTCACTAGCAAACTACATGACCCTGAGCCTTTGAAGAAGAGGAATTCTCTACTGAACTACTTTAGAGTCGCTGTTTAGCTTCTATAATATCATAAGTCTAAGGCTTCAAACACTCTATTTTAACAAACAGCATACATAGCCTTTGAATTCATTCCACTTGTGAAAACATAAAAAGAAATCAGTTTTTTAAAAGTTATATACCAACAATAAAAGCTACAGGCACAAAGATTTTCACCAAGATACACGAAGCACACACACAGTATAAAAAATAAAAAAAAAAAGTCAAAAACTAAACGTCCAAAAAGTAATTACATCTGACAAAGCCCATAACTCAGCTTTACCGATAAGTTTCTCTTTAAGGAAAAAAATTATCATTACCTCTAATCCTCTGAACTTTCTTTTTTGTTGTTGTTTTTTTGAGACGGAGTCTCGCTCTGTCGCCCAGGCTGGAGTGCAGTGGCGCACTCAGCTCACTGCAAGCTCTGCCTCCCAGGTTCACACCATTCTCCTGCCTCAGCCTCCCGAGTAGCTGGGACTACAGGCGCCCGCCACCGCGCCCAGCTAATTTTTTGTATTTTCAGTAGAGACAGGGTTTCACCGTGTTAGCCAGGATGGTCTCGATCTCCTGACCTCGTGATCTGCCCGTCTCGGCCTCCCAAAGTGCTGGGATTACAGGCGTGAGCCGCTGCACCCGGCCAATCCTCTGAACTTCCAAGGCACTCACCTATACAGTGAGGCTATGTCATAAGGCAGAAATGCTATCAGTGTATTTAACTTTAGAAAAGTGCCCACTCAAGGCAGGGCCCGGTGGCTCACGCCTGTAATGAGCACGTGTGATCACTTGAGGTCAGGAGTTCGAGACCAGCCTGGCCAACATGGTGAAACCCTGTCTCCACTAAAAATGCAAAAATCAGCTGGGTATGGTGGTATGCACCTGTAATCCCAGCTACTTGGGAGGCTGAGGCATGAGAATCACTTGAACCTGGGAGGCGGAGGTTGCAGTGAGCAGAGATTGCAGCACTGCGCTCCAGCCTGGGTGACAGAGCAAGACTCTGTCTCAAAAAAATATATTGAAAACAACAACAACAAAAAAACCAGAAAAGTACCCACTCTAGGGGGCGGGGGGAAGGAGAGCATCAGCAAGAATAGCTTAATGGATGCTGGGTTTAATACCTAGATGATGAGATGATCTGTGCAGCAAACTACCATGGCACACGTTTACCTACATAACAAACCTGTACATCCTGCACATGTACCCTGAACTTAAAAGAGAGAAAAAAAAAAAAAAAAGACAGAAAAGTACCCCCTCTCTACATATATCTATATCCTCCACAGGCCCAAGAGTTCAAGGACTTGCTGTAGTAGGAGCCTACTATGCACTATACATTCAATATCCACGATAATTGGGTAAACCTTTTCTGTAAGATCTTATCCAGTCTTCTAATCTTGTTTTAAGAGAATTCTCTTTTAAAATGTACTATAGCCTTTCTAGTGGGAAATTAACAATTCACAGGAAAAGAATGTAAACAATTTTTACCTGCACAGTAGACTAATCAACTTATGCCTTTGCAAGGCATTAGTAAGAGGCATCCAGAATAAGAGGAGATACAAGTCTTTGGAAGGTGTATGTGATTGGTCCCCGTTTTCCCAGCCTTACCCTGTGATTTCCTCATGTCTTTGGTGGCTAAAGCACAACTGCCATGCTGAACACTGGTGAACTCAGGGCTGGTCACATTGTTAACCCTCAGCTCTTGCCCCAATGACTTCCGACCATAAGTATTTTCCCCAGATCCCCCATTGACACCGTAGCCACCTACAAACAGCCATGTGTACGTCATTTAAATATGATTGTTCGTTTCATTCAGTCAATTTCCTGATAGCTCAGGATCTTATGACTCAATCTGCAGCTCAACCAGCCTTTGCTTCTCCTACCTTTTTCCTGTACTGTCTGCCTTGAAAATCATTTTCATTTCTTTTAATACACCTTTGAAGTTAAATTAATTTTATTTTGATCCCTTCATTGGAAAATAAGCAAAGAAATGAAAACTAAATTAAATCAAATTTTGCACCTTGTTTTAAAACTTTCTTGAAGTTTAGAGACAGTAGCCAAGAGGAACTTCAACCTTAGCTAAATATTTTTGAAAATAAAAACAAAAATAGTATTGTATCTTTTTTGTAAGAAAACTGCATTGATGAATTATGTATGGAAAAATTTTAAATTTTAAAAATAATAAAGTGGATAAACGTCCTATGAAGTTTTCAGAAATAACACTGCATTTGTTATTCATATTTTAAATATATTAGAAGAAAGTGAGAAAGTTGGGGGTGTAAGAAGGCAGGAAGGTGGGATAGGTAGGTTCAAAAAACATGCTTGTAGCAATAAGAAAATATATATACCCTTTTCGTCATTCTGTATGTCAGCGTGGACTCTGGTATCATCGTGCCTTTGCCGAGACACCACAGCTGAATTTGAAGGTTGCAGTCCGTAAGAGGAAGAACCACCTCTATCTCTGGATGAAGAATATTTTAAATTACCTGGGTCGGCTGATGCACTATCAGTTCTATAAAAAGAGAAAAGTTTAAGATTAGAACTTTAAATAACATAAATAAATCTTTCTTTAAACAAGCCTCTCTTCTCCCAAATTTTACATTTAACCATTACTATTGTATTTAGTGTAATATGCACTATATATTATATGTAAGCACTCAGCCGTCTAATAAGAAGTCTTTCACTGGGAAGAGAGTCTCAATGGATGAAATGCCAACTTTTCACTCTCTTCTACTGTTCTAAAGACCCATTCAGAAATATGAATAACTACTGGGATTAGGGTGACTTTGCTGGTTTTAGCATTGAAAGTCTCCTGTCCCAGGCAAAACAGGACAATTGGTTACTCTGGTCCAGTGTTCTCCTCACATGACTTGATAATAAGAATAATTCTTTCTAAATTCTCCCCCATGGAGACGGTTAATCAGTCAAAACATTTCAGCCTTTCCTGTCATAAAAATAAAAAACACTGGCAGCATGTCAGGGACGGGCAATGTCTTACCAAGTTATTTTCTAAGTACTGATTAGGTACTGTAGTATTGAAGACCCCATTGAAGATGCCTTAATTGTAAAGAGTAGCAATCAAAATTTTAAAAAGTAAAAAAGAAGACATTTTAAGAAAATAAAAGGTATCAGAAATGCAATAAAGTTATATCAGAAAGTTGTAGTTCGTAATCTATTTAAAATTCAGGTACTGTTTAGAATAATACCTGATGCTTATTAGTAAACAAGTAGGGTACAGCCAAGGGTAAAAGTGTGTCCTCATCTAAGTATCTGCTCTATGCTTCAACTGCCTCATAAGTAAAACAGAGCTGAGTTACAAGACTTCTCATGAGTGTTAATCTTTCAGCCATCAATCATAAACTATCAAGAAAGAAGACAACAAAATAATCTGTTATAGCATATGAAAAATCCAAGTAAGTTCTTCCCCTACTGATTTTCTCCTGAGAGGAACAATTTTGAGGAAAAAAAAAAAGAAAAAGAAAAAGAAAATCACTTCTATGATATTTACTAAAAATGCTTTCTCAACCTTTTAGAACCTGAATCTTTTAGAAAAGTTTAGGACACTGGCAAGGCCAGAAACTAACCTATTCCTCTACGCTTTGCCCCTCCCTCTATGGTGTAAAAGTGACAGCAGTGTTTGTATACTGTATATATTTCGTTTAGAGTTTATTAGTCTTTCCTTGCTCCCAAAAATACTAAACATAAAACTTTGCATGAGCTCAATCAGTTGGACACCTTGATCTGCACTTACTGCAATCACTGTTAATACAGAATGCAGACAATAGGTCCAATTAAACTTGGATATCTAACTGGTACAAGTCATTACTTATAAAGGATCTCAATCTGAAACTTCATGAAATTCAAAACCTAGCATACTAAAATGACTAAGGCTCCATAAGGAGTATCTTCTAATATTCAGAGTTCACTTATTCATAAAGCTAAGTACTTCGAACATAAGGGAAAATAAAATCTATGGAATTTCAAGAAAAATGTATGAGAATATTTTCTGAGTATACTAAGTCTATAAGCATTAAAATATTAACTCAATGGACCATAACTTTTTTAAACTAATGAAAAGACATTCCTTATGTACCTAAAAATAGCACACTTAACATGCGTCTATATAAATCATAGCATACCATTACTTTCTGAAAGGAGACTGAAACGTTAAGAGAGCTTATAATCTTTTCTGACAGGGTTTGAACTTTATATGTATGCCACAGTAAGCTCTTATTAGATGAGCGAATAAAATAAGCACTTGACTAATTCAGAAACACAAAGATAACTGAAGTCTGCCAATATTTAAACGTATCTTCACTTCCTGTTTTCATCATGTTTACTTATCTCCTACACTACCTTTACTATTAAGAGTTAAATGTTTCTATCATTTTCTGGTGACACAGTAGTACCATAAGGCAGCAGAGAATACAAGTTAAAAAAAGATCTGGGCTCAAATCCCAGCTCCAGCACTGAAAAGTATGTGTGCCTTTGCACAAATTACTTGATCTCCAAGCCTTGGTTGTCTCTTGCATAAAATGAGGATGATACCTATCTAACATGTAAGGTTGTTGTGAGGCTAAAATAAGATAATGAATTATAAAGAAACACTTAGTTTGCAGGGTATGTTAAAAGTTGTTATGACCATAATACAAAATAAACTCAAAGCTTCCAGTCTAAAAGACAATGTACAAACAGTTCATGAGTATATGAATATAATCAAAACAAGTTTTTACAGTCAATATAGAGCAACTTAAATACTTCACTGAAGAAAGCAGGTAATCTGTTGCTACCAACAATGTGTTTCCAACTAGGAAGCATCTGATTTCAAACTAAACTGTAAAACCAGGAGCAGCTTGCCCGTTGGTTAGAAATAAGGTTTCTAAATCCCCTAAGTTATGAACACTGAGATTTTTTTCCCAAAAAAAATCTGTGTTTTCAGAAATATAACAAAAAAAACTGGAATAGAGCCACCGTCTCAGAAATACCTCAAAACTCCCTAGTTGCCAAATTATTTTAATACAAATTGATCAAAGCATCCCCAACCAGAACTCAGGCTGTAAGCATTCTGAACCTAAAAGCACAAAATGGTTTAGCATTTATAAGAAATTTCTATTTTTATACAATCTTGACTGCTTAGGTTTCAAAAAATGTCAATGTCAGGCTGTTAGCACCAACAAGATCATCCCAGTCCAATAAATAGAGAACTGTTGAAGAACGGAAATGAGCACTTAAAATGAGGCAATCAAAGCCACAAAATAGAAACTGCAGATTTGAACTCCAAGAAGCAGGCATGAATGTTAGGCTAGTTAGTTAGAAGAGCTGAAAGGGATATCATCTGCCAGAATTAGTGTCTCAATTTAGTGAAAAAAGAAAATCTATCTGTTAAGTCTAAGAATCCTAGCAAGGAACCAAAAATACCTCTACAGCCCCTTTAATATTCTAAAAATATCATGGAGAGAAAAAAAAAGAAATGCATAAATTTCCCCAAAACGATCAAACTGAAGTTAAAGCCTGATGTACATGCCACATGAGAGGTAAGTTTCTAAAGCTCATACCTCAAAAATCGCCTTTGTGATGTTGTGCATCAAGTCAATCTGTAAGACAGTAGTTACAATATTAGTGAAGACAGTGGGTTAAAACATTTGTTGTTCAAACATGGAGCAAATATCATTCATGAGTTAGGTGCCTTTAGTTGAACTATGGTCCCATTAGGGTTCATACATTAAAGCAAAAATTGAGGTGGAAAGACACTCTGTGCCTTACAGGATAAAGAGGCTTAATGTGGCAACCAAAAAAATTTTAGTACATAAGAGAATTTAAATGTTAACTATCACATACAAATCACATGCAAATACAGTTACCACTTATTTTAGTTACCTATTCTCCATATACAGAAAAATGCCACAAATCTAGGAGGCCATTCGTTTCAAATGACCGGAATCCTTAGACCTCACACCAACAAGCCACCATGTGCTGGGGATGGTATCGCCTGACTAAATGTAGCCTTGCAGTCCATTCTTGTAAGTATTAGAGAGAAAAAGAGAGAGAGCGTCATCTCTGGAAAGTGTGAAGTCAGGGAATTCCCTACTAGGAAGCATTTCCATAAAGCACCCCAAAATGACTTGATGCAAACACCACACCTAGTGGTGTCACTGGAGTAAGCATCATATTACTTCAAATTGCTTTTACCTAGGTTTATTAAGGGATTTTGCTCTCATGGTGAGATCTAATTTGTAATGGATATAAACCAGGAAATGAGATTTGCACTAAAGCCAATGAAGTAGGAATGTACTTATTCTCTAAAGCAGCAAAGATAGTCTCACTGTCACAGAGCAGTTATAGGATATGTTGCTTTCCATACTAATGGTTAATACCACTTGGAAATGATTTACCCTTCAAAAATAAATTCAAGGTTTTCCCCTGTAATGCCTCTTACCTGGATTCAAACATGCTTTAATGAGGAATAAGAGAAACGGTGAAACTATGAATAACCCTGGGCCTTGTATCATTACATTAGAAACACTGCTCTAAATATGAGTCTATGGCTAAAATATTAATTTGAGAGGCTCAGGGAATTTATTATACAAATCTCTTCTTGCAGAGAACTTTTAAGTTCAAATTTAATAAAACAAAACAGAACCATTCCATGTCAAAATTGTAAATGAGTATGCATCAGTTTTGCAATACTGAAATATTAAATTAATATAATTTATTGGTAAAACTACCTTAGCTACCTAAGTATTAAGTGTCTATAATAACCAAATCTTAATTATCCATTTATGGGTGATTTGTTTCCTTTTTTGAGACAGGGTCTCACTCTGTCACCCAGGCTGGAGTGCACTGGCATGACCATAGCTCACTGCAGCCTCGACCTCATGGGTGCAGCCTCGACCTCATGGGTTCAGCCTCTCAAACAGCTGGGACCACAGGTGCATGCCACTCCATTTAGCTAATTTTTTATTTTTATGTTTTTTGGAGACAGGTGTCTGATTATGTTGCTCAGGCTGCTCTCAAATTCCTGGACTCAAGCAATCCTCCCACCTCAGCCTCCCAAAATGCTAGGATTAGAAGCATGAGTGACCACATCTGGACTGTCACCAATTTTTAACTGTCTGTCAACTAAACAGCCAATATAGACTGATAAAATATATTTAACTATTGTAAAATTGTAAAGAATTGTATCTTCACCAAGGAGAGGTCTGGCTTCTACCTGTGAATTCTGGAAGGTAATCTCTAAACTCTTGAAATGTCATACCTAATAAGAGGGTCCTGGCCAGGAGCAGTGGCTCACACCTGTAATCCCAGCACTTTGGGAGGCCAAGGCGGGCAGATCGCTTGAGGTCAGGATTCTGAGACCAGCCTGGCCAGCATGGTGAAAACTGTCTCTACTAAAAATACAAAAATTAGCCAGGCATGGTGACGGGCACCTGTAATAATCCCAGCTACTCAGGAGGCTGAGGTTTCAGTGAGCTGAGATCATGCCACTGCACTCCAGCCTGGGCAACAGAGCAAGACTATCTCCAAAAAAAAAGGGGGGGGGGGCGGCGGTGGGGGAAAGTGTCCTTGTTCATCTGGGGGCTTTAGGCCACAGCACAGTCTAATAATGTGGCTTATGGTGGGGGCTTTGAGTCACATGGATCAGCTTGGCCTCCAGTGGGGCTGGAGACTAAGGTTAGCCACATGGGCATGCAACCATGGAACCCCAGTAAAAACGCTGGACATAAAAAATAGAGTGAGCTTCCCTGGTTGGCAATAATCCATGAGTATGGTCGCACACCAGTGCCACCAGGAAGGTGTCATTTTTCACAACTCTACAGGGACAGGACAATTAGAAACTCCAACATTTGGAACTTCCCTGAACTCTGCCCTATGCACCTCTACCCTTGGCTCGTTCTAATCTGAATCCCTAAACTGCAATAAACTCTAACCATGGGTATGAGAGCTTTCAATGAGTTCTAGTGAGTCCTCCTGGCAAATCATCCAACCTAAGAGTGGTCTTGGCCAGGCACAGTGACTCAAGCCTGTAATCCCAGCACTTCGGGAGGCCCAGGCAGGCGGATCACTTCAGCTCAGGAGTTTGAGACCAGCCTGGCAATATGGTGAAACTGTCTCTAAAAAATATAGAAAAACTAGCCAGGCGAGGTGGTGTGTGCCCACAGATCCAGCAACTCAGGTGGCTGAGGTAGGAGGACTGCCTGAACCTGGGAGGGAGGAGTTCAGGGTGCAGTGAGCCGTGATCATGCCACTGCACTCTCACCTGGGTGACAGAGAGAGGCCCTGTCTCAAAAAAAAAAAAGAGTGGTCTTGGGAACCCCCAAACTTGCAACTAGTATTAGAAGCAAGGGTCATCTTATGGACTGGACTCCCTCTTACTCTGCACTCATATTTAAAACCATTAAATATACTGTAGCTCAAAAAAAGTTGCTTGTTTGTTTTGAAAAAGGGTCTCACACTGTCGCCCAGGCTAGAGTGCAGTGGTGCAATCCGAGCTCAAGCAAACCTCCCACATCAGCCTCCCAAGTAGTTGAGACCACAGGCTTACTCCACCACGCCCAGCAACTTTTGTATTTTTTTGTCCCATTCTCTACAACATTCCCAAAATGTTGCCCAAGCTGGTCTCGCACTCCTGAGCTCAAGTGATCCACTCACCTCAGCCTCCCAAAGGGTTGGGATTACAGGCATAAGCCACTGCACCCGGCCATAAATTTTGTTTTTTAATAACATTTCCAGCAAACATGATAAAGATTTGACTTCAGTGTTGCTTATTTTCCTTCCAAGGAACCTCTAATATTCTCTACTTTCAGAACTCCAATCAAATTAGCCAGAAAGAGCAAACGAAGCCAATAAATCCAGGAGGGCAATAGATCTGATTTTAACCCTTGTTTCACATGCACAATTGTCTTCAGAGAAAAGCTGAAGAAAGTACCCCCTCACCTCCATGCCCCAATGCTCCTTTTCTCTGACTTCAAGTGGGCCTCTGATGCTGCCCACATTTCCCTCACCAGGTTTCTTTCCTTTCCAAGACATCTGTAAAACTTTCTGCACCTTCTTCCTTCTCCCACCACTACCAGTGGATGACCTTATAGATTTCTGCTCCATGAGAAACAGAAGCCATTTGACAGCACCCTCAGCAAGAGCTAACATTTTAGCTCCTAACAAGAGCTAGTGGGCAACTGATCCAAGCAGTTTACATATGTTTATCATGTCATTTCGTGTTCAACACAATCCTATTAGTTATAACTTGATAACTAAGGTTTCATAACTGGCCTATGGTTGCACAGCTTGCAAAAGGCAGAGTCAGAACTCAGACCCAGTACTGTCTAATGTTTGAGCTCTTCAACACTCCATCACTGCCTGTCATCTTCCTTCTAATATATCCACAAATTCACCTGCATCTGCACATACAGCTTTTCTTCCCATCATCTTCGCATAATGGAACAAATAAACCTCCTATCCATAGAAATCATCTGTCTATTCCCCCCATTTTCCAAGGTATGTCTTGTCTTTTTTTTTTTGAGATGTAGTCTCGCTCTGTCGCCCAGGCTGAAGTGCAGTGGCGTGATCTCGACTCGCTGCCTCCCGGATTCACGCCATTCTCCTGCCTCAGCCTCCCGAGTAGCTGGGACTACAGGCGCCCACCACCACGCCCGGCTAATTTTTTGTATTTTTAGTAGAGACGGGGTTTCACCATGTTAGCCAGGATGGTCTCGATCTCCTGACCTCGTGATCCGCCCACCTTGGCCTCCCCAAAGTGCTGGGATTACAGGCTTGAGCCACTGCACCCGGCCTGTTTCTTTTGTACGTTGCAAAATCTCCCATTTTACTACTGCTTATCACATCATCAACATATGAGCACTCTCAAAAGTCTTACTTTAAAAAAAACAAAAACAAAAACAAAAAATGGCCGGGCACGGTGGCTCATGCCTGTAATCCCAGCACTTTGGGAGGCGAAGGCAGGCAGATCATAAGGTCAGGAGATTGAGACCACCCTGGCCAACACGGTGAAACCCCGTCTCTACTAAAATAGAAAAAATAAAATTACCTGTGCGTGGTGGCACGCACCTGTAGTCCCAGCTACTTGGGAGGCTGAGGCAGGGGAATCATTTGAACCCGGGAGGCAGAGCTTGCAGTGAGCCAAGATCGTGCCACTACACTCCAGCCTGGTGACAGAGCGAGACTCCGTCTCAAAAAAAAAAACTAAAGGCTGGGTGCGGTGGCTCACGCTGGTAATCCCAGCACTTTGGGAGGCCAAGGTGGGTGGATCATGAGGTCAGGAGTTCAAGACCAGCCTGCCCAATGTAGTGAAACCCCGTCTCTACTAAATATACAAATATCAGCCAGGCGTGGTGGCGGGCGCCTGCAATCCCAGCTACTCAGGAGGCTGAGGCAGGAGAATCGCTCGAATCCGGGAGGCAGAGGTTGCAGTGAGCCGAGATTGCACCATTGCGCTTCAGCCTGGGCGGCAGAGAGACTCCATCTCAAAAATAATCATAATAATAATAAAATAAATTTAAAAATTAAGAAAATAAGGCCGGGCACGGTGGCTCACGCCTGTAATCCCAGCACTTTGGGAGGGCGAGGCAGGCAGATCATGAGGTCAGGAGTTTGAGACCAGCCTGGGCAACATAGTGAAACCCCGTCTCTACTAAAAATACAAAAAATTAGCCGGGTGTGGTGGTGGGCGCCTGTATTCCCAGCTAGTTGGGAGGCTGAGGCAGGAGAACTACTTGAACCCCGGAGGCGGAGGTTGCAGTGAGCCGAGGTCACGCCATTGCACTCCAGACCGGGCAACAGTGTGAGACTCTGACTCAAAAAAAACAAAAAACAAAAAAACCCTTTAACTGCCTTTCTCCCTCTATCAATCTAATAGCCTGGACTCTTCACAGACAAACCTGTTGAAAAATTTATCTTCCTTGCCTTCATTTACTTTTTAACCCACTTTAATCTGGGTTCCACCTGCAACACACCACTGAAGCTATTCCTACTAAGGTAGGAACTGCCACTCAAGGCCTTCTTGGCTCTAAAATCCCATGAGCCTTTTTCAGTTCACCCTACAATTTCTCAATACCACTCTAAAGTTTATGAGTTTTTTAGTTAACTTTAATCCAGTGACTCTTTCTACTTTATCCCAATCCAAGTATTCTCCTCCTTCTTCACTTCATTTTTTTTTTTTTTTTTTGAGACAGACTCTGACTTTGTTGCCCAGGCTGGAGTATAGTGGTGCAATACTGGCTCACTGCAACCTCCACCTCCAGGTTCAAGCGATTCTCCTGCCTCAGCCTCCCAAGTAGCTGAGATTACAGGCCCCTGCTACCACACCCGGCTAATTTTTGTATTTTTAGTAGAGACGGGGTTTCACCATGTTGGCCAGGCTGGTCTCGAACTCCTGACCTCAAGGGATCCACCCGCCTCGGCCTCCCAAAGTGTTGGAATTACAGGCGTGAGCCAACGTGCCCGGCCCCTTCTTCACTTCTTTAACCAGCTTAGATTTCATTGTGTATCATTTCAACAACACTCTTGCCTATACCCTTAACTCTTAAGATTCTCATCACACCCATCTGGCAAAACCCCAATCCTGGATAAACCCAACGATCCATCAATAAGCACCACACTCCCAGGTCCTCCAGTGTTTACTTCCCATTCTATACATGCACTATCCAGACATTCCCATTCTCTTCAAATTCCAAAATATCCTATCACCTCCCCTCCCCATACACACATTCTACTTCACCAACAAGAAAAAAGGTACCAGCTGGGCACAGTGGCTCACGCCTGTAATCCCCGCACTTTGGGAGGCCAAGGCGGGTGGATCACTTGATGTCAGGAGTTGGACACCAGCCTGGCCAAAATGGTGAAACCTCATCTCTACTAAAAATACAAAAATTAGCTGGGTGTGGTGGTGCGCACCTGTAATCTCAGCTACATGGGAGACTGAGGCAGGAGAATCGCTTGAACCCAGGAGGTGGAGGTTGCAGTGAGCCAAGACTGCACCACTGCACTCCAGAGCCTGGGCAATAATAAGAGCGAAACTCCGTCTCGGGGTGGGGTGAGGAAGATACCATAAAATACCTGTACCCGATTCTAGACCTTACTGAGGATTCCATCTACTTCCACCTTACTGTAACTTTTCAAATACTTTTCCCACTGAACTAAATCCCCCCCATAAACATGCAACACTTTCTAATGTATTCCATTGAAAAATACAAAAACATATAAAAAGGAAAAACTCCATCAATCCCACACGTCCCTCCATCAAACAATCTGCCTTTACTTGCTGCAGCCAAACTAAAGTTGTCTAGATTCCCCTCTCCCATTTCTTCACTTCTTCTAGCTCCTTAACACACACTGGTCCAATTTCTGCCCCATCACTCTTGGCAAAATCCATTATGACCTCCAGGCTGCTAAATCCAAGATACAGTTCAGGCCTCAATCTGCTCATCCTTTCAGCAGCTTTCACAGGGCTTCTGAGTAGGGTTGAGCAGTTTTGCCCTGCACACAGGTGCCCTGCAGAGGAATGAGGTGGGCTGAATGAAACTCCTTTTTTAAAAATTCTTGGCTGGCATAGTGGCTCACGCCTGTAATCCCAGCACTTTGGGAGGCTGAGGCGGACGGATCACTTGAGGTCAGGAGTTCAAGGTCAGCCTGGCCAATATGGCAAAACCCCATCTGTTAAAAATACAAAAATTAGCTGGCCGTGGTGGCGGGCACCTGTAATCCCAGCTACTCGGGAGGCTGAGGCAGGAGAATCACTTGAACCCAGGAGGCAGAGGTTTCAGTGAGCCGAGACTGCCCCACTGCACTCCAGCCTGGGCAACAAGAGAGAAACTCCATCTCAAAAAAAAAAATTGTTTATGCCAACTAATTGTACACCTAAATGCACCAAGTTCCTGACTTTCTCCTTGCATTTATTTGTTTATTTATTTATTTATTTATTTATTAGGTCTCACTCTATGTTGCCCACGTTGTAGTGCAGTGTGTGATTACAGCTCACTGCAGCCTTGAACTCCTGGGCTCAAGAGATTCCTCTGGTCTTAGCCTCCCCAGTAGCTAGAACTACAGGTATGGAGTGGCTCTCTGCCTTTATTTCTAACCCAAGCTACCTTACAACCTTAAAAAGAGACGCTGCTTCGCCGGGCACAGTGGCTCTCACCTGTAATCCCAGCACTTTGGGAGGCCGAGGCGGGCGGATCACGAGGTCAGGAGATCGAGACCATCCTGGCTAACACGGTGAAACCCTATCTCTACTAAAAATACAAAAAATTAGCCAGGCGTGGTGGCGGGCACCTGCAATCCCAGCTACTCGGGAGGCTGAGGCAGGAGAATGGCGTGAACCCAGGAGGTGGAGCTGGCAGTGAGCCGAGATTGCACCACTGCACTCTAGCCTGGGCGACAGAGTGACACTCCATCCTAAAAAAAAAAAAAAAAATTTATTATATACATACACACACACACACACACACACATACACACACACACACACACACATCTCCCCAGAAGCATCAATATTTACTGAATTAGAGTATTTCATTACCTGTTATAAAAAACAAACAAAAAAACCTTCCATTATACTAATTTATAAAGGAATCAAAACAAAATGGGTTGGCGGGTCCAGGCACGGTGTCTCACTTCTGTAATCCCAGCACTTTGAGAAGCCAAGGTGGGAACTCGAGGTCAGGAGTTCGAGACCAGCCTGGCCAACATGGCGAAACCCTGTCTCTAATACAAAAATTAGACGGGCCTGGTGACATGCGCCTGTAGTCCCAGCTACTCGGGAGGCAGAGGCACATGAATCACTTGAACCCAGGAGGTGGAGGTTGTACTGAGCCAAGATTGTGCCACTGCACTCCACCCTGGGAGACAGAGTGAAACTATGTCTTTAAAAAAAAAGGCGGGGTGCAGTGGCACACACCTGTAATCCCAGCACTTTGGGAGGCCGAGGCAGGTGGATCACCTGAGGTCAGGAGTTCACGACCAGCCTAACATGGTGAAACCCCATCTTTACTAAATATAAAAAAATTAGCCGGGTGTGGTGGCACATGCCTGTAATCTGATCTACTTGGGAGGCTGAGACAGGAAAACAGCTTGTACCTGGGAGGCGGAGGATGCAGTGAGCCGAGATTGCACCATTGCGCTCCAGCCTGGACAACAAGAGCAAAACTCTGTCTCAAAAAAAAAAAAAAAAAAAAAAAAAAAAAAAAAAAAAAAAAAAAAAAAAAAGTTGGGGTGAGGGGAAGGTTCAACTTAAAGATACAATTACTAAGTGTTTCATAAGGAATGACTTATTTCATAATGGAGTAGGAGTTTGACACCAGCATGGGCAACATGGGGAGGCCCCATCTCTACAAAAAAGTAAAAATAAAAAATTAGCGTGCCAAGCATGGTGGGTCACACCTGTAATCCTGGCACTTTGGGAGGCCAAGGAGGAAGGATCACTTGAGCCTAGGTATTCAAGACCAGCCCAGGCAGCATGGCAAAACCCCGTCTCTACAGAAAACAAAAAAAAAATAAAGTAGCTGGGGGTGGTAACATGCACCTGTGGTCCCAGCTATTGGGAGGGTGAGGTAGGAGGACTTATTGAGCCTGGGAGGTGGAGGCTGCAGTGAGCTGAGATGGTTCCACTGCACTCCAACCTGGGCAATGGAGCGAGACTCTGTTTCAGAAAAAGAGAGAGGAAGCCAGGCGTGGTGGCTCACGCCTGTAATCCCAGCACTTTGGGAGGCCGAAGCGGGTGGATCACCTGAGGTCAGCAGTTCAAGACCAGCCTGGCCAACATGGTGAAATCCCATCTCCACTAAAAACACAAAAATTAGCCGGGCATAGTGGCATGCACCTGTATTCCCAGCTACTTGGGAGGCTGAGACAGGAGAATCACTTGAACCAGGAGGCGGAGGTTGCAAGTGAGCTGAGATTGTGCCACTATACTCCAGCCTGGGCGACAAAGTAAAGCTCTGTCTCAAAAAAAAAAGAGAGAGAGAGAGGAAAAATAAATTAGCCAGGTGTGGTGGTATGCACCTGTGGTCCCAGCTACTCAGGAGGCTAAGGCGGGAGGATTCCCAGAGCCCAGGAAGTCAAGGCTGCAGTGAGCAGTGATTGCACCACTGCACTCCAGCCTGGGCAACAGAGCAAGAGCATATCTCAAAAAAGAGGAAAGAAAAGAAAAGAAAAACATAAAAACAAATGTTCCTTTAGTTTTAATTTTTATTTTTTAGTTTATTATGGCTGTTTTACTCTCCCCCAAGTAAAACAGCCATACACAATTTGCTGAAATTTTCCTTAGTGTACTTTGAAATCTGTGGAACAGAACTGGCAATCGCTAAATTCTATTTGACTCTAGTTCCATTTAATATTAGACTGGTGTGGAAGTAACTGCGGTTTTTGCCAAAACCGCAATTACTTTTGCACCTACCTAATAGGTATAAAATATGTAACTTCACTTAATTTTATCCTTTATGTATCTCCCTATATTATGTACCTATGGACATCAAACTTAGTACAGACTGATAAAAGGCTGAATAGACAACTCTGGTTTCAAAAATCCAGCTTCTCACAACATCAGACATACTAGTATACAGCTTTTCTAATTTCACAACACATTTCCATTTTTTGGTCTTTCACAATAGAGAAGATGTGTGTACTTTTGAATACTCTGATCTGTCTACAATCTACCAAAATTGGAAGGTGTTTTTATTATACAGTTTCATCCTTTTAGAAATATAGAAAGATCCTAAGTTTGGGCACAGTAAGACACTCAATATAGATCTACTACTAAACAAGTAAGACCAATTACACAATTAATGTCCTAATACCCCGAGTGGAGAAGTAAAATCTACTTGTTTTCTGTTGACTTGAACGCCTTCTCTTCTTTGTTGAATTAATCAATCTATTTGACTCCAATGTCAAATTAATCAATGTCACTTTAGAATATTAAAATGTACAATTATGAATTACACATTTAATTTTAAAACACATCATTCTGATCTCTGTCTTGATTGATACTAGAAGATTATCTTCCAAACTAAGGTGGAAAAAATGACAGACTTTAGCTATTGGCAATGATAGGTCATTTTTTTAGGGAAGAGGAGTAAAGAGGGCCACCTCCATAGGTCAGATATCCCTTTGTTCTAAGAAGCCACCACCCCTGTTTCTTCATATGAAAAAAACCAGAGGCATCCAGTGGTTCCCAAAACCTTCTCAACTTTACGCTTGAGGAACCCACAGATTTCAAATAATACAACTGACCTAAGACACTCATTTGTTTAACCATTCTTTTTTTAACTTTTTATTTTTTTTGAGAAGGAGTCTTGCTCTGCTGCCCAGGCTGGAGTGCAGTGGTGTGATGTCGCTCACTACAACCTCTGCCTCTCAGGTTCAAGTGATTCTCCTGCCTCAGCCTCCCGAGTAACTGGGATTACAGGCATGCACCACCACATCCCGCTAATTTATTTATTTATTTTTTTTTAGTAGAGACGGGGGTTTCACCATGTCGGTTGGCCAGGCTGGTCTCGAACTCCTGACCTCAGGTGATCCACCCACCTCAGCCTCCCAAAGTGCTGGGATTACAGGCGTGAGCCACTGCCCCCGGCCTGCTTAACCATTCTTAAATGTCGGGTGCAGTGGCTCACACCTGTAATCTCAACACTTTGGGAGGCTGAAGGTGGGCAGATTGCTTGCGTTCAGGGGTTCAAGACCAGCCTGGGCAACGTGGTGAAAAC